>NC_000015.10:40549601-40852631 GCF_000001405.40 Homo sapiens
ATGTGGGAAGATGCCGTTCTGCTTTATTTAACACCATGCACCATGCCTGGAACATGGCAGGGGCTCAACAAATATTGGTTAGATGAATGAATCTCTGCCTTAAATAACCTATTTCTGGGCTCAAGTAAACAGCCCTCGCACAAACCTAACATCCCAATGGCAGTATCCTATCTTGAGTCTTATAACTGACGTAGGGCCAAAGCTGGTTGGGATAATTTAGAATTTTCAAGAAAACCTTGCCTGCTTCATGTGGCTGGGGCTGTTCTCAGCCTTGGAGGACTCCTTCCAAAACAGGGCCAGGGAGAGGCTCCAGGGCTTCCGTCTTCCAGCAATGGTCCTGGTGGGCAGGTCTGCTTGGAAGGGTGCACCTCGGCCACAGCTGGCGGGACGTTTGTTTACTTGCTGTGCCTGCAGCCAGGGCCTATTTCTGGATCAGGTATTGGATGCATGCCTGTGTCACTCCAGCCCTGATCTTGCCAGGCGCTGAGTGATGAGCACGTGTGTGTGCCGGGAGAGAACAGCAGCAGTCCCTTAGGTTATCTGCCTGGCTGCAGCCCAGCCTTCTCTGGGTGTACCAAGTCATTACGGCTTGGCCCGTGTTGGTGATTACCCTCCCCTGGCTCTAAAGCTTTAGCACTAAATATTGCTCCATTTGCTCTAACTTGCTGTCTATTTCACTAAGGAGGAAGAAGGAAGAAAGTCAGGGGTGATAAGTAAGATTCTACCAACTTACAAATCTTACTAGGTTGAGGAAGCCCTAACTGGAGTTCCTTGGAGTTTTCAGGGTCAAAGGAAAGAGATCAGCATTTTAGGCCAATACTATTTTTTCCTATGGTTAGTCCCATTACTGAAAAGGAACTGGAACATGAAGAGGTCACTTGACTTATTTGTGACCATTCAGTAAGCCACAAGACAGATAAAAGACAGCACCCAAGACTCTCAGTTTCAAATTTAGTGCCACTTCACTAGCCTAAGATAAATCTGTATTAACAAGTTAGCTTTGGGAGCTAGTGTCAAATTTGGTTTTGGTAAATGGAGTTTCACCTTTTTTTAGAGCCATTGTTTACGCTGTCACCTCTAAATCAATTAAGAAACTATAGCTACAACTCACTGGGTTCCCTTCCGTGGAGTCGTGCAGAGCTCCTCTCACACCGCACCCAGGTTTACACATGGGCTAGAAACCATTCAACTTACAAACTCTGTTTCAGTTCCTCTAAAGCGATTCTCCACCCTCTCATATTCCAATTTCTGTTTCTGAGGTAGAAAATGGGAAGTAGGGAAAAGGCAAAGCTAGAATCTTGCCTGAATGACAGAAACACTATTTTCGGGTACAGAAACATTCTCTTACCATCCCATGATCTGCACTTTGGGAGAGTGTTTTGGGACCTCATTGCTTTTTTTTTCTTAAACTGTTGTTTCTGAGGAAGAATAATTGTTGTTTGTTTATCATGCAGGGAGAATAAAAATTTTAGTTTTTCTTTCTTTAAAAAATCCATCCTGGCAGGGCACGGTGGCTGACGCCTGTAATCCCACCACTTTGGGAGGCCGAGGCGGGCGGATCATGAGGTCAGGAGATCCAGACCATCCTGGCTAACACGGTGAAACCCCGTCTCTACTAAAAATACAAAAAATTAGCCGGGCGTGGTGGTGGGCGCCTGTAGTCCCAGCTACTCGGGAGGCTGAGGCAGGAGAATGGTGTGAACCCGGGAGGCAGAGCTTGCAGTGAGCCAAGATGGCGCCACTGCACTCCAGCCTGGGCAAGAGAGTGAGACTCCATCTCAAAACAAAAAAATCCATCCTGAAAGCCATCAGATGGCCCTGGAGAGGAGTGAGGCCTGGCATCTGAACTCCAGGTGGAGATGGCAGCCTGCAAGCCTGGATGACCGTCAATATTCTGGCTTCCTCAATGTACCCAGGGGCCACAGAGAGCCACTCTCTGTGTCACACGTATCCTGCCAATAAAATGCAGTAGGAATAAAGCGACTAAATCTACTAATAAAGGTGTTAACCCAGTCCAGACAACATGGCGAAATCCCATCTCTACAAAAAATATAAAAAATAAGCTGGGCATGGTGGTATGCACCTGTAGTCCCAGATACTCGGGAGCCTGAGGCAGGATCACCTGAGCCCAGGAGGTCAAGACTGCAGTGAGCTGAGACCGTGCCACTGCCCTCCAGCCCTCCTGGTGATAGAGTGAGACCCTGTCTCAAAAAAAAAAAAAAAAAAAAAAAAAAAAGGTTAACCATTAGTCAATGAAAAGAGAGGAAAGGGCCAGGCATGGTGACTTGCACCTGTAATCCCAGCACTTTGAGAGGCCAAGGTGGAAGGATAGCTTGAGCCCAGAGGTTCGAGACTAACCTGGGCAAAATAATGCGACCCTGTCTCTACAAAAATTTTTTTTAAAAATTAGCCAGGCATAGTGGCACATGCCTATAGTCCCAGCTACTCAGGGGAAGCTGAGGCAGAAGGATGGATTGAGCCTGGGAGGTTGAGGCTGTAGTGAGCCATGATTGTCACTACACTCCAGCTTGGGTGATAGAGTGAGGAGACCTTGTCTCAAAAAAACAAAAAAAAAATAAAGAAGGAAAAAAGAGGAGCGGCCAGGCGCGGTGGCTCATGCGTGTAATCCCAGCACTTTGGGAGGCTGAGGCGGGCAGATCACCTGAGGTCAGGAGTTCGAGACCAGCCTCAACATGGAGAAACCCCAAATCTACTAAAAAAAATACAAAATTAGCCGGGCGTGGTGGTGCATGCCTGTAATCCCAGCTACTCAGGAGGCTGAAGCAGGAGAATTGCTTGAACCCGGGAGGCAGAGGTTGCGGGGAGCCAAGATCGCGCCATTGCACTCGAGCCTGGGCAACAAGGGCAAAACTCCATCTCAAAAAAAAAAAAAAAAAAAAAGAGGAAAGTATATTTGAATATTACAATAAAAATATTTGTATCACTAAGCAAGTATATGGAACCACCTAATTGGTTCCTATCCTTTTGGGCAAGACAAATACTTGATTTAGAAATGAGCAAACAATAGCCGGGTGTAGTGGTTTGCACCTGTAATTCCAACTACTCAGGAGGCTGAGGTGGGAGGATCACCTGAGCTCAGGAGTTTGAGGTTACAGTGAACTATATGATTGTACCATTGCACTCCAGCCTGGGCAACAAAGTGCGACCTCAAAAAAAAAAAAAAAAAAAAAAAAAAAGCAAATGTTCTCAGAAGATTTATTTATTCTATTTTTTCTTTTAGCTCCTCTCTCGATCGGAAGATTTTTACAGCCACCCTACTGATCTTTAGGGATTTGTAAACTATTACCCAGGAAGAAGGCCCATGGAGCTAAGGCCTCAGAACACCAAAGTCTGGACTGTCTGAGGGCACATGCTAATAACAGGAGGCTGGCAAAGTGGCCAGCTCCCATGCCTTTGCATGCATTTGTCTTTACCTCCTGCTGCCTGGGAACATCCTTCCAGGAGCAATCGAGTCAACAGCACCACAGACACTGCTATTCCGTTGAGAAAAGTTTTATATGGAAACACATACTGATCATGAACACAATAAACAGGGAGGGAAGCTCGGGCTCAGCCAGGAAACCTGCCACAAGGAAGATGTTTGGAACTATCCAGGAGTAGTGTCAAACACTAACACCATATTTACAAGTCTAATTTGGAACCTGGCCCTTTTTAAGTGCAGGAGGAAGTTGGAGGAGAAGCCATGCATGAAGTAAAAAATACATATACACAGACATAAACACCCACATTTTCACACTTCTTTTGCCCATTTGTTCCACAAGGAACAAATGAGAGAAAGAAGCCCAGCCTCTCTCCCTGGAGTCCGTATACTTACTACAGATTTGTTAGAGAAGCCCCAGATGGGGCTTGGATTCAAGGAGCAGACTTCACTCTTACTGGCCCCACTCACGTGACAATTCACCAAGGGAATGCTTGGGACACAAGCATGAATGTCCGGAAGAGGCAAGAAAATATATGGCTCACTTAACTTACACATTACACATAAGAGGCCTCAGTTTCTCCAAGTACTTTCACATTTGATCTTTAGCAGACTTCTAACCTGCAGAGACAGAGCTCAGCCAAGCTGTGAGACACAGAGGAAAGCAGCATTTTGATCCAGTGTGCACTGGGTCAGTCACTTCATCCGAGACAGTCACACATGCCAGCCCCAGGTAAGTCCCTGGGGGCTTGCAGCTGTTTTCTTTGTGGAGTGGAAATTTGGGTTTTTTCCTTCAGTGGATTTCTCCCTGCTGCTGTCACTGAGCTCCACGCTGCTCGCTCTGGACCCGAGACAGCTGCTCGGCGTGTGTGTGTGTGTGTGTGTGTGTGTGTGTGTGTGTGTGTGTGTGTGTGTGTGTGTGTGTGTAATTTACTGTTCTGCTGCTGCTGGCTTGTCCCCGGCTGCTGGCTCGTCCTCGGCCACTGGCTTCTCAACCTGTGACTCTGGAGGAATCAGATACTGGACCTCCTCTGTGCTGACGGCTACTTTATCTGGCTGGAGCCACCTCTTGAAATGTTCCAAGGTGCTATGAAAGGGCAGAATAAAAGGGTGGCTGTGTCAGACCTCACTGATTAATTACTTAATGATTATCTCAGTTACTCAAACACTACCTTCCCGCCCACCAGCAATTTCTTCCTACAATTGTTTTTCACTGCTAAACTGGGAAGTACAAGGATACTCCTAATGGCAGCTGTGCATCCTGGCAGCTCTGCGCATAATTTACCCCATAGTGGGCACTTTGACTACAGGCAGCAGCAGGCCCCCTTCAAATGCAGAGCCTCTGAAGGCTTGATGAGAACCGCTGAAGAGTTTACGCCTCAGTCCTAAAGACCTAAAGATAGGTCTTTTTTCACTCAAAACAGGAGAGGAGAGAAATTGTCAAGGGGAAGAAACACTCAAATAAATACCAAATTATTATTGAGGCAGAAATCTGAGTATCTTTTGCCTCTTATAGCTGAGGCAGTCTGGGACTCAATTATAGCACTTACTTGCACTAAGTGATTTTTTTTTTGTGTGGGGTTTTTGTTTGTTTATTTCATCCTATAGCAAGTCCCTAAGATAAAAACATCTGAGCAGCAAATATTCCCCACAAGAGAATGACCACTATGCCAGAGGGCTGTCTTTTTGTTTGGATCTGTAGGGAGAGGGGAGATGTAATTGTCAAGCTCAAGGTCCCCTACCCGCCTTCCTTACAGGACCCTATACCCTAAAGCTATTAGACGTTCACAGTAAAATATAAATGACTAGAAATAATGTAAACCTTATTCTATGCTCCTCAATAGCACAAAGTCTTAACCCAAGAAAGAATACCATAACAGCAGATTTTAGGCATCTCTTGGTATATGGGGGAATTTATGTTTTGGATAGTCGGATTTCTCAGCCCATTACTCCCTTGCCAAAAGCATACCACAAGGAGGATCACCTACCTGGCCCTCACATACGTGAAGACCTATACAACCCCATTGTAAAATGGCCTCTGTTTAAAAGATAAACTTTGAAGAACTAGTGTTTCCTGGTGTTTGTTCTGGATAATGATAGAAAGAAACATTCCCACAGATGTAGGCTCTGGGGAAAAATCTAAATGTCAGAGGGCAATGAGAGCGGCTGATTGACTCTAGTGCTCACAGCTCAGGGGAATCAGGTGTGACACAGCATTTAATCTTCATTTACCACACTTTTCATCAAATTGTTCAAATTATTTCCATAGAGAAGGGAAATCTACATTATTTTACATATTGATAAATACGTAGGAACATGCTGATCTGATTTCAGAGAAAGAGGATTTCTACTTGAAAATGACACAGGAGAAAGTTTTGTCTTTTCTTCTCAGAGCTGGAGAGAAGAGAGGTATTCAGGGGGACAGAATATAAGTAAATACCAAATTATCAGTGGGTCAGGAGTCTGCATCTTCAAATCTCCTATGTTTGGAGCAATTTAAGACTTAATTAGGTTGGACCTTTAGAGATAGAAAAGAGCAAAATGTATATAATTTCCTGAACCCTCAGAGGAGAGTTGGCCTGACCTTAGATGCTACGCTGATTTCTGAAGCATCTAGAGGCATGCTGATTAAGCATTTGAGATAATGTAAGTGAAAGTATTTTACACATTTGCAAGTAAATGTACCTATGAAGTTTTATTCACATACTGTCCTGATTTCGGCAGCAGTACTTCTTCTGATATGATGGGATTCTCAACACCAATGTCCATATGTTGGAAACTCAAGTTAAATCACATTCCCCTAAGATCTTTTGTTAAAATTCAATTTTTTACTCCCCCCCATTGATTTTTACTTTGAATAATTTCTTACCAAACTCTAAAATTCTGTAGGAAGGATAATATTAGTAACAGCCAACACTTCTATAGTGCTTACCATGTGCTAGGCATTGTTCTATACCCTTTACAAATAGTAACTCATTTAACCCTCATAACAACTTATGAGGTAAGAGCTGATTGCTCCCATTTCACAGATCAGGAAACTGAGGCACACATAGGTTACTTACCCAAGAACATACAACCAGTAAGTGGCAGAGCCGATTTCCTGAGTGTCGAGCCCCATTCCTGCTCATTGTGGCAGGGCAGCATGCCCTCTCTATCTTTCTGCATCTAAACTACTTGCAGGTACTGTTCAAGTCCTGCCTCCCTCTATGGCAAAACACCAAAGCCAGGAGGGAGCTCAGTGGCCTCTCAATTCCCAAAGCACATTCTGTCACTTCTACTCAACTGGCCCTTCTCTTATTAATGCCTGGTATTGTTAGGTATGTCTTTATATATATTTGTCATCTGCCCTCAAGTAGTTTTGAGGACAAAAACAAATGGGTTTAAAACTTCCTTACACCATTCCCTCCATGACACCAAGCACAGTGCTATCACACAGTGGATGCTTAATAAATTCATTAATTTAGTCTGCGTAAATTCATTGAGTGGCTACAATCTGACAAAAATTCTGTAAGGCAGGCCAGGTGCAGTGGCTCCCGCTTGTAATCCCAGCACTTTGTGAGGCCGAGGCAGGCAGATCACCTGAGGTCAGAAGTTTGAGACCAGCCTGGCCAACATGGTGAAACTCCATCTCTACTAAAAATACAAAAATTAGCCGGGTGTTGTGGCACACGCCTGTAGTCCCGGCTACTCAGGAAGCTGAGGCACAAGAATTGCTTGAACCCAGGAGGCAGAGATTGCAGTGAGCCGAGATCGTGCCACTGCACTCCAGCCTGGGCAACAGAGCGAGATTCCATCTCAAAAAAAAAAAAAAAAAATCTGTAAAGCAGTGGAAATTCAGAGGTAAGAAGAGATGAAGAGATAGTTCCAGAAAATAATCTCTCTGAGGAGTAAATGGTTTTTCCTTTTGTTACAGTAACATGGTTTCCAAACCTCATGAGAAAGAATTCAAGAACATGAGAGACTGATTAGTTACTACTTTCTCAAGTTCATTGCATACTTAAAAATGAACACAATGCTTTATCCTTAACTCTATTCAATCTGTGACCAACACGTAGCTGCAGTATTTGCCTTTTGGCAAAAAAGTCTGTTCTTAAAAATCTACTGCTGGGCTAAAAACAAATAGAACAACTACATAAAGGATGATTTCAGCTGGAACTAGACGGGGAATCGATTACCTCTCATCAGAATCAAGTCCATCCACAAAGAACTCTGAAGCTAACTTCTCCTGGAGGAACCGATCCCAGCATTCCTTCTTGGCTTGGGCCAGAGTTCGAAGCATGTCCTTGGAAGTCACTTCCTGATTTAAACCTTTGATTCTTCTTAGCTTCTTCTCTAGAGAGAGAAGTAGAGCTTAACAAGGAAAATGAGCATGACATGAAATTTTAACTAAATCTAAAACTCAAAATACTAACTTAAAAAATCTCTCACCGATGAGGACATCCACACTCCCTGCCAAAGAGGTCATTTTTTAAGGACAGATAAAAGGGAATTGAACATTCTTCCTTTTTCCTTCACAAAGTCCTCACCCTGCATTGTATCAAATAAATGTTTAACCCGAGAAAAGGGAAAAGCCATAGGTTCTCATAAATAAGTCAATGGCATGTTTTCTTTGAAATCACGTAAGCCCAGCAGGTATCTCTCTAAGGAATGCTTGTTTTCCCTGGTTTGACATGTGTATACTACTGTCTTTTTTCAACTCCTTGAAAATAATCTCTCTGAGGAGTAAGTGGTTTTTTCTTTTTGTTACAGTAACATGAAGTGGTTTCCAAATCTCATGAGAAAGAATTAGAGAAAATGATGAAAGATCCAACGGTTCATTAGATATTAAAATTGACTTGATGAGAACTCAATAAGAGACCTTTAAAATCTCTATGTGTGATTAAATTCTTAATAAAAAGAATCTCCCAACATTTTTTAAAGTTGCTCAACTTGTGGCCTAGATGTTGGAGTCTAATAAAAACAAATGTCTTCTAATCCCATGACAGTGCTCCATATGGCTTCTTGATGATAGAGGTTAAATTACTCTTGTTTGCATTTTAACTCTAATTGTTTAACAGATTTCCCCTTTCGAAGAATACAAGAAAGGACATCACCATTTACCGTCTGCCTTAATTTAGTTTGCCTTCAACTATAAGTACATAGGTTAATGATGGCATGGTGGGGTGGTGAACATCAAGCTTAGAACCAATAGAAACTATGATTTGCAGTTCTGTTTTCATTTCTAAAAAAGTCACATCAGCTAACACCCACTGATCAAAACAAATACCTTTTGTTCCTGTTATTACCACCATGAGCTCACCCATGTAAAAAAAACCTGCAGTTGATAAATGTTAAATATTTGCAGGGTTTGTTTTCTCCTTGAGGATATAAAAAGGGTTATCCATAGCATACATTTAAGTTTTTAATTATTGCTGTTATCAGTGGATTCTCTTTGATATAGGTTATTTAACAATAAAAACAATCTTCATATTGTCTGGCCTCAGTTGTCAAAGTGGAAGGTACTCTTTTGGGCCGGAAAAGGTCTTCCTCTCTCTAAGTATGCTGAGTCCCTGGTCAGGTGTGATTTCAATAGGGCAAGCAGAAACAGGCACTAACACGTCCCTTCTGCCGCTGTCTCCCAGTCCATGCCATAGGCAACAGAAATGACTCTTATTTTCTTCAGAGATGAAAACTTCTTAACTGACTTTAGAGAAGATCATTAACTTTCCAAGCCAGTCTTCACTAATCAAAATCATCACTGTCTTCATTACACTTTTTCTTTCTTTCTTTTTTTTTTTGAGACGGAGTCTCGCTCTGTCACCCAGGCTGGAGTGCAGTGGCACGATCTCACTCAGCTCACTGCAAGCTCCGCCTCCTGGGTTCAAGCGATTCTCCTGCCTCAGCCTCCCAAGTAGCTGAGATTACAGGCGCACACCATCACACGTGGCTAATTTTTGTATTTTTAGTAGAAACAGGATTTTGTCATGTTGGCCAGGATGGTCTTGAACTCCTGACCTCATGTGATCTGCCTGCCTCGGCCTCCCAAATTGCTCTCTCTCTTTCTCTTCCTTCCTCTCTCTCTTTCTCAACAAGGTCTTGCTCTGTCACCCAGGCTGGAGTGCAGTGGCATGATCACAGCTCACTGTAACCTTGAACAACTGCTAGGCTCAAGCAATCCTCCCACCTCAGCCCCCTGGTAGCTGAGATTACAGGCATCTACCACTTCAGGCTAATTTTTAAAAATGTATTTGTAAAGACAGTCTCACTATGTTGCCCAGGCTGGTCTCAAACTCTTGGCCTACACGTGACCCTCCCACATCGGCCTCTCAGAGCGCTGGGATTATAGGTGTGAGCCACCATGCCTGACTTTCATGAAAGTTTCTTAGAAGCCCTTGTCATACAGCACCAACAAGCCAAGGGATCTCGTTCTATAGCTTTATCCAATTGTTGCCTCTTCTCCTTATCATCATTAAACAGATGCTTTGGCTACCACATGCAGAATTTTCATCCCCTAGGCCATGGCTGCAAGCATTGCTATCCTATCTTTGGTGGCTTCCTGGCAAATTTCACATTACTCCCTATCTTTCTATCACTCCACCTATGTTTTTCTCATATCTTTTTCCTCCAGTACATCATTAACAAAATCCCTTTTGTTTTTGCAAGATATTTCTTAGCTATCATGCAAGCTCTCTTCTGACTCTTCTTTCTGTCTTTCCTCAGAAGCTCCTTCTACCTGAATTGCCTTTCCTTCCTCAAAAAATTATTCCCAGGTTTGTAGCTGATCTTCGACAAAGCATATAACAACACAAATTGGGGAAAGGACATCCTATGTAACAAATGGTTCTGGGAAAACTGGCTAGCCACCTGTAGAAGAATAAAACTAGATCCCTATCTCTCACCTTATACAAAAATCAACTCAAGATGGATATAAGACTTGAAATCTTCAAAATTCTAAAAGAAAACCTAGGAAAAACTCTTCCAGACATTGGCCTAGGCAATTTTTATTTTGAGATGGAGTCTCGCTCTGTTGCCCAGGCTAGAGTGCAGTGGTGCGATTTCAGCTCACTGCAACCTCTGCCTCCTGGGTTCAAGCGATTCTCCTGTCTCAGCCTCCCGAGTAGCTGGGACTATAGGTGTGCGCCACCACGCCCAGCTAATTTGTGTATTTTTATTAGAGACAGGGTTTCACCATGTTGGCCAGGATGGTCTCGATCTCTTGACCTTGTGATCTGCCTGCCTCGGTCTCCCAAAGTGCTGGGATTACAGGCGTGAGCCACCGTGCCCGGCCTAGGCAAAAAATTTATGACTAAGATCCCAAAAGTAAATGCAACAATAACAAAAATAAATAAATCGGATCTAATTAAACTAAAAACTTCCGTACAGCAAAAGAAATAATCAGAGTAAACAGACAACCCATGGAATGGGAGAAAGTATTTGCAAACTATGTATCTAACAAAGGACTAATATCCAGAATCTACAAGGTGCTCAAACAAATCAGAAAGAAAAAAACAATCCCATCAAAAAGTGGGCAAATGACATGAATAGACATTTCTCAATGGGATTTGAGAAGATATACAAATGGCTAACAAACATATGAAAAAATGCTCAAAATCACTAATCATCAGGGAAATGCAAGTCAAAATGGTGAGCTACCACCTCACCCCAGCCAGAATGGCCACTATTAAAAAGTCAAAAGACAATAGATGTTGGCACGGATGTGGTAAAAAGAGAATCCTTATACACTGCTGATGGGAATGTAAATCAGTACAACCTCTATGGAAAACATATGGAGATTTCTCAAAGAACTAAGAGTAAATCTACCATTTGATCCAGCAATCCCACTACGAGGTGTTTACCCAAAGGAAAAGAAGTCGTTATATCAAAAAGATACCTGCACGCATGTTTCATAATTCATAATTGCAAAGATATGGAACCAACCTAAGTGCCCATCGAGCAATGAGTAGATAAAGAAAATATGGAATATATACACCATAGAACACTACTCAGCCATAAGAAATAATAAAATAATGTCTTCTGCAGCAACTTAGATGGAGCTGGAGGCCATTATCCTCTAAGTGAAGTAACTCAGGAATGGAAAACAAAATGCCATACGTTCTCACTTATAAGTGGGAGCTAAGCTATGGGTACACAAAGGTATACAAAGTGGTATATTGGCCGGGCACGGTGGCTCACACCTGTAATCCCAGCACTCTGGGAGGCCGAGGTGGGTGGATCACGAAGTCAGGAGTTCGAGACCACTCTGACCAACATGGTGAAACTCTCTATCTACTGAAAATACAAAAATGAGCCAGGCGTGGTGGTGGGCGACTGTAATCCCAGCTACTCAGGAGGCTGAGGCAGCAGAATTGCTTGAACCCGTGAGGCGGAGGTTGCAGTGAGTCGAGATCGTGCCACTGCATTCCAGCCTGGGCAACAGAATGAGACTCCGTCTCAAAAAAAAAAAACAAAACAACAACCAAAAAAAAAACAAAACACAAAGTGGTATACTGGACTTTGGAGATTCAGAAGTGGGGAGGTTTGGAGAGGGGTGAGGGATAAAAAACTACACATTGGGTACAATGTCCACTACTTGGGTGATGGGTGCACTAAAATCTCAGACTTCACCACTATACAATTAATCCATGTAGCCAAAAACCGCTTGTACACCAAAAGCTATTGAAATAAAAAAATTAGGGCCAAGCGCGGTGGCACACGCCTGTAATCCCAGCACTTCAGGAGGCCAAGGTAAGCCTTATTCCCAGGTTTGGCTTTGTGAAACATGGATGAATCTCATGGTTGTTCCACAATAAAAGGATATTACAATTCTAAAGACTGCCCCTCACCGCCCTAGACTGATATTTCTTTTTCCCCTAGCATGGGACAATTTGAATCTCTTTCCTGTGTTTGGAATCTCTCTAGATACTTATACTATGGCCGCAGGACAGGGTACTGAAAATGTGTTCAGGAAATATTTTTAAAATAAAATGGCTAACAAGAGGCAGAATGAATCTTATGTCAATATGCTCCCATTCTCAACAATCAATCTATTTATGTAAGTTTTTCAAACTCCAGCATCAGAAATCCACATGTAGCCCTGGGGCCATCACATTTTCTTGCAGGATGGCATAAGGTTTAACACTTTTGAGTTATTTGAATATACGGGCAACCAACAGTAGGCAAGAGGGTTCTACAGAATGCCAAGAAATCAAACACAGAATTTAGATGAACTGGGCAGAGGCAGGAAGTGACAAAAACTGTTTTAAGAGCTGTTCGGGTAGTCACGGCGGCTCATGCCTGTAATCCCAGCACTTTGGGATGCCGAGGCAGGTGGATCACCTGAGGTCAGGCATTCGAGACCAGCCTAGCCAACATGGTGAAATGAAACCCCATCTCTACTAAAAATACAAAAAATTAGCCGGGCATTGTGCCAGGCGCCTGTAATCCCAGCTACTCGGTAGGCTGAGGCAGGAAAATCGCTTGAACCCGGGAGGTGGAGGTTGCCATGAGCTAAGATCACGCCACTGCACTCCAGCCTGGGCAACAAGAGTGAAAGTCTCAAAAAATTAAAAATAAAAATAAAAAAAGATCTGTTCAAGGAAAAGGGGGCTGCTTCCCAACAGCCGGCTTGAAACATCCCTTGGAATTATATCTGACAGATACGTGTGACAGGAATAACAACAACACAAAAGAATAGGAAACCAAGTTTGATGTAACAGAACTTCAATATGCTTCCCTAGAGCCGTCAAACTTACCTAGAGATGCTAAATACACTTCTGAATCCTGCAAGGGAGCCCAAGGCTTTACAGCTGGCTGGACAGCAAAGTCAGCCACCTCCCTCTGGCCTTCACCTTCAGGGCAAGAATCCACAAAGGAGTCTGAGAATGCATTGTTGGCACCATCTTCTTGTTCAGGATTTGGCAGACAGGAACAAATTTCAGCCCAGAGATCCTGGCCAGATCTTGTGGCTGTAGAGTCAGCGCTCTCAAACATTTTCATTTGGAATCTGAGCTATAAAACAGAAGCTCAAGTGAGTAAGAACTGGCTTTAAGAATACAGCATAAGGTTGAGCACAGTGGCTCACGACTGTAATCCCAACACTTTGGGAAGCCGAGGCAGTCAGATCATTTGAGGCCAGCAGTTCGAGACCAGCCTGGGAAACATGGCAAAATCCCATCTCTACTAAAAATACAAAAATTAGACAGGTGTGGTGGCACATGCCTGTAGTCCCAGCTACTCCGGAGGCTGAGGTAGGAGGATCACCTTAGCCCAGGAGATAGAGGCTGCAGTGAGTGGTGATCACGCCATTGCACTCCAGCCTGGGTGACATTGCGAGGCCCTGTCTCACAAATAAATAAATAAAATAAAAATAAAAATGGAATTCCTACAAGCCATACACAAAAGGCAGATACTGTGATTCCACTTATATAAGGTACCTGAGTAGTCAAATTCATAGATACAGAAAATAGGATGGTGGGAGCTGGGGGCTGGGAGGTAGAAAGAATGGGGAATTACTGTTTAATGGGTACACAGTTTCAGTTTGGGAAAATGAAAAAGTTCTGGAGGTGGATGGTAGTTATGGTTGCACAACAATGTGAACACCACTGAATCATACACACAAAAATAGTTAAAATGGTCAATTTTATGCTACATATATTTTAACACACACACACACACACACACACACACACAAATCTGTAGGGCATTTCCAGGTTGGACAACCAGCCTGCACTTTTCTCCAAAGATCTCCAAAATGCAACAGTTCTATCTCCAGTCAATTAAATTCTGTTTTTTTTTCTTTCTTTCTTTCTTTTTTTTTTTTGAGACAGAGTCTCGCTCTGTCGCCCAGGCTGGAGTGCAGTGGCGCTAACTTGGCTCACTGCAACCTCCGCCTCCCGGGTTCACGCCATTCTCCTGCCTCAGCCTCCCAAATAGCTGGGACTACAGGCACTCGCCACCACGCCCGGCTAATTTTTTGCATTTTTTAGTAAAGACGGGGTTTCACCGTTTAGCCAGGGTGGTCTCGATCTCCTGATCTTGTGATCCGCCCGCCTCGGCCTCCCAAAGTGCTGGGATTACAGGCGTGAGCCACCGCGCCCGGCCCCTAAATTCTGTTTTCAACAGAACACAGACTAAAGGTCTTTCCACAGTTCCATATACATGAAGATCCTGCTTGGTAAAAAGTGTCTGTCAGAGAGTACTGTTACAATGCAAGGGCTGTGTGCTCAGCGCATGCAGTTCAGCCGTATGTCTCATGCTCTTATTTTAATACAATCACTGAAAGGTAGGTATTTTCACCATTTTACAGATGAAAAAACAAGTTCAGAAGGGTAACTTGCTCTAGGGCACATTACTGATATGTGGGGAATCCTTGACAGGAAAACCAGATCTGTGCTGCTCCAGAATCCATGTTTTTATCAAATACCATCCTGCTTGTTTGGAAAATATAACGAAAGCAGCCCAAGCACGGGCAGGTAGGAAAAGCTACGCAAAGAGCCTGGAGGCTTTTATAACTATCTAGGCATATGAGACAGGCTGACACCTTCTTTCAAGAGGAGACTTAGAAATCAGGAAGGCTGCCTGAGGCAAGGTCTGAATAATGCCAGGAGACAGAGCCCAGCCAGCGTAAAGGCCGGAAGTAAAAGGGACAGCTATGACACGGCGGTCCTGGGTGAACTGATGTCTAGCGCTACAGTGAACCCCCAACCCGAATTCGTCTAAAGCCACCCAAAACCAAAACTTTGCTCACACCAGAGCCCCGCATGGCCCCTTACCCCAGGGCAGGGCGTCCAGAACCACGCAGGAAATTCCGGCGTCCAGATCCCAGGCCTCAGTCGCTCAGGTCTCTAGGGCTGTCTGGACGGGATGAATCAGGTCCCAAGGCCTCTATGTGGTATTCCGGGGCCGGGCCAGAGTGGGAGATCCAAAACGCTGGGCACCCCAGCCCCTCCTCACTTACCGTAACAGCTGCCCAGTAAACGCTTGGCTCAGCTCTGTCGCCTGTAGCCCGGAGGAAATCGGGAGGGGCGGAGTCCCCTAGTGACGGAGCCCAGGAGTCCTCCAACTACCTTCCCACCCGACGATGTTCTGTGCGTCGATTGGTCGAGAGGAGCTCAGCGTGGTGAAGAAGTGAGGAGCAGCAAGAGGCGAGCGGTGGACGGGGCTCTGGTTGCCGGGAAACGGTGGAGTCACGTGCCCTGAGCATTGCCCCTCCCCTCCCGAGGGCCAGGTTGATTCCTTGCAGATCCAGGGTTCCAGTCCCTGCTTGGATAGGGAAGTCGTTTCCAAGACTTTTGACTTTTCCTAGTCGCCGGAGCCAGTTCACCTCCTCCACAACTTTCTCTGTCGGTGTTTGTCTTCTAAAAATTTCACCCCTTCGTTACCCAAATTAGAGCACTTCGGCGGCTTCTTTCCTTACTCTCCCAGGAGACTCGTGTCTCATTCATCAAATTATGAAGCTTTCCTTCATTCATTTAGTCAATAGATACCAAGCACCTGCTGTGTTCTAAGCATTGTGTTAAGCGTGAAGTTAAGACACATATGACTTGATATAAGTCCTGGAGATCCTTACAGCTTAGTAGTGTAGGAAGGGGGTCCGCCATGGAGGCATAAAAGTTTACAAATAACAGTAAACAGTGATAGACAGCCGGGCGCGGTGACTCACGCCTGTAATCCCAGTACTCTAGGAGGCCGAGGCAGGTGGATCACCTGAGGTCAGGAGTTCGAGACCAGCCTGGGTGAAACATGGTGAAACTCTGTCTCTACTAAAAGTACAAAAATTAGCTGAGCATGGTGGCACATGCCTGGAATCCTAGCTATTCGGGAGGCTCAGGCAGGAGAATCGCTTGAACCGGGAAGGCAGAGGTTGCAGTGAGACAAGATCGCACCACTGCATTCCAACCTGGGCAACAGAGCAAGACTGTCTCAAAAAAAAAAAAGGAGGGGGGCGTTGAGGATTATAGAGTATATGATGGAAGTGTGGCCAGAGTACATAAAGGAGAGAGTGGTCATAAGAAGTGTGTGTCAGAATGCTTTGTTGTTGTAGTTGTTAAAGGAGATGACCTTTGATATCCTTCAGGGGATAGATACCAGCTTGTTCATTGAGATCGACCCCTCCCCATCCCCAGCTTCCAGGATCAACACCAGTTACTCTCTCCCAAGAAACACGTGATGAAAGACATCAGCCAACCATCAGTAGCCAAGTAACTTGGCTGAGGAAATAGTTCTCACTCCAGCCTGGGTGACAGAGCAAGACTCCGTCTCAAAAAAAAAAAGAAAGAAAGAAAAAGAAAACAACAACAACAAAAACAACATAGTTTTAGGATTACAGATGTGAGCCACTGCGCCCAGCTAAAATACAATTTAAAATTCAGTTCCTGGCCGGGCTTGGTGGCTCATGCCTGTAATCCCAGAATTTTGGGAGGCTGAGGGGGTGTGGATCACCTGAGATCAGCAGTTCGAGACCAGCCTGGCCAACATGGTGAAACCCTGTTTCTACTAAAAATACAAAAATTAACTGGGCGTGGAGGCGCATGCCTGTAATCCCAGCTACTCAGGAGGCTGAGGTAGGAGAACTACTTGAACCCAGGAGGCGGAGGTTGCGCCACCACATCCGGCCTGTAATCCTAACACTTTGGGAGGCCAAGGTGGATGGATTGTTTGAGCCCAGTTTGAGACCACCCTAGGCAATGTGGCAAAACCTCGTCTCTACTAAAAATACAAAAAATTAGCCAGTCATGGTGGCACATGTCTGTCGTCTCAGCTACTAGGGAGCCTGAGGTGGGAGGATCACTTCAGTTTGGGAAGTCAAGGCTGCAGTGAGCCAAAATCGTGCCACTGCACTCCAGCCTGGGTGATGGGAGTGAGATCTTGTTTCAAAACTTGTTAAAATTTTAATTAATTTAAATTTAATTAGCCACATGTGGCTATTGTACAGCACATGGCTAATGGTGATCCTATTGTATAGCACAGGATTGGAGAATATTACATAGTTCACAGAACCTCAAGGTGAGTGGAGAGTCAGGCTTTAGGTCTATACAGCCAGGGACAGTATCTGAATCTCACTGAGAGACTGCTCAGGGAACACCCCACAGCCACTGAACATCTATAGCTGGCATTATTCGTCGATTGGGTACTTGACACAAGAACCTCCCCGACTGTTGGCCTCCCAGATTAGATGCCTCCAATGCTACCTTGTTAGACACGGATTTCACACTGAGCCTGCTTCCGCGGCTGTGTGCCTCTGAACCAAAGCCTCTGTCTAAGAGATAGAGCCCAGGTCAAATGCCTATGTCCAAGCTGCAAGAGAGTGTGGGAAGGCTCTGGCTTCTACCTTTTGGGGGCAGTAATGAAATGTGAGAAATTCCCCACCCAAAAGAAGGGTGTTCGGAAGATGCTGGATGTTTACAGAATATGACAAATGTCTACTCTACATGGTCTATGCCAGTGCTTCTCAAGCTTTAATATGCAGAAAAATCACCTGAGGATCATGTTAAAGTGCAGATTCTCATTTAGTAGGTCAGAAGGGGAGGAGGAACAAGATTCTGCTATGTTTTCTGTCTCCACAGTTTTGCCAGGCACTAGTCCAAGTATTTTACTTGAATTAACTAATTTAATTCTCCCACCCCAATCCTATGGAGCAAAGAGGCTAGCTAAGAATACATACTTTTCTTTTGGATAAGGTTCTGCTTTCACTGTAAATATCTTAATGAAATGATGCACTTGAGAGATGATGTCCCTCCTGTGAAGTAGTTTGGTTCTAACATACCCCACAATCAATGGAGAATTCTACCTCTTATTTCTGGAGGTAGTCAGGAATCAGACTTTTCAGCATATGGAGTTCTGCAGCTGTGGATACCTCAGCTGCAGTCCCTCAGTTAGTTTGGTGAGACTAATGACTTGAAGAAGGAATTTAGCTAAAAAAGATTTCCCTTTCTCCTCTCCAGAATACAAATGCCTAGGATAAGAATTAGACTGTCTTTTTTTTTTTTTTTTTTTTGGCAAACTAACATTGAAATGCCTCCTTATTTGGAAGAATCCCACTCTGGATACCAAAGAGGGTTAGATTCTTGGCCGGGCGCGGTGGCTTACGCCTGTAATCCCAGCACTCATAATATAAAAATTAGCCAGGCGTGGTGGTGCGTGCCTGTAGTCCCAGCCACTCAGGAGGCTGAGGCAGAAGAATGGCTTGAACTCAGGAGGCGGAGGTTGCAGTGAGGTGAAATCGCTCCACTGCACTCCAGCCTGGGCGACAGAGCAAGACTCCGTCTCAAAAAAAAAAAAAAAAAAAAAAAAAAAGAGGGTTAAATTCTTCCATCTCCAGGCACCCTGGAAGTGAGGGCTCAGAGCAATGAGGTTTGGCTGATGGAAGTCCTCCCCTGCAGGACTCTTAACCTTGGAAGAGGGACACAGAGACACAGGGAGATTTAGGGGTCTCCAAGGGGTGGCAGGGCTGCAGGAAAAAGAGTCCTTTGGCACAACATAGTTTCTTGTGTCTACTGCATCCCAACTGGGTTTCTTCCCTGACATGTCTGAAGCCAGGCTCTCAAAAGGCTTGGTTTCCCTTGATTTGGCCCTTTTTCTGAGCCTAGTCTCCAGTTGTCTTGTGAATTCTATGAGGCACTAATATACTTTCCATAATTCTATCTCTGATGAAATTAGCCAGAGTTGGTTTATTTTGCACTTAAGAACCCTCGCCATATATCCTCTGATCTATTTGCAGTTTTAATCTCAGGATGGAAGCATGTGGGAGGCGAATGGGGATCACTAATCCTTCTCATGCTGTTAGGGGGAAACACAGGTGTGAACACATTGCTTCTGGGGTGCTTGTGTGTGTTTTAAATACATATATAACAATCTTACTGAGATACAAGTCACATACTATAATATTGACCCTTTTAAAATATAGAATACAGTGGGTTTTAGTATATTCGCAGAGTTTAGCAATCTTTATTCTGGTTGTTAGTTTTTGTTTTGTCTTAAATAAAGCTCCTTTCAAGCGTTTCTTCAGACCCAAGGGACTACTCGGAATTTACACGACCTACTCCTGTCATGGCCTTTACACGGAGCAATTCCAAGGGTTTCCTTTATAAATAACGTCGTATCTCCCTAATAGGAAGACGTCTGAGTAAGGTCACTTTTGGTGAGACATTTACAGTCTCTCATCTCTAAGCTCACTCAATTCACCTAATTTAATTCGAGCAGCTCACTCATTCGCTCACTTATCGCAGACCCCGCCTCGGGACTGGGCCTCCCTGATTCGCTGGGGCCGAGTGACGTCCTCAGATCGCGACCCTGGGAGTGGAGTGGGGGCAGCGTGGTTATGTGGCTGGACCGCCGCGGATGGCTCAGGGTTCTTGGACATTGGCGCTACGACCTTAGGCGCCCTAGCTTTACCAGGACTTGGAGTGGCGATAAGGGCCCAATGGCAGAAACAGTGTCTACCCAGGTTGGGACAGAGGGCGGGCTGAGGGCTTCGCATCAGCAAAACGGTGACGCTGGTGGCGACGCGAAGGTTGAGCTGTCCCCCGGGCCCCCGAAGCCGGCTGGCCGGGAAGTGGAGCCGGCCCCAGTAGGCGGGGAGCATCCCTCGGCTGCAGCCCCAGGCCCGGGCAAGCATAAGAAGCGGCGGGGCGCAACCAGGGAGCGTGTCGTGCCGCCCCCGAAGAAGCGGCGGACCGGGGTGAGCTTCGGAGATGAGCACTTTGCAGAAACCAGTTATTACTTCGAGGGCGGCCTGCGTAAGGTGCGGCCCTATTACTTTGACTTCCGGACCTACTGCAAAGGTCGCTGGGTGGGCCACAGCTTGCTGCACGTCTTCAGTACCGAGTTCCGAGCTCAGCCCCTGGCCTACTATGAGGCCGCGGTCCGGGCGGGCCGCCTGCAACTCAACGAGAAGCCGGTGCAGGACCTCAACATCGTGCTCAAGGTGGAGTCCTGATGGGGCTGGCCAGAAGCGGGCGAGGAAAAGGGGCCGGGTTTTGTTTTGTTTTGTTTTGTTTTTTAGTCTTAGTAAAGCATAGGTACTGGATTAAAATCATGGCAATTCTAAAGCGTTCTCGCTTTCATTTGGAACACTATTTTAGCCCGTTTCCCACCTCCGCAAGTGGCCAGGGTGTCTGTGCTTCAGGACTCAGCCTGTTTATCCTCTTCCTCAAGGCAGCTTCCTTGTTTCCAAGGGACAGAAGTTGGAATTTTCATAATTCCTTTAAACACCGTCTTGTGGCAAGGGCACTGATCACTTTACCCTGCGTTGTAGATCTCTGTGCAAATAGTAATAATAGGGGCTATCATTTATGTCTCTTTACTGTGTGCTGGGCACAAAGTTAAACATTGTATGTCCACTAATTCTAATGACAGCCTTGTGAAGTAGGTATTGCCACTCCATTTTACCTCTGAGGAAACTAAGGAAACTCACAGGGGTAAGGCTATCAACAGTGCCACTACCAAAGCCTATGTTCCTATAACTACTACTTAAACTATTTAACATAGAGTTATGAGATGTCAGGGATAGAGACTAGAATTGTTTAGCCCAGTGCTTTGACTCCTTTAAAATTCCATCACATCTATGAGGTACCAGACACCCCTGTCAGAAGTAACACTGTTTACCTCTCAGTAACACTAGTTTACCATGGTTGTGAGTGGAGAAAAGGCGATTACAGCATTTGGGGAATGGATGGTTTTGGAGTAACTTGTTCCATTGATCAATCGATTTGCGTCAATATATCATACATTGACGAATTCCCTCTCCTATCCCAATTTCTAAAGCACAGATCTGGTCTAACCCTCACATTCCACAGGAAGCAGAGACCCAGAAAAGATAAATGACTTGCCCAAGAGCATGTAGCGAGCCTGTGGCAAATCCTGGTCTAGAGCCCATATCCCTGGACTTAAGCCTTAGTTTTGTTTGTTCAAGATCGTAATAAGTGATGATTTATGGAGGTTTTTTCCTCCATTAAAAAAATTTTACCTTGATTATTTATTTTTTTTTTTTTTGAGACAGAGTCTTGCTCTGTTGCCCAGGCTGGCGTGTAGTGGCGCGATCTCGGCTCACTGCAACCTCCGCCTCCCAGGTTCAAGCGATTCTCCTGCCTCAGTCTCCCAAGTAGCTGGGATTACAGGCATGTGCCACCACGCCTGCTAATTTTTGTATTTTTAGTAGAGACAGAGTTTGACCATGTTAGCCAGGATGGTCTTGATCTCGTGATCCACCCACCTCAGCCTCCCAAAGTGCTGGGATTAGAGGCGTGAGCCACTGCGCCCGGCTAAAAAATTTTACCTTTTAAATACCTTTATTGTAGAGAAAATACAATTAGCAAAGCCAAAAAACATTCATAATCTAACCACCCAGAGATAACACAGTTAACATTTTTGCATATGTCCTTCCAGTACTTTTTCAGTGCCAGCTATCTGCCTGTGTCTGTCTGTATTTTTACAAAATGAGATCACACTCTGCACACTGCTTTTTCAGCCCAAGATGTGCTTTCACCATTTTTCCATGTCAGTGAGGAACAGGGGAAGCTGGATATGAAGTTGACTGATTACAGGCTGCGGTCCCTAGGCTGACTTATTACCTATGTCTTTGACAGGACAATGATTTCTTGCGGAACACAGTGCACAGGCATGAGCCACCAGTCACAGCAGAGCCCATTCGCCTGCTAGCTGAGAACGAAGATGTGGTGGTTGTAGACAAGCCTTCCTCCATTCCCGTTCACCCCTGTGGCCGCTTCCGACACAACACAGTTATCTTCATCCTAGGCAAGGAGCACCAACTCAAGGAGCTACACCCCTTGCATCGGCTTGACCGCCTTACCTCAGGGGTGCTTATGTTTGCCAAGACAGCTGCAGTCTCTGAGAGAATTCACGAGCAGGTTCGGGACCGGCAGGTGAGTCAGGCTTTTGTCTCCTACAGGCCACTTCTTGGGCTCACGAATGCTCTGTGTCAAAAGGGCATCATGGAGTTCCGAAGTGGTCCTTCATATTTATCTGGCCATCCTTCCTACCTTCCTACCTTAAGGCAGGTCAACACCTAAAGTGCCAAATGCAGGATATCTCATATGTTTCCAAAAAAATCTTTAGAGATGGCATACACTGCCTCTCTTAGTAGTTTGCTATTTTGAAGCTTTAAAATGCTGACAAGGCCAGGCTCACACCTGTAATCCCAGCATTTTGGGAGGCTGAGGTGGGAGGATAGCTTGAGCCCAGGAGGTAGAGACCAGCCTGGGCAAAATAGGGAGACCCTATCTCTACAAAAAAAAAAAAAAAAGGCCAGGCGCAGTGGCTCACGCCTGTAATCCCAACACTTTGGGAGGCCGAGGCGGGCAGATCACGAGGTCAGGAGATCGAGGTCATCCTGGCTAACACGGTGAAACCCCGTCTCTACTAAAAAAAAATACAAAAAATTAGCTGGGCGTGGTGGCGGGCACCTATAGTCCCAGCTACTCGGGAGGCTGAGGCAGGAGAATGGTGTGAACCCAAGAGGTGGAGCTTGCAGTGAGCCGAATCGCGCCACCGCACTCCAGCCTGGGTGACAGAGTGAGACTCTGTCTCAAAAAAAAAAAAAAAAACTTACCCTGGCATGGTGGCACATGCCTGTAGTCCCAGCTACTTGGGAGGCTGAGATAGGAGGATCACTTGGCCATGGGAGGTTGAGGCTGCAGTGAGCCATGAGCATGTCACTGCGTTCCAGCCTGAGCTATAGAACAAGACTCCGTCTCAAAGAAATAAATTAACATAAGAAAATAAAGTGCTGACAGGCTGAGCAAGGCTTTTAAGATTATGGGGAGAGCCTGCTTGGTGAAAAGATTCTAGATGTAGTTGGAAAAGTCTTGGGTAGAGGAGTTTAATGGTAATGATTGTTGTCCTGAGACTTGTAATTCTGGATCTGAATCATAATACATTTATTGAGTGCATGCTATATACCAGGCTTAGTATCAAGCACATTAGAGCCTAACTTACTGAATGCTTATCACAGCCCAATGAGGTAAATGCTTTTCTTTTCTTTTCTTTTTTTTTTTTTTTTTTTTTGAGATGGAGTTTCGCTCTTGTTGCCCAGTCTGGAGTGCAATGGTGTGATCCTGGCTCACTGCAACCTCCGCCTCCTGGGTTCAAGCAATTATCCTGCCTCAGCCTCCCAGGTAGCTGGGATGACTGGCATGCGCCACCACGCCTGGCTAATTTTGTATTTTTTAGTAGAGACGGGGTTTCTTCATGTTGGTCAGGCTGGTCTCGAACTTTCGACCTCAGGTGATCCACCCACCTCAGCTTCCCAAAGTGCTGGGATTACAGGCGTGAGCCACCTCACCCAGCTGGTAAATGCTTTTCTAATTTCACATTTTCTAGATGAGTTAGTAGGATTTAGAGGTTAAGTAATGTACCCAAGATCGCAAAACTGGCGAATGGTAGAGCTGGAGTTTGAATTTTCTGACACTGGTCCTTATCACTCCACAAAGAGTTTGGACTCCATGAATTTAGGCTTTGTACTGACTTTCTCCCTCTTCCCTCCTATGTAGCTGGAGAAGGAGTACGTGTGCCGGGTGGAAGGGGAGTTCCCCACTGAGGAAGTGACCTGTAAAGAACCCATCTTAGTGGTGTCTTACAAAGTAGGGGTGTGCCGTGTAGATCCCCGGGGCAAGCCCTGTGAGACAGTGTTCCAGAGGCTAAGCTACAATGGCCAGTCCAGTGTGGTACGGTGCCGGCCACTCACAGGCCGCACACACCAGATTCGAGTCCACCTTCAGTTCTTGGGCCATCCCATTCTCAACGACCCCATCTACAACTCAGTTGCCTGGGGTCCTTCTCGAGGCCGGGGCGGCTACATTCCCAAGACAAACGAGGAGTTGCTACGGGACCTGGTAGCAGAGCACCAGGCCAAACAGAGCCTGGATGTGCTAGATCTCTGTGAGGGTGACCTGTCCCCAGGACTCACAGACTCTACGGCCCCCTCCTCAGAGTTGGGCAAGGACGACCTGGAAGAGTTGGCTGCAGCTGCCCAGAAGATGGAGGAAGTAGCTGAGGCAGCCCCTCAGGAGTTGGACACAATAGCCTTGGCATCAGAGAAGGCAGTTGAAACAGATGTCATGAATCAAGAGACAGACCCACTCTGTGCAGAGTGCCGGCTGGTGCGACAGGATCCCTTGCCCCAAGACCTTGTGATGTTCCTACATGCCCTACGCTATAAAGGGCCAGGCTTTGAGTACTTTTCACCAATGCCTGCCTGGGCACAGGATGACTGGCAAAAGGACTGAGGGTGTGGCCAATGGAGGGATTGCTTCTTGGGTTGTGACAAGGATGGGCTATAGGGCAAGGGCTGACCCCATGGGCTAGTACTTGGGGTTTCTATAGGAATGAGGACGGGCTTCTAAAGAGACCTGCTCATACTTGCTACCTCCTTCCAGTGGGAATTTGGAGACTTTTTGGTTTGTAAATATATCCCTTTTTCTAACATCTTTGATGTCTGGTTTTCTTCCGGCTTCTTTTTTATTACTGATGTAAAATTCACATAACATAAAATTAACCACTTTAACTAGCCAGGCACAGTGGCTCATGGCTATAATCCTAGTACTTTGGGAGGTAGAAGTGAAAGGATCACTGGAGGCCAAGAGTTCAAGGTTAAAGTGAACTGTGATTGTGCTGCTGCACTCCAGAGCCTAGGTGACAGAGTGAGACCCTGTCTCTTAAAAAAAAAAAAAATTAACCAATTTAAGATGTACAGCGTAGTCACATTTAGTACATTCACAGTGTTGTACAACCATAACCTCATATATTTCCAAAACATTTTCATCACCCCAAAAGGAAACCTGTACCCATTAAGTAAGTGGTCACTTTCCACTCCCCTTCCACCAGCCTCTGGCAACCACTAATCTACTTTCTGTCTGTTTGGATTTGCCTGTTTATTCTGGACATTTTATATAAATGGAATGATAAAACATGTGACCTATGTCTCTGTTTCCCTTGGCATAATGTTTTCAAGGTTTATTCAACTTGTAGCATGTATCGGTACTTCATTCTTTTTTTATGGCAGAATAAGCTGTTGTATGGATATACCACGATTTGTCTATCTGTTCATCAGTTAATGGACATTTGGGTTGTTTCCACCATTTCATTATTGTGGATAGTGCTGCTGTGAACATTAAATATGTTTTCAGTTCTTTTGGGTATATACCTCACAGTGGAATTGCTGGGTCATATGGTAATTCTATGTTTAAATGTTTGAGAATCCACCAAACTTTTCCACAGCAGCTGAACCATTTTATATTGCCACCAGCAAGCATAGGGTTTCAATTTCTCTACATCTTCACCAACATTTGTTTTGTTTTGATTATAGTCATCCTAGTAGGAGTGAAGTGGCATCTCATTCTGGGTTGTTAGTCTTTTTGTTGTGGAGTGTAAGTGTTCTTTATATATTCTGGATGTGAGAGTCTTAGCAAAAAGACTAACAGCCCAACTTAAAAATGGGCAAAGGATTGGAATAGACATTTTTCCAAAGAAGATATACAAATGACCAGCTAACATATGAAAAAAAAAAAAGCTGAACATTATTAGTTATCAGGGAATGCAAATCAAAACTGTGGCATTAGTATAAGAATAGACATAGAGTGATGGAATAAAATCAAGAGTCAAGAAATAAACCCATCCATCTAAGGTCAATTGGTTTTTGACAAAAGTGCTAAGACTGTTCAGTGGGGAGAGAATAGTCTTAAACAAATGTGTTTTTTCTTAAACAGTTCGTGCTGGGAAAACTGGGTATTCACATAAAAAAGAAAAAAGTTAGACCCCTACCTCATACACAAAAATTAACTGAAAATAGGCCAAGGACAATGGCTTACACCTACAATCCCAACACTTTGGGAGGCCGAGGCAGGAGGATCCCTTGAGGCCAGAAGTTTGAGAACACCCTGGGCAACATAGCAAGACCTTATCTCTACAATAAATAAATAAATCAGCTGCGTGCGATGATGTACGCCTGTAGCCCTAGGTACTCGGAAGGCTGAGGCAAAAGGATTAGTTGAGCCCAGGAAAAGTCTTAGAAGAAAATATTGGGGTAAATCTTCAAGACCTTAAATTTGGCAATGGGTTCTTAGATACAACACCAAAATAATAATCAATGAAATACAAAATAAATAAATTGCACTTTATCAAAATAAGGACTTTTGCGAATCAAAAGACACTATCAAAAAAGTGAAAAGACAGCCTACAGGATGGGAGGAAATTCCAGAAGAGGAATAGTTGGGTATATGGTAATACTAATTTATATTTTTGGAAGAGCCTCCATACTGTTTTTCATAGTGGTTGCAGCATTTTACAATCCTACAAACTGCACAAGGGTCCGATTTCTTCACATCCTCACTAACACGTGTCATTTTTTTCATTTTTTGATAGTGTCCATCCTAATGGATGTGAGATTATATCTCATTGTGGTTTTAATGTACATTTCTCTGATGATTACTGAGAACATCTTTTCATATGCTTGTTGGCAATTTTTATATCATCTTTGGAGAAATGTCTATCCAAGTTCTTTGCTCATTTTTTGATTTACAATTGTCTTTCAGTATCCATGCATGATTGGTTCTAGGATACCTCCACCTTCATCCCAAGATACCAAAATTCACAGATGCTTAAGTCTCATATAAAATGACATATTATTTGCATATAAACGTCCTCTCGTACACTTTAAATCATCTCTAGTTTACTTACTATACATAGTAAATGCTATATAAATAGCTGTTATACTGTGCTGTTTAGGGAATAATAAGGAAAAAAAGTCTGTACATGTTCAGTACAGATGCAACCATCCATTTTTTTTTCCAAATGTTTTCAATCTAGGATTTGTTGAGTCCACAGATTCAGAATCTATGGACATGGAGGGCCAACCATATTTGATTTTTTTGTTGTTGAGCTGCAGGAGCCCTTTATGTATTCTAGGTATTAACTCATTATCAGATACATGCTTAGCACATATTTTCTCTTATTCCATAGGTTGCCTTTTCACTTTCTTGATTGTGTTCTTTGATGCACAGAAGTTTTAAAGTTTAATACAGTCCCATTTGTCTGTTTTTTGTTTTTATTTATTTTATTTTATTTTATTTTATTTTATTTTATTTTATTTTATTTTATTTTATTTTTTTGAGACAGAATCTCATTCTGTCGCCCAGGCTGGAGTGTGGTGGCACAATCTCGGCTCACTGCAACCTCCACCTCCCGGGCTCAAGCATTTCTCCTTCCTCAGCCTCCCGAGTAGCTGGGACTACAGGCACACGCCACCACACCTGGCTAATTTTTGTATTTTTAATAGAGATGGGGTTTCACCACGTTGGCCAGGCTGGTCTTGATCTCCGGACCTCAAGTGATCCACCCACCTTGGCCACCCAAAGTGCTGGGATTATAGGCGTGAGCCACCATGCCCGGCCAGAATTGTTTTCTTAATTTCATGTTTAATTATTTATTCATTGGTAGTCTATAGAAATATGACCGATTTTTGGCTGGGGGCGGTGGCTCATGCCTGTAATCCCAGTACTCTGGGAGGCCAGTCGGGGGATGGATCACCTGAGGTCAGGAGTTTGAGACCAGCCTGGCCAACATGGCGAAACTTCACCTTTACTAAAACTACAAAAATTAGCCGGGTGTGGTGGCATGCGCCTGTAGTCCCAGCTACTTGGGAGGCTGAGGCAGGAGTAACACTTGAACCCAGGAGGCAGAGGTTGCAGTGAGCCAAGATGGTGCCACTGCACTCCAGCCTGGGTGACAGAGTGAGACACCGTCTCAAAAAAAAAAAAAAAATATGACTGACTTACGTATGTTGATTTTGTACTCTGCAATTCTGCTGAATTTATTAGCTTTTTTTGTGGATTCTTTAGGGATATATATTATCTAATACACAAATTATACTATATATTATATTTATATATATATATATAATCCATGTCATCTGCAAATAGAGATAATGTTACTTCTTCCTTCCCCATTTGGATACCTTTTGTTTCTTTTTCTTGTCTAATTGCTATGGATAGAACTTCCAGTACAATGTTGAATAGAAATAGCATAGGGAAAGTGGGTCTCCTTGTCTTGCTCCTTATCTTAGGCGGATAGTTTTCAGTCTTTCACCATTGTGTGTGATGTTACCTCTGGGCTTTTCATAAATGCCCTTTACCATACTGAGGATGTTCTTGCCCTGCATTTTTTTTTCTTTTTCTTTTCTTTTTTTTTTTTTTTTTTGAGGTGGAGTCTCGCTCTTTCACCCAGGCCAGAGTGCAGTGGCGTGATCTTGGCTCACTGCAAGCTCTGCCTCCTGGGTTCATGCCATTCTCCTGCCTCAGCCTCCCGAGTAGCTGGGACTACAGGTGCCTGCTACTGCGCCCAGCTAATTTTTTGTATTTTTAGTAGAGACAGGGTTTCACCGTGTTAGCCAGGATGGTCTCGATCTCCTGACCTCGTGATCTGCCTGCCTTGGCCTCCCAAAGTGCTGGGATTACAGGCGTGAGCCACTGCGCCCGGCCTTTTTTCTCTTTTTGAGACAGAGTCTCGCTCTGTCGCAAAGCCTGGAGTGCAGTGGCACTGTGTCGGCTCACTACAACCTCCGTCTCCTGGATTCAAGCAATTCTTCTGCCTCAGCCTCCTGAGTAGCTGGGATTACAGGCGCCCACCACCACATCCAGCTAATTTTTGTGTTTTTTAGTAGAGACTGGGTTTCCCAATGTTGGCCAGGCTGGTCTTGAACTCCTGACCTCAGCTGATCCACCCACCTTGGCCTCCCAAATTGCTGGGATTACAGGCCTGAGCCACCGCGCCTGGCCCTTGCCCTGCATTTCTGCTTGTTTCTTGCCCTGCATTTCTGCCTGGACAGCCCTTTGACTTCTGCTCAGGCAGAAACCTTTTCTTTCCTGTTCCTTCTGTTGTACACCTGTCATGTATTTCCTATTTCGTTGGAGTACTCATAAAGAGAACCATGGATTTTTGTTTTCAGGTAACTTCATGGTGAATAACAAAGGCTTATTCATACCGAATCCATTGCCTTTGACCAGAACATATGGAGCAGAAGTAGTGTAGGCGGGGAAAGCAATTGTGTTTATATTCTTTTAGTGGTTCATATTGGTCGTTAACCACCTACTATATGCCAAACATTATTTATTGCTGGGATACAGAGATGAATGGCTGGCCCCTGCCCTGTTAGAACACACATGATGAAATGTGCAAGTACAAAGGGAACCAGTGGAAATATGATATAATTCTGTCTGGAAGTACTAGCATAGATTTCCCAGAGAAAGAGGCATTTAACAGTGAGTTAGAATTTGCCTACTAGAGATATAAGAGGATTCCAGATAGAGGGACAATTTGAGAGAAGGTGGTCATATTCTAGAACTCGAAAAGACAGAGGAGGAGACACCCAAGGAGAGCGTTTAACCCTGGGGCTCTAGTATATGTCTCCCTATCACTTACTATTGAAGCCTTTTTTTTTTTAAATTTGAGACGGAGTCTTGCTCTGTTACCAGGCTGGAGTGCAGTGGCGCAATCTCAGCTCACCGCAACCTCCGCCTCCCGAGTTCAAGCAATTCTCCTGCCTCAGTCTCCCGAGTAGCTGGGACTACAGGTGCACACCACGCCCAGCTAATTTTTGTATTTTTAGTAGAGACAGGGTTTCACCATGTTGGTCAGGCTGGTCTCAAACTCCCGACCTCAGGTGATCCGCCCACCTCGGCCTCCCAAAGTGTTGGGATTACAGGCGCCGGCCACCGCACCTGGCCTATTGAAGCCTTTCAGTGGCTTGTATATCACACCAGTGATAGGGGATTCTCATGAATCTGAGTATTTGCTCAGCTTCAAGAAAACCCTATCTCCATTCCATGAGCCAGCCAACTCTCCTTATCACTGAGACCCTCCATAACTCAGGAGCTGTGGGGTCCTAGGACTGGGAAGAATGAGATATCCAATAAAATGAATTCATATGGCAGATATTTGAGAGCCAACTATGTGCTGGATTCACACTAGGCTCTGGGTATATAATGGTGAGTAAGACAGATAAGGTCTCCACTCTTATGAAGTATACAGTCCGAATGTCCAGCACAATGTGGGAAAGTAAACAGTAAACAATGTGGTAAATGTTCTGTGTGACAGGAGAAGGAGGGAGGCACACCTAGTGTGATTCCTTCCAGGATCCCAGGGTTCTGAATGGGAGCATTAGCATTTGCCCATTTTCCATCTCACCTCTTAAGTTCTGAATTTTACCCTCTCTAGTGCTGTTTATCCTATTCTCATTATTTCAGAGGTTCTTGAGCTAGAGACACATGGATGGGCTTGAGAGGATCCCTGGATCTCTTGAAATTTTATGTAAAATTTGGTATATGTGTATACTTTTCTGAGGAGAGTCTATATATTAATTTCTCAACAGATCTTTTAAAGCTGCGTTGTCCAATGCTAGCAACATATGGCTATTTAATTAAAATTAAATAAAATTTAAAATGCATGGGAAGCCGAGGCGGGTGGATCACTTGAGTCTTGGAGTTCGAGACCAGCCTGGCCAATATGGTAAAACCCTGTCTCTATGAAAAATACAAAAATTAGCCAGCCATGGTTGCATGTGCCTGTAATCCCAGCTACTCAGGAGGCTGAGGCAGGAGAATCACTTGAAGCCAGGAGGTGGAGGTTGCAGTGAGCTGAGATCGTGCCACTGCACTCCAGTCTGGGCAACTGAGTGAGACTCTGTCTCATAAAATAAAATGCAGGCCGGGCATGGTGACACATGCCTGTAATCGCAGCACTTTAGGAGACTGAGGCAGGTGGAATGCCTCAGCTCAGGAGTTCGAAACCAGCATAGGCAACATGGTGAAACCCTGTCTCTACTAAAAATACAAAAAATTCACTGGGCATGGTGGCGGGTGCCTGTAATCCCAGCTACTTGGGAGGCTGAGGCAGGCAAATCTCTGGAACCCAGGAGGCAGAGGTTGCCGTAAGCTGAGATCGTGCCACTGCACTCCAGCCTGGGCTACAGAGCAAGACTCTGTCTCAAAAAAAATAAAAATAAAAATAAGCCAGGTGCGGAGCCTCACGCCTGTAATCCCAGCACTTTGGGAGGCCGAGGCGGGTGGATCACAAGGTCAGGAGTTCAAGACCAGCCTGGCCAAGAGGATGAAATCTGGTCTCTACTAAAAATACAAAAATTAGCTGGGCGTGGTGGCAGGTGCCTGTAATCCCAGCTACTCGGGAGGTTGTGGCAGAGAATTGCTTGAACCCGGGAGACAGAGGTTGCAGTGAGCTGAGATCGTGCCACTGCACTCCAGCCTGGGGACAGAGTGAGACTCCGTCTCAAAATAAATAAAAATAAAAATGAAACAAAATGCAGTTTTTCTGCTGTATTTGCCCCATTCCCAGTGTTCAAAGCCACTTGGTCTAGTGACCACCATATTGGACAGCACAGACATAGAATAGTTCCATCACCTAGCAAAGTTCTATTGGGTGCCATTGCTTCAAAGGATCTCTACACAAAACAAGAGTTCCTAACTACAATTACTCCACTAGTCTGCAGATGCCTAAAAAGCAGGGTGTGTGTGTGTGTGTGTGTGCATGTGTGTTCTTCTATCTTGCACATACTAATCAAGCAATTGGTCTCTCTGTGTTAATTAAATGCTGTGCTAGGTGCTAGTGTGTCCGTTCCTTCGGGTGGGTTCTTGGTCTCCCTAACTTCAAGAATGAAGCCACAGACCTTCGGGTGAGTGTTACAGCTCTCAAAGGTGGCACGGACCCAAAGAGTGAGCAGCAGCAAGACTTATTGTGAAGAGCGAAAGAATACAGCTTCCACAGCATGGAAGGGGACCCCAGTGGATTGCTGCTGCTGGCTTTTGGAGGGGGTGGGGGTGGCCAGCTTTTATTCCCTTATTTGTCCCTGCCCATGTCTTGCCGATTGGTCCATTTTACAGAGTGCTGATTGGTCCATTTTACAGAGTGCTGATTGGTGCATTTACAATACTTTAGCTAGACACAGAGGGCTGATTGGTGCATTTTTACAGAGTGCTGATTGGTGCATTCACAATCCTTTAGCTAGACACAGAGCGCTGATTGGTGCATTTTTACAGAGGGCTGATAGGTGTGTTTACAATCTTCTAGCTAGACAGAAAAGTTCTCCAAGTCCCCACTGACCCAGGAAGTCCTGCTGACTTCACCTCTCACTGGAATGTTAATACAAAACCTGTGACAAAAGTACTACCTATAAGGAGCCCAGGTTGAATCTAGTTGTCCTTTGCTATGCTGAACAGTTGGCTGTTCTTGAATGTGTTTTTTATCCTTATAAAATGGTATCCTTTTGGCTGGGTGCAGTGGCTCATGCCTATAATCCTAGCACTTTGGGAGGCCAAGGCGGGCAGATCGCCTGAGCTCAGGAGTTCCAGACTAGCTTGGGCAACACGGTGAAACCCTGTATCTACTAAAATACAAAATAAATTAGCTGGGCGTGGCAGCGTGCGCCTGTTGTCCCAGCTACTCAGGAGGCTGAGGCAGGAGAATTGCTTGAATCCGGGAGGCAGAGGTTGCAGTGAGCCGAGATCGCGCCACTGCACTCCAGCCTGGGCGAGAGAGCAAGACTCTGGCTCTACAGAAAAAAAAAAAAAGTATCCTTTTAAAACTTTTATTATAGCCCCCTTCCCTCACCCCTGCTCTGGAGGTAACCACTATTAATAACTAAGGGGTCCCAAAGGGGTGGGGGTGAGGCAGAACAAGGTCTGGAGGCAGGGAACCTAAGGCCATTTCACACTGACTTCCTAGAACTAAATTGATAGGAAAGCCCTAACTGTCCACTCCTAATAACAAAAGGACCAGAGGTTACTCCCTTTGCAAACCCCCAACTTTTCTGCCCCGCAGATGGGAAATTGAAAGTACCTCTGATTGGTTGCTTTTTGCAATCGATCAGATGTTTCCATGGGACTGTGACCTTTGTAACATCACTTCAGCCTCCGATTGGTTGTTGTCTGCAACCAATCAAACTGATTGCTGGCCAAGTCTTCCTTTGCATAGAAGTGCAACTTTGTAACTTCAGTTTAGCCTCTGATTGGTTGCCTTTGCAACCATGAGGTGAACACCAAGTGGCCAACGGGAAACCTCTAGGGGCTATTTGGACCCGAGAAGATTCTGTATTGGGGGCCCTTGAGCCACTGCTTGGCCCACTGCCACACTGTGGAGTGTACTTTCATTTTCAATAAATCCCTGCCTTCATTTCGTTCCTTTCGTTGCTTCATTCTTTCCTTGCGTTGCTGTGCATTTTGTCCTATTCTTTGTTCAAAATGCCAAGAACCTGGACAACTTGCAGTCAAGACCCTCTAGCGGTAATGGGGAGGGGGGAAAATAATGATAAAAATAAAGGGTTCTCCTGCCTGTTTTCTATTCATAGATACAAAAATCTATATGTATTTCCTTTAATAAAAATAAAAATGAGATCATGCCATGCAAATTGTTCTGTAACTTGATTTTTTGGATTTTTTTTTTTTTTTTTTTTGCGACGGAGTCTCTGCCACCCAGGCTGGAGTGCAGTGGCGCAATCTTGGCTCACTGCAACTTCCGCCTCCTGGGTTCAAGCAATTCTCCTGCCTCAGCCTCCGGAGTAGCTGGGACTACAGGCACACGCCGCCACGCCCGGCTAATTTTTTTTTTGTATTTTTAGTACAGACGGGGTTTCACCATATTGGCCAGGCTGGTCTCCAACTCCTGACCTCGTGATCTGCCCGCCTCAGTCTCCCAAAGTGCTGGGATTACAGGCGTGAGCCACGGTGCCCAGCCTTGATTTTTTTTTTTTTTTTTTTTTTGAGACGGAGTCTCGCTCTGTCGCCCCAGTCTGGAGTGCAGTGGCGCGATCTCAGCTCACGGCAAGCTCCGCCTCCCGGGTTCACGCCATTCTCCTGCCTCAGCCTCTCGGAGTAGGTGGGACTACAGGCGCCCGCCACCACCCCCGGCTAATTTTTTTTTTTTTTTTTTTTTAGTAGAGACGGGGTTTCACCGTGGTCTCGATCTCCTGACCTCGTGATCCGCCCGCCTCGGCCTCCCAAAGTGCTGGGATTACAAGCGTGAGCCACCGCGCCCAGCCGATTTTTTTTTTTATAGCTGCATTGTGTTCCATTGTACTACAATCTATCTTCTGTTGCTGGAATTTTAGGTGTTTGCAGTTTTTCACTATTCTCAGGCCATAGTAAACATCCTTATATACCCTTCCACACTTGTAGCATAGTTTCTACAGGACAGTTTTTTAGTGTAATTATGGGGTCAATGGCTTTAAATATAAATAGGTAATAGGAAACTGCCCTCCAAAAAGATTATACCAATTTTCATTCTGTCCAGTCATGTGAGAGGCTGAGGCAGCTGAATGCAGCAACTGAAAATGCAGCTGGTCCAGCAGCTGCATTTTTCAAAGTTGGCATTGTTTCCAGTCAGGGTTGGAACCATGGGTTTCCCTGAATGTCTGTATCTTTTCACGGATGACCTAGACTTGCTTGAGTCAATCTTGCTTCCAAAGACTTTAGAGAAAATGGACTGATTTCAAAGCCTTTTCGAGGTTTGGATGATTGATCCTCAAGACTCACATATTCTAGAACATAGGATTATTGAAAACCAAAGACAGAAGCAGAACAGCCATGGAATGTGACCAGTTTTTAGTTGGGTAAGTTTACTGTGGTCCTGACGAGGTATCATCACCAAAGGCACTCATTCTGCTTAGAACACTGTCTTGTACATGGTGAACAATATTGTCTATGATTATGATTTTTGTTTTCTTCCCCTCCAAGTCCTCTGTCATCCTCTTCTTTTCATTTGAAGCTTGTCCACGTTTTCAAAACTGCAACATTTTTGTCAACCATTAACTAGGTGAAAACAGTTAAGAATTGCCTACTAAAGTTGAACACACACATAACCAATGACTCTACTTCTAGCTATCTACCTACAGAAACACTTGTACATGTGCCCCAAGAGACATATAAAAACAGTCACAGCAGTGTTCTTGCAGCAAAAGACTGGAGATAACAAAAATATCCATCAATAAGAGAATGGATACCTAATTGTATGTTCAGATAATTGCAAACTAATCAGCAGTGAAAATGAACGAATTATACGGATAAAACAGTGTCCAGTGACAGAAGTTACAGATGAATACGTTATATAAAATGAATACATTATATAAAATTAAAAAACAGACAAAACATATTTAAGACTACAAATATGTATAAATATGTATATTTGGTAAGAAAAACAAGAGAATGATTAACATGAAATTCAGAAAAGTTGTTATCTTTGCCAGACACGGTGGCTCACGCCTGTAATCCCAGCACTTTGGGAGGCCAAGGCAGGTGGATCACGAGGTCAGGAGATCGAGACCATCTTGGCTAACACGGTGAAACCCCGTCTCTACTACAAATACAAAAAATTAGCCAGGCGTGGTGACATGCACCGCAATCCCAGCTTCTCGGGAGGCTGAGGCAGGAGAATCGCATGAACCCGGGAGGCGGAGTTTGCAGTGAGCCGAGATCGCGCCACTGCACTCCAGCCGGGGGCGACAGAGTGTGACTCCGTCTCAAACAAACAAACAAACAAACAAACAAAAAGTAGTTACCTTTTTTTTTTTTGGAAATGGAGTCTCACTCTGTCTCCCTGGCTGGAGTGCAGTGGCGGGATCTTGGCTCACTGCAACCTCCGCCTCCCAGGTTCAAGCGATTCTCCTGCCTCAGCCTCCCGAGTAGCTGGGATTATAGGCGCCCGCCACCACGCCTGGCTAATTTTTTGTATTTTTTTTTTTTTTAGTAGAGACAGGGTTTCACCATATTGGTGAGGCTGGTCTCAAACTCCTGACCTCGTGGTCTGCCTGCCTCATCCTCACAAAGTGCTGAGATTACAGGCGTGAGCCACTGTGCCCGGCCAAAGTAGTTATCTTTTTGGTGGGAGGATGCCTCCAGGAAGGGACACACAGGAAGCATCAAAGGTGCTAGTAATCTGCCACCTGCCAAGAGGGTAGGAAAAAAAAATTAAAATAATTAAAAATCATTTTTTAAAAAAGAAACAAAGGGGCTGGTAATGTTCTATTTCTCAAGCTGGGTGGTGTATATACAGCATTGCTGTTTTTTTCTTTCTTTCTTTCTTTCTTTTTTTTTTCGGAGACAAGGTCCTGCTCTGTTGCCCAGGCTGGATTGCAGTGGCACGATCATGGCTCACTGTACTCTCGACCTCCCAGGTTCAAGTGATCCTCCCACTTCAGCCTCCTGAGTAGCTGGGACCGCAGCACACACCAGCACACCCAGCTAATTTTTGCATTTTTGGTAGAGACAGGGTTTTGCCATGTTTCCCAGGCCTGTCTGGAACTCTTGGGCTCAAGTGATTCACCCATTTGAGCCTCTTGAGTAGCTGAGAATATGGGTGCATACCACCACACCTGGCTAATTTTTAATATTTTGTAGAGACAGAGTCTCACTGTGTTACCTAGGCTGGTCTCGAACTACTGGCCTCAAGCGATCGTCCCCAACCTTGGCCTCCCAAAGTGCTGGGATTACATGTGTGAGCCACTGCACCTGGCCTTATTATTGTTATTTTTAAACTGTACATGCATATTACATTACGTATGTATGTATTGTATAATTGTGTAATACTATCAAGATAAAACTTTTAAACAACAAATATTAAAATATCTCACCTCTTTTTTTTAACATTTGGTTATCTCTGAAATAGTGACTCTCCTCTTTCAGTCCCACTGCACAACTCTTTAAGATCCATTTGACCTTCACACAGCTGGTGGGTGCTACTCCAAAGTGCCTAGACCATGGGTTGTTTTCACCAGTGGTGGAAAGATAACACCATACACCTAGTATTTTGGAGACTATAATGGTAAGCAATAATTAATAATTTGCAAAAATGGGCCAGGCGCTTGGTGGCTCACACCTATAATCCCAGCACTTTGGGAGGCTGAGGTGGGCGGATCATGAGGTCAGGAGATCGAGACCATCCTGGCTAACACGGTAAAAGCCTGTCTCTACTAAAAATACAAAAAAAAAATTAGCCAGGCATGGTGGCGGGCGCCTGTAGTCCACCTACTAGGGAGGCTGAGGCAGGAGAATGGCATGAACCCAGGAGGTGGAGCTTGCAGTGAGCTGAGATAGCGCCAGTGCACTCCAGCCTGGGCGACAGAGCAAGACTCCGTTTCAAAAATAATAATAATAATAATTTGCAAAAATGACTAACTGCTTTAATTTGCCTTAGCAGATTCAAATACAACTTCTCCATCATAAAAGAACTGAGGGATCTAAAAGCAGTTCATGGCTTTGGAATTCTAGACCCCGCATGCTCTCCGACACAAAGAGCCCAAGAACTTGCATCTTCTATCTCTTCATTACCAAGACATCTAGACAAAAGGTTCTTGAAAATGTTTTAGTAATTCAAGTAAATAATAAGTGATGCAATTATTCTGGTTCTTTTTTCTTTCCAACATTCCAAATGTTGAAGTTAAAGTAGGTTAGGAATTTTAAAAGGAAAGCTTTATATCTGATCTAAATGCCAAATCTTCCAGAATCACAACTGAAGCAAAATTGCAAGGATTAGTCATTTTATAAGCCAAGATATGCCAGAAACTGCCAGTAAACTACAGAAGCTAGATGAGAGATATGAAATAGATTCTCCCTCACACCCCTCCTAAGGAACCAACCCTGTTGACACCTTGATCTCAGACTTTAGCCTCCAGAACTGGGAGACAATAAATTTTTGTTGTTTAAGCAAAATTTTTTGGGTTTTTCTGAGACAGCCTGTCACCCAGGCTGGAGTACGGTAGCATGATCAAGGCTCACTGCAACCTGGAACTCCTGGGTTCAAATGATCCTCCTGCCTCAGCCTCCCGAGTAGCTGGGCCCACAAGTGTGCACACCCATGCCTGGCTAATTTTTTTTTTTTTTTTTTTTGAGGTAGAGTCTCACTCTGTTTCCCAGGCTGGAGTACAGTGGCACAATCTCGGCTCACTGCAACCTCCATCTCCTGGGTTTAAGTGATACTCCTGCCTCAGCCTCCTGGGTAGCTGGAGTTACAGGTGCATGCCACCATGCCTGGCTAATTTTTGTATTTTTAGTAGAGATGGGTTTTTTTGCCACATTGGCCAGGCTGGTCTCGAACTCCTGACCTCAGGTGATCTGCCTGCCTTGGCCTCCCAAAGTGCTGGGATTACAGGCGTGAACCACCGTGCCCAGCCGCCTGGCTAATTTTTTTAATTTTAATTTCATTTTTTGTAGAGACAGGGTCTCACTGTATTACCCAGGCTGGTCTCGACCTCTTGGCCTCAAGCAGAACTTCTGCCTTGGCCTGTCAACATGCTGGGATTACAGGCATAAGCCATGGCACCTGGCCTCAAAAAAGAATTTTAAAGCCTTGCATCTTGGGCTGAAATAAAGGCCACCTCTGATACCTCCTAGGTTATATAAAAAATGACTACTGACAGTCATTGAAAGGAGAGTTGATTGGAAGTGATCCTTTCAGTGAGTTCCCAGAAACTGACATTAAGGAACTATTTCAGTTTTTTAAAGCTAAAAAATCAAAACAAAAACAAAACATTTTTTCAGATGTCAAGTTTCTGTGTTATTCAATAATTTAAAAATCAGAATTCTAGACCAGGCACGGTGGCTCACACCTGTAATTCCAGCACTTTGGGAGGCTGAGCGGGGCAGATCACCTGAGGTCAGGAGTTTGAGACTAGCCTAGCCAACATGATGAAACTCCATCTCTACTAAAAATATAAAAATTAGCTGGGTGTGGTGTGGCGCGCACCTGTAATCCCAGCTACTCAGGAAGCTGAGATGAGAGAATCGCTTGAACCTGGGTGGCGGAGGTTGCAGTGAGCCAAGGTCGCGCTACTGCACTCCAGCCTGAGTGACAGAGTGAGACTCTGTCTCACAAAAAAAAAAAAAGGAAAAAAGAAAACGATCAGATAAACAACTGGCTAACTATCCATCACTACCTCAGCTTGGGATATACCATAAAGTGTTATTCCCTATTTCCCTGAGTCTTTGGCATTTACTCATTCATCTTGGCTTTCCTAGACAATGTTACTAAAACTGGATTTCCGTTTTGCTCTACTGATCTTCAATATGAAAATGTTATTTAGTTTTCAGTTCACTAGACATTCCTAGAAGTTGTTGTAGTATTTTCACACGATAGAGTACATCTCAGGGAATGATTTTAGAAAAGAAAAACGTTTTGGGTCGGTGTTGTAGACTCAGAGCAGAATGCATGGATTCACTATGGAACCTCTCCAGACCCTGTCATCACTGTGTTCCCAGAGATGGTTCTCCAGTGGGAGAACCTAATGGTAAGGAACAAATTGACTTCACTTCTGTCATTGCCTGCCTCTCAAAACCAGTCTTTGCAAGTCTTGGAGCCTGAGGTCTGGGTTTTTCTTGCAAGAGTTAAGAAATAAACTTTAGATGTGTCAAAAAAAAAAAAAAAAGCCAAACCGAACAAACAAAAACAAAGCATTGATTTCAATTCTTCCTTCAGAGCTATGTCATATAAGGGCTGCTGCTGACACACACAGCCTGTCTGGGCTGTGGACCAGTTTATTATTTCATAATAAACATTGGCCATTGATTCCCAGAGAACCTCATTTTCAAAAGAGGGAATTGGTCCTCTTAAAGCTGGCCCCAGATAATGAAGACGCATTGCCTAACACTCCAATAGTAAAAGAGCTGGAATATCTTGGTAAGATATTTATGCAACAGTCCTTTGCTGTGGTCTTCCAGAGGTTGAGGTGTCCTGCAATAGTTGAGGATAGTACTTGCAAGGAAGAACGTTGGTGTTGGTAGAGAACGGTTTCTTTGAGCTGTGGTTTGTTGAAGAATTTGGGGAGTTAATGGAGATCTCTGTAGACGAGAGCATCCATCTCGGTAGACGAGAGCATCCATCCCTGTAGATAAGAGCATCTTGTCCGAGTCTTGCAGTTGCAGCTGCTCCAGTAGATGGCGCCTCTAACTCTTTTCCTGTCAGCTTCTTACAAGCTTCTCTTTCCGTTTCTAATTGAAGTATTTCTTTTTCTTTCCCTTGACTTTTTTTTTTTTTTTTTTTTTTTTGAGACGGAGTCTCGCTGTGTCGCCCAGGCTGGAGTGCAGTGGACCGATCACGCCTCACCGCAGCCTCAACCTCCGGGGCTCAAGCGATCCTCCCACCTCAGCCTCGCAGGACTACGGGCGCTAGCGACCACACCAGCCTCTTTCTTTCTTTCTTTCTTTTTTCTTTCTTGTCTTTCTTTCTTTCTTATTTTCTTTTTCTTTCTCTTTCTTTCTGTCTTTCTTTTTCTCTCTCTTTCCTTCTTTCTTGAGACAGATTCTCCCTATGTTGCTTGGGCTGGTCTCGAACTCCGGGACTCAAGCAATCCTCCCACCTCAGCCTTCCAGAGTGCTGGAATTACAGGTGTGAGCCACTGTACTCAGCCTAAAAAAGTGAGTTTTCAACTCACAATTTTTTTCTTTTTTTTCCTCTATATTCTGCCAGTACATTTCATTTTCATAACTTATACAGCTGAAGATTTTCCTTTGAAAAAATAATCTTCCCAGCCCATGCAGCACGCCGTCCCATCCAGCATGGCCAACATGGTGATGTTGCGGGACAATCAAAAGATGGGAGAGACCGAACAGAGTGAGTTCAGGAAAGGTCTTTATTAAAAGGTGGTCACTTGGCCCAGTAGGACTAGCCTCCAGGAAAGTCTGAGCCCCAGACAAAGAAAGTAGCCACGTTTTACGCAGTCAGTGGCCGGGAGCAACGTGATGCAGGAAGGGTACTTACAGAAGCGAGAACAAAGACAGTTGATCAGTCTTTTACATTTATCTATACTACACGTTCCACATCCCTGGGAAACCATGTTTCTGTACCAACCTTATAACTTTGCAGCTGCCCTAGGGAGGGGAAGCAGGAACTCGCTGAGCCTCAAGGAATGTGAAACTAGCAAGTACAGATAAGGCTCGCCGAGCACAGAAGGAAAAGCAGGCAGTTAGTATTCTTCTCTAACTTGGCCGGGGGTCTTCTCTAACTTGGCTGGGGGCGGGGCGGGGGGGAGGTGGCTACACTACACTTAGCTTTTGAAGGAAAAAGTAAAAATTTTCGGTTGTCTTTGATTATACTTGTAAAATTCATGAATTCCTTCTTCAGTGAAACCCAGTCTCTCTTAAAAATACAAAAATTAACAGGGCGTGGTGGCACACACCTGTAATCCCAGCTACTTGGAAGGCTGAGGCAGGAGAACTGCTTGAACCTGGGAGGTGAAGGTTGCGGTGAGCGGAGATAGTGCCACTGCACTCCAGCCTGGGCGACAGAGCGAGACCCTGTCTCAAAAAAAAAAAAAAAAAAGTCTACCCATGCTCTGCACAGACGTTGATAGACCTATAGTTATCACTGCAAGAAGCTGGCAAACCTCAGGAAAATGATGCAGCCCTGGCGTCTCTAGAGAAGTTGCAGCACTAATGGGCAATGTAAATAAAAATGTATTTACAAATGCATTCCCAGCACTTCCCTGGCAAGTGCTGGGAAAAGCCTAGCAGGCCACAGAAGCGTCTAGGAGGGTTACAAAGGTCCAGAAGCAAGAGAGAGCGCACGGGCTAGTTGAAATGGAAGAGGGAGCTGCAGGTTGCAGGGCTTGTTGATGGGGGTGACCTCTAAGCTCAGATCCGAAGGAGAAGCAGGAGCCGCCCAGGCAGTGACATGATGGGAAAGAAGAGGGTGGGGTCAGGGGTATGTTGCAGGGAGAGGAGCAGGGACGGTATCTACAAACGTGTTGTGGAAAGAGAAAAAATCCTAGTTCAAGGAAAGGTAGATCTGTGTCTCCAGGGAGATTTAGAAAGGTCTCTCTCAGGGGCTCTTAACCTTTTTTTTGTGACACAGACCCTTTTGGCAGTCTGGGGAAGTCTAAGGATCTCATCTCAGAATTTTTTTTAAATTTTGATTAAATTTTTAAATTTTTTTGTAGAGACAGGGGCCTCACTATGTTGCCCAGACTGTCTTTGAACTCCCGGACTCAAGGGCTGCTCCTGAGATTTCAGGCATGAGCCACCATGCCTGGCCAGAATGTTGTTTTTAAATGTATAAAATTAAATATGTTAGAATACAAAGGCAACCAATTTTGTTGGAATAGTTGCCAAAATATTCTCAAAGTTTGTGATGTAATAATATAATAATGCATGCACTTTTTTTTTTTTTTTTGAAATGGAGTCTTGCTCTGTCGCCCAGGCTGGAATGCAGTGGCATGATTTTGGCTCACTGCAACCTTCACCTCCCGGGTTCAAGCAGTTCTCCTGCCTCGGCCTCCCCGGTAGCTGGGACTACAGGCACGTGCCACCACGCCCGGGTAATTTTTGTATTTTTAGTACAGATGGGGTTTCACCATGTTGGCCAGGCTGGTCTTGAACTCCTGACCTCAAATGATCCACCCACCTCAGCCTTCCAAAGAGCTGGGATTACAGGTGTGAGCCACCGCGCCCAGCTTAATGCATGCACTTCTTTATGAATGCATAACATTACAAGACATAATAGCAGGTCTAAAAATTACCACAATTTTGAAGTAGCAATGAGCGTAAAGCAATAACAGTAATCTGATATAAAAATATCTGTGATTTCTATTGGTGACAAAATAATGGATAAGGTTAATATTACTGTAGTTAGTTGCTTACCGTTATTGAAGGATGTGCTTTCAATTAGGGAGTGTGGAAATAAGGATGAAATCTTTTTCTGAACCAAATAACCCACTGAATTCTATCCATGGACCCCTTGGAAATGCGTGGAACCCAGCAGAAACCCTTCCTAGCAGCAGGGTAGAGAATGCATTGGAGAGCAAGGCTAAGGAAGGGTGACTCAATGTCCTGAGCCCAAGGAGGTATCAACATTCCCAACGGATTTGGATCTGTAACAGAAAGAAGCCACTGGAGCCAGCAGAGAATGGGGCCACTGCTTTCCATACTCAGTGCCCAAACCTTGCTGAAGCACCTGCCAGAGGCCGTGTTGTGGAGCATGGTGCAATGCAGACAGCCTTGTGGAGGAGACAATCTGTAAACCATGACTGCAAAAGATTGATAAATACTGATTATTAATCTACAGCACAGTGTAGGATTGATAAATACTAATTATTAATCTACAGCACAGATTAGAAGGGTGATTAAGCCAGCGTCTAGTAGATTTGGGTTACACTCTCCTTTCTTCAATTTAGAAGCTGTATAACCTCGGGCAAGCTAATCTTTCAGTCTCCTCATCTGTAAAATGGAGTAATAAAAATATTTGTCATGATCAAGGGTTATAGTGATGTAATTCATGTAAAACATGTGGTGCCTGTAGATAATAAATACCGGATAAAGTGTCTCATGGTAGCTTTTGAAGTGAAACCTGGTATCTCATAATCAGGACAGGTGTTAAAAACCCCAGAGTAACAGTCTACAATAATTGAAACTCCTCAGTTAGGAGCTGTGTTAAAGTTGGAACAGAGCAGCATTGGAACATATGGGATGGTAATAATTGTGGAATTCTATTCACTGTTGTTAACTCCATATAAAAAGAAATTAAATCCAGCATGATTTCTGATTCCTGGAAAGTCTCTTTCCCTCCCTTTTCTTTATCTGTGATGTCAGAACGTTCCAAATACTGTATTTCAACATTTCAGGCCTGAAACTGATGGTGCCAGATTAATTGAGTAATAAATAATAAGTATTCAAGTTTTTCCGCTCTGCAAATTTACTTTGGTTATTAAAAAATTTATTCTGCTCTGCAAATTTACTTTGGTTATTAAAAAATTTATTCTGCTCTGCAAATTTACTTTGGTTACAAGCAAAAGTAAGCCACCACATCGACGAGGATGGGATTCGAACCCACGCGTGCAGAGCACAATGGATTAGCAGTCCATCGCCTTAACCACTCGGCCACCTCGTCCCGGTAAGTTACTGTTTCCTGATTGCTATAGGGAGTAATATCAAGGGGCTGTGACGCAATGTTATGGAAGCCGCCATTTTGTACGGAAGCCAAAGTCCAATCACTTCCATAGCAAGCAATCGAAAGAAGATGGCCGCTCCCACGATTGTGGGGGAGGTCTCCACTGGGGAGGGGCAGAGGAAATTCGGTCGAAAAAGAGATAAAGCTGAAGGAAATAAAATTGGCACGGAGTCTGGGAAAGTAGTTTCCCTAAAGGAGTCTTAGAAATAGGGTTGGTCTGGAACCTAAGGGGCGGAGCCGACGCGTAGAGCCGCTTTGCGCGTGCGCATCACCTAGGCGGTTAGATTTGAATACTTCACTGAGGCGAGCCGGGCGTTGTGAGCGGACTGCTAGAGGCGGCTGTCTGTTTCCGCTCTAAGGAAACTCAGAGCGTGTGGACCCCAAACAAGTCTGCGCAAAATTTGTCGAGGAGGTTTGCCGCGGCAGGTAAAGAGAATGACTCTTTCGTTCTGGGCTTCAGGGAAGGCTTCGGGTTTTGTCTGGGCGCCCTGAAGTTCCTGCGGTGGGAGGTAGGGTACGCTCCCTCAGCCTGGCGGCCTCCGTTAGCGCCGGGCCGAGTAGACGCCCCTGCCCCGGGCCGGGCACACTGTGCCCTTTTTCCCCTCCTCGGCCTGTACGTTGTGCCGCCTCCCGCTTCCCTAACACTTCTCCGCCTGCACCTCGGCCCCTCCGGCCACCCGGCTCGGGTTGCTTGTCCGTCGCTCTCTTGGCGTCCTCTTCCGCCCCGCCCTGCCGTCCTCTGTCAGGGCTCGCGGACTCTTCTTGCACCCCTGCCGCTCTTCCCTAGGGACCTCTCGGCTGTTTGTATTTCTCACTTAAGCTTTTTTTGGCTCTAAATGAAGTGACAGCAATGAGTGATTTTAAAATTCTCAGCTCTTCGTGGTTTAAGGTGTCTGCTCGGAGTGCTGGCCGCACGTAACAGATTTTTCGTTTTCTGCAAGTATAATAACCTTAACAAATGAAGTCAATATTAGTACTGCGCAAATTAGTTTTTAAAAATCCTCTTCTGTTCATTATTCCTCAGGATTTAAGCCCTTATTCTTCACGTTTATTTAAATACTCAAGTTTGAGGGAGGAAAAAGTATTGCCGATTGGAATTTTACAGATAGGTTTAATAGGCATTAACAGATAAAGGATGTGGATGAAGACCAAAGCAGAAGCTTATTCCAGTCTAGATATTAAAATTGATGTTTTCACTTCCGTCGAATCCTGTAGATATTTATTGGGTTCCTTATCCTGTGATAGGGCCGGGGACAGATGATTCCCAAACCTAGAGGGGTTTACAAAGGGAAATAACTAATATACACAAATAACTAGAATACAAGACAGAATGTAAAAGATTATAGGACATTCTAAAGTGGTGTGGGAGCACGGAAAAGGGAGAGCTTATTTGATGCTTTTGGTGATGGATTTGTGGAGAAGACCGCATTTGAGGTGGACGTTGGTTGGAGAGATGATTTACAGATGGGAGTTAATATGTGGTAAAATTTTGGTAATTAAAGGTTAGGGTCAAAGCAGTATAATTCTTGACTTTGCGAATGGCTGGAAATCTTTACAAGATGATAAATACATGTAAATTGAATTAAAATGTTTGGAATGGTAGTATTAATGATGTGTTCGATGTTAAATAATAGACTGTAAAAGATACTGACTCTAGATATTGCCAGTAAAGCAGTGCTGTCCAACAGGGCTTCCTGTGAAAATGGTAATGTTTTATATGTGCACTCCAACATACTACCCATTAGCGACATGGGACTATGGAGCACTTGAAATGTCATTATTGTGACCAAAGAACTGATTATTAAATTTTATTTTATTTTCATTAATTTAAATGTAAATAACTACTATATTGGACAGCACAGGTCTAGAGTCTCTGTCATTTCACTCTTATCCTCCTACAATCCCGGAAAATACTAACTCTAGATATCGGTCGTATAAATGTAGGAGTGGGCAAAGAGCCAGATAGTAAATATTTCAGGCTTTGCAGGCTACATGGTCTTTGTCACATATTCTTTGTTTAGTTGTTATTGCTTGCCTTGTTTTCTACAATCCATTAAAAGGGTAAAAAAACACTCTTAGCTCAAAGGCTAATTGGGCTCAGTCGCTGTTTGAGGACCTACGGATTATTTAGAGTAGTGGTTCCCAAATTTTCTTGATGCATGGCACCCTGAGATCAAAGAAATACCTAACAGTCTATTTATTGAGTACAGTGGTTGGGTCCAAACATTAAGTATATATGTCCCAAACTTAGTAGCCATTTAAAAAAATACAGAAATTGAAGGAAAATATGATATTTTAAATTTTATTTATTTATTTATTCTTTTTTGTGAGACGGAGTCTCGCTCTGTCACCCAGGCTGGAGTGCAGTGGTGCTATCTTGGCTCACTGCAGCCTCCGCCTCCTGGGTTCAAATGATTCTCCTGCCTCAGCTTCCGCAGTAACTGGGATTATAGGCACCCGCCACCATGCGCAGCCAATTTTTATATTTTTAAGTAGACACGGGGTTTCACCACGTTGGCCAGGCTGGTCTCGAACTCTTGACCTCGGGATCCGCCTGCCTTGGCCTCCCAAAGTCCTGGGATTACAGGTGTGAGCCACTGTGCCTGGCCAAAATTTTATTATTAAATAATCACACTTACTGATTGGATATCTGTGCCTGTTGGACACTGCACAACTTCTGAAACTTTGGAATCAGTTTATACCCTGTCACCCTCATTTCCTGTAGTACTTTAATAAAAAATACTTGCTTTTGGGCCGGGCACGGTGGCTCACACCTGTAATCCCAGCACTTTGGGAGGCCGAGGCAGGCAGATCACCTGAGATCAGGAGTTTGAGACCAGCCTGACCAACATGCAGAAACTGCGTCTCTACTAAAAATACAAAATTAGCCAAGCGTGGTGGCGCATGCCTGTAATCCCAGCTACTTGGGAGGCTGAGGCAGGAGAATCACTTGAACCTGGGAGGCAGAGGTTGCAGTGAGCCAAGATTGCGCCATTGTACTCCAGCCTGGGCAACAAGAGTGAAACTCCATCTCAAAAAAAAAAAAAAAAAAAAAGGTACTTGCTTTTTATCACAGCAACTGCAAACAGTTTATCTTTACAGTGATGTTATTAAAACTAATGTAATGCAAATGTACTGTTTTGATCTAGTAGTTCACACAGTACCTGACAGGTGTTCAGAACTGCTGTGCATCTCTCAAAATTTTTAAATATCCCAGGACACCATTGTGAGTATGCTGCAGCACCCTTGGGTGCCAGGTACACAGTTTGGAATCAGTAACTTTTTTGTTTTTTTTTCTTTTCGAGACAGAGTCTCACTCACTGTGTTGCCCAGGCCAGAATGCAGTGGTGCCATCTCAGTTCACTGCAATCTCTACCTCCTGGGTTCAGGGGATTCTCCTGCTTCAGCCTCCCAAGTACCTGGGATTACAGGAACACGCTTCCATGCCTAGCTAATTTTTTTGCCCTGCTAATTTTTTTGTAATTTTAGTAGAGACAGAGGTTTCACCATGTTGTCCAGGCTGGTCTTGAACTCCTGGCCTCAAGTGATCCACCCACCTCGGCCTCCCAAAGTGCTGAGATTACAGGCTTGAGCCATCGCACCAGGCCCCGGGAACCAGTAACTTAATGTGTCAATAATCAAGAGTTTGGCCGTACCAGTGTTTTATAAATGAGGCTTAACTTGTGAGTCTGGAGTCTCCTATTTGTGTTGAAAGTGGAACTTAACAGTTACAGAATATTTTAAAAGGGGGACTTCAGTAAGTTTGAATTTTATCAGTTAATTGCTAACTGATTGGTCTACAGATTGGACAGGAATTATGCTTAATGACTGTTTTAAACAACAAAGATATTTAGGTGATCTTGAGTTGATAGTAGTTATTATCTGTGAATTTTGAACATGTGCACTGAATTTGAAAATATTTCCCCTGGGCGCGGTGGCTCACGCCTGTCATCCCAGCACTTTGGGAGGCCGAGGCGGGCAGATCACTAGGTGAAGAGTTCGAGACCAGCCTGACCAACATGGTGAAAACCCGTCTCTACTAAAAGTACAAAAATTAGCTGGGCGTGGTGGCAGGCGCCTGGAATCCCAGCTACTCTGGCGGGTGAGGCAGGAAGGAGAATCACTTGAACCCAGGATGGGGATGTTGTGGTGAGCTGAGATGGCACCATTGCTCTCTAGCCTGGGCAACAAGAGGGAAACTCCGTCTCAAAAAAAAAAAAAGAAAAAGAAAAAAAAAGAAAATATTTCCAAAGGAGAAAAAATATGCGAGTTGGTGGTCAAATAATTGTTTCTTAATTACTCATTCAGCAAATGTTTATTGAGGCTGGGCCTGCTGGCTTATACCGGTAATCCCAACACTTTGGGAGCAGAGCTGGAAGGATTGCTTGAGGCCAGGAGCTCATGACAAGCCTGGGCAGCCTAGTAGACTCCAGCTCTACAAAAAATAAAAATAAAAAAATTAGCCAGGAATGGTGGCAGGTGCCTGTAACCCCAGCTCCTCAAGAGGCTTGAGGATTACTTGAGCCTAAGAGTTTGAGACTGCAGTAAGCCTAGATCACACCACTGCACTCCAGCCTGGACAACAGAGCAAGACCCTGTCTCCCTGCCCCCTCCGGCCCCCCAAAAAAAACAAAAAAATGAGTGGGTTGGGGATATTGGGGATATATATTGGAAATCGAATTAGATGTTGGATTGAATAGAAGTAAATGGCTGTCATACTTTTTGGATCTTGGAAAGTTTTCAAAGTTTAACTATTAAGTTGATCTTTCCTATTAGTTTTTTGAATATATACTGTTAACTTACCTTCTATTTCTCGTTTGCTGTATTAAAAAGAAATTTTTTTAAATTTGTTTTCGAGACAGGGTCTAGCTCTGTTGCCCAGGCTGGAGTCTAGTGGCGTGATCACGGCTCACTGCACCACCTACCTTCCAGGCTCAAGCTATCCTCCTGCCTCACCCTCCCAAGTAGCTGGGACTACAGGCATGTGCTACCATACCTGGTTAATTATTTTTATTTTTAGTAGAGACAAGATCTCACTATGTTGCCCAGGCTGCTGTCAAACTCCTGGAGTCAAGCAGTCCTCCCACCTTGACTTCCCAGAGTGCTGGGATTACAGGCATGAGCCACCATGCCTGGCCCATTTGAAAAAAAAAATTTTTTTTAAACAACTATAGCTTTAAAAAAAGAGTATTTTTCAAAAAATTAGCTGAGCATGGTGGCGGGTGCCTATAGTCCCAGCTACTAGGGAGGCTACTTGGGAGGCATGAACCCGGGAGGCAGAGGTTGCAGTGAGCCAAAATTGCGTCACTGCACTCCAGCCTGGGTCACAGAGCAAGATTCTGCCTCAAAAAAAAAAAAAAAAAAGTTTTGTTTTGTTTTGTTTTTTTAAACAGGAAAGGATGTTAAAATTCATTAAGCATCCTCCCCCACCCCCCGAGACAGGGTCTTTCTCTGTTGCCCAGGCTGGAGTGCAGTGGTTTGATCTCTGCTCACTGCAGCCTCTGCCTCCCAGGGTCAAGCGATCCTCCCACCTCAGCCTCCAGAGTAGCTGGGACTACATGTGCGAGCCACCATACCCGGCTAAGTTTTGTATTTTTCGTAGAGGTGGGGTTTTGCCGTGTTGTCCAGGCCCCTTTGGACTCCTGAGCTCAAGTGATCAGCCTGCCTCGGCTGCCCAAAGTGCTAGGATTACAGGTGTGAGCCACTGCCCCCAGCCCTTAACTTTTTTCTTCATCTGTTGAGATGATTATATGATTTTTACCTTTTAATCTGTTAGTAAGGTAAATTGCAAGGTTGATTTTCTGATATTAAACCGATTATGTATTCCTTTTTTTTTTTTTTTTTTTTTAAAGAGACGGGGTCTCCCTATGTTGCCCAGGCTGGAGTACAGTAGCTATTCACGGTTGCAATCATAGTACACTGCAGCCTGGAACTCCAGGGTTCCAGAGATCCTCCTGCCTCAGCCTCCCAAGTAGCTGGGACTGCAGGCACATTGCCCCATATCTGCCCACCCAATTTTGCATTTCTGCAATAAAACCAACATGACCGTGATATATTATCCTTCTTACAAATTGCTGGATTCTTTTTGCTGATATTTATTTGGGATTCCTTTTTTTTTTTTTTTTTTGCAATGGAATCTCACTTTGTTGCCCAGGTTGGAGTGCAGTGGCCCCGTGTTGGCTCACTGTAACCTCTGTCCCCTGGGTTCAAGCAATTCTCCTGCCTCAGCCTCCTTAGTAGCTGGGATTACAGGCACCCACCACCATGTCGACTAGTTTTTATATTTTTAGTAGAGACGGGGTTTCACCATGTTGGCCAGGCTGGTCTCAAACTCCTGACCTGAGGTGATCCATCCACCTTGGCCTCCCAAAGTGTTGGGATTACAGGCATGGGCCACCACGCCCGGCTATTTGGGATTTTTATACTTTTGAGAATGGCATGTAATCTTTCCTTGGTGTGTGTGTATGTGTGTCTCAGAGGTGGTTGCAGGAAAGGAAGTTAAATTTTGATCTCCCATGGTGGGAAGACAGACAGTTTAATGGCTAAAACTAGAAAAATAGCTGGGCACAGTGGCTCATGCTTATAATCCCAGCACTTTGGAAGGCAGAGGCAGGTGGATCGAAGCACATCAAATATCTTTCAGGTACCTGTTTACTTATTGCTAAAAGCAAGAACATTGATCCTGTTTATGTGTATTGTATTAATTTAGTGTTGTGGTGGAAATGCTAATATGGTTGAGTCAAAATCTCTAGCTATTCTTTTTTGAAATCTGCAGTGGCATTTTTTTCTTATCCAAGGATGAGATTCTAAAGTTAATACATAAAGTGAAAATCAAATATAGGGAGGCAGGAACTGAGACCAGTTCAGGAAACTTCACGTTATGCCTCTAAGTTCATATTCTTTCCAGGGCAAATACTCACTGAGTGAAATTTAAAGCATTATCAGCTATGCTAATAAGGTGCTATTTTCATGTGTTAAATTTTTTTGCTGAGTACTTATCGTTGACTTTCCCTCAGATAAATATACATATGATGCAAATTCACTATATTTAGATATCTAATTCAGGTGTCCCCAACCCCCTGGGCCGTGGAACGGTATAGGTCCACTGCCTGGATGGCACAGTGGGAGATCAGTAGCAGCCCAGCATTAGCGGCCTGAGCTCCGCCTTCTGTCGGATCAGCAGTGGCATTTGATTCTCACGGGAGCACAAACCCTGTTGTGAACTGCGCACACGAGGGATCTAGGTTGCGGGCTCCTTACGAGAGTCTAATGCCTGATGATCAGAGGTGGAACAGTTTCATCCCGAAACCATCCCCCATCACACCCTCCTGGTCTGTGGAAAAATAGTCTTCCCTAAAACTGATCCCTGGTTTGGAAAAGGTTGGGGACCACTTATCTAATTGATGTCCACTTTGGGAGTGGATTATTAAATAATCTGCAAACTCTTATAAGCTAGGCCAAATTTTTATTTGAACCAGTAAAGTCCCTAGCATCCTGATCAAAGTTAGTCACTGATTTTTATCTTGAGTGTGATAATTTTCCAGGAATATTAATTATAATAGTGGTTTAAATTTATTAAAATGGGCCAGGCGGGGTGGCTCACGCCTGTAATCCCAGCACTTTGGGAGGCCGAGGCGGGTGGATCATGAGGTCAGGAGATCGAGACCACGGTGAAACCCCGTCTCTACTAAAAATACAAAAAAAATTAGCCGGGCGCGGTCGTGGGCGCCTGTAGTCCCAGCTACTCGGGAGGCTGAGGCAGGAGAATGGAGAATGGCGTGAACCCGGGAGGCGGAGCTTGCAGTGAGCCGAGATGGCGCCGCTGCTCTCCAGCCTGGGCGACAGAGCCAGACTCCGTCTCAAAAAAAAAAAAAAATTCCTTAAAAATGCATCTTTTTTTTTTTTTTTTTTTTTTTTTTGAGACAGATTCTCGCTCTGTCGCCCAGGCTGGAGTGCAGTGGTGCAATTTCGGCTCACTGCAAGCTCCGCCTCAGCCTCCCTAGTAGCTGGGACTACAGGTGCACGCCGCCACGCCTGGCTAATTTTTGTGGGTTTTTTTGTTTTGTTTTTGTTTTTTTTTTGAGACGGAGTCTTGCTCTTTCGCCCAGGCCGGACTGTGGTGGCGCTATCTCGGCTCACTGCAAGCTCCGCCTCCCGGGTTCACGCCATTCTGCCTCAGCCTCCTGATTAGCTGGGATTACAGGCGCCCGCCACCGCGCCCAGCTAATTTTTTTTTTTTTCTATTTTTAGTAGAGACGGGGTTTCACCGTGTTAGCCAAGATGGTCTCGATCTCCTGACCCCGTGATCTGCCCGCCTCGGCCTCCCAAAGTGCTGTATTTTTTTTTTTTTCAGTAGAGACGGGGTTTCACCGTGTTAGCCAGGATGGTCTCGATCTCCTGACCTTGTGATCCACCCGCCTCGGCCTCCCACAGTGCTGAGATTACAGGCATGAGCCACCGCGCCCGGCCAAAATGCATCGTTTTATATCTTCATAATGTAGTTTTTTTCCTTCCTTTTTTTTTTTTTTTTTTTTTTGGAGACAGAGTTTTGCTCTTGTCGCCCAGGCTGGAGTGCAATGGAGTGATCTCAGCTCACCGCAACCTCCGCGTCCTGGATTCAAGCGAGTCTCCTACCTCAGCCTCCCAAATAGCTGGGGTTACAGGCATGCGCCACCACGCCCAGCTAATTTTGTATTTTGGTAGAGACGGGGTTTCTCCATGTTGGTCAGGCTGATCTCAAACTTCTGACCTCAGGTGATCTGCCTGCCTCGGCCTCCCAAAGTGCTGGGATTACAGGCATGAGCCACTGCGCCCGGCCTTTCCTTCCCATCTTTGGTCTTCCCTCAGAAAGTAACCCTGAAGTCACCATCTGTACTCTTAATCTTTTCTTAGACTGTAGTTGCTCTTCCTTTTTCCTCATGTTTTCTAATATTGTATATTTGTTACAGAAAAGTTTTCTTCAAAAATGGATGGGGTGTCTTCAGAGGCTAATGAAGAAAAGTAAGTTCATTTAATGCAGCTAAAAATATTATATTCTATCAGAGAAAGATATTTTTCTAATTAGTAAGACCTATCCATAACTTCTGAGATCTTTTTCCATTGTGTTCCAAGAAAAAGTAGTAGTTTTTTTTTTTAAATTATACTTTAAGTTCTAGGGTACATGTGCACAACGTGCAGGTTTGTTACATATGTATACATGTGCCATGTTGGTTTGCTGCACCCATCAACTCATTTACATTAGGTATTTCTCCTAATGCTATCCCTCTCCCAGTCCCTCACCCCCTGGCAGGCCCCGGTGAGTGATGTTCCCCAACCCTGTGTCCAAGTGATCTCATTGTTCAATTTCCACCTACGAGTGAGAACATGCGGTGTTTGGTTTTCTGTCCTTGTGATAGTTTGCTGAGAATGATGGTTTCCAGCTTCATCCATGTCCCTACAAAGTACATGAACTCATCCAAAAAGAAGTAGATGTTACAGACTCATAGCTTTCCTTGCCATTGCCATAACTTTGTATAAACTCATCTACTCTGGGCATGGTGGCTCACACCTGTAGTCCCGGCACTTTGAGAGGCTTAGGCCCAGTAACTTGAGACCAGCCTGAGCAACATAGTAAGACACCCCCGCCCCCCCATCTCTACAAAAAATAAATTTTTTTAAATGGAGGGCTCTTGGCTTTACCAGCCAGGGAGGATGCTTGGCTTTGCCCAGGAAAGAATTCATGGGCTAGCCAGCGGTGTTAAACAGCACTTTTATTGAAGTGGCATAGCGTAAAGCAGCAGCACTGGTATAGCTCCTTGCAGAGCAGGGCTACTCTGTAGGCAGTATGCCCAGAGTAGCAGCTCAGAGGCAGTTCTGCACTCATATTTATACCCATTTTTAATTATATGCAAATTAAGAGGTGTTTTATGCAGACATTTTTAGAATGAGGGTAGTAACTTCCAGCTTGTCAGGTCATTGCCATGGAAAGGGCAGGTAACTGCTGGGTTTTTGCCATAGCAATGGTAAACTGACAAGGCACCCTGGTGGGAGTGTCTTGTGGGGAGGTGCTTTTGCCCCAGACCTGTTTTAGCTAGTCCTCAATTTGGTCCTGTGTCCAAGCCCCACCTGTGGAGTCAAGTTCTGCCTCCTACCTCAAGACCCTGTCTCACATATCATCATCATCATCATCATCATCATCATCATCATCTCATCTAGGGTCAAATCTGAGAGGGACTTTAGATACTATCTCCTATCTCTTCAATTTAAGGATGAGAAAATTGAGAACCAGGAAAATTGAGAACCTATCTCTTCAATTTAAGGATGAGAAAATTGAGAACCAGGAAGAAAAATGATTTGTCTAAAATTGACATCACAACCTGGTGGCTTGTTTGCAGCCTGCAGTCATAAGTTTTTGGCTTATACATAGTATTTTTTGATTGTTTCTTTTTAAGAGACTGTGTCTTGCTTTGTTGCCCAGGCTAGATTTGGACTCCTGGGCTCAAGTGATTCTCCTGCCACAGCCTCCTGAATAGCTGGAAGTATAGACATGGGCCACTGTGGCTGGCTTTGGCCTACACATATTTTTTAGTTTTTGAATTAGTTGCCAAAATTTTAAAATCTCAAAATTTTGTACAATCGGGTTTTCAGCTTCTCTTGAAAAATCAAGCGTGGCAACACTGGGCTCCTATTCTTGTTTGGCAACAACTAACCACAGCAGAGGAATGACTGACCTTTAGGTGAGAGAGGAATTCTCTAGATTATTATAATCTCAACACTACCTATTTTTCTTGCTCCTAAAAAATTATCTGTTTAGCCTCATAGGCATTTGAATTTTCAAAACCTGGTCTAAAAATCGTATAGTAGTAAAACCAAAGCTAGCGTCTCTTGACTTATAGCCCATTTATCTTATTATTATACCTCTATAAATATGGTAAATTATGTTGTACTGATAATTATTCAAGAGATAGTCTCGTAGTACACAATATGTATTTTAAAACACTGAATTCCTAACTGAATTTAAAGTCTTGTATATAAATTTTGCTTGCCAGAGTGCTAAGAGAAAGTGATGACCAGTTTGAAAGCATGTAAGGGGTGCTGTGATGATGCCTTTTGTGAATTCATTTTTTTAAATCACTGTGTATATAATTTTGTTTTCCTTTTTCAGTGACAATATAGAGAGACCTGTTAGAAGACGGCATTCTTCAGTAAGAAAGACTTTCTTGAATTAATAATTGTCAGCTTTTATTTAATGATAACCATATATCACAGTAGTTTTGACTGTGGCTTCACCATCCTACCCTTACTGGCTTCCTGTTGCTCTCTAGATAAAGACTCAAATATTTAACGTGGTTATACAATTCTGTAAATATACCAAAATTCATACTTTATGAATTTTGTAGTAATTTTATGAATTTTATGCTATGTAAGTTATACTTCAATAAAGCTGTTTAAAAGATATGTTTAACCTGTGGTACAAAGCTGTTGCAAGAGACAGAAGACCTACCCAAACTGCTTTTGTGTTTTTGAGATAGAGTCTCGCTCTGTCGCCCAGGCTGGAGCGCAGTGGTGTGATCTCGGCTCACTGTAACCTCCGCCTCCTGGGTTCAAGCGATTCTCGTGTTTCAGCCACCTGAGTAGCTGGAATTACAAGCATGTACCACGTGTGGCTAATTTTTTTATTTTTTAGAAGAGATGAGGTTTTGCCATGTTGCCCAGGCTGGTCTCAAACTCCTGGCCTCAAGTGATCCTCCTGCCTCAGCCTCCCAAAGCGCTGAGATTACAGGCGTGAGCCACTGTGCCCAGCCCAAACTGCTTTAAGCACAAAATGTGTTGGGTTATGATACTAAAAAATCCAACGAAGGGATGGCTTTAGGCACACTTACTGACCAGAGATTCTAACCATGACACCAGTACTAGGATTTCCTTTTGCTTTTTCTACTCTTAGTGCTTCCTCTGGGTAATCTCCAGCAGATAGATTCTTTCCCTATAATTACTGTGATACATCTAGCTCTTTTACTTCCAGGCCCAAGTCCTACGTGAAGAATAGTGTCTTTTTCCTGAAAACAGAAAAGACTCAGAATTGAATCATGTTAGCTTGATTATCCTGATATGGGTCAAGTCCTCATTCCTGAACAAATCATCATTGACAAGAGAATATCAGATTGTTCTAGACAGAGCTATGTGTTTTACCCTAGAGTTGGTGTGGCATTCACTCAGACCATGTGGGATGAGAGCGGGTAGAATAATTGGAGAGGATGGGCAGGTAGAAGGGAATAGATGTCAGATATTTAAATCTGCCACACGGTATAGCATTGAGCAGAATGAATTTGAGGAGTTTCAGAGTTTTTAATGAAAATTTTAGCTTTCTACCTATGATATAACTTGAAATAAACTGATTCTTAATAGATATGCCAGATTTTTTTTGAATAATTCTAATTGTTACCCTAGATATTGAAACCCCCAAGGAGTCCTCTTCAGGACCTCAGAGGTGGGAATGAAAGAGTTCAGGTAAGTCTTTTGTGCAAATACTTTATAGATGACTATTTTCAGTTATATTTTTAAGTCAAGAAGTTTATTAGCTATTTGAAGAGGAAATGTGTAAGCATCCCATGAGTTTCCAAACACTTGAATATACTGGCATTCTTGATTTTTCATTTTTCTTCTTTTTTCTAGGAATGGCATCTCCCTCTCTTACCCAGGTTGGAGTGTAGTGGCACAATCATAAGTCCCTGCAGCCTTGCATTCCTGGGCTCAATCAATCTTCCCGCCTCAGCCTCCTGAGTAGCTGGGACTACGGCACATGCCATCATACTTAGCTATTTATTTATTTATTTAGAAACAGGGTCTGACTGTTGCCCAGACTGGAGTACAATGGTGCGATCATGGCTCACTGCAACCTCCTCCCCCTGGGCTCAAGAGATCCTCCCACCTTAGCCTCCTGAGTAACTAGGCCTACAGGAACATGCCACCATGCCCGGCTAATTTTTTATTTTTTATAGAGACAGGATTTCGCCATGTTGCCCCACGCTGGTCTTGAACTCCTGGGCTCAAGTAATCCACCCACCTTGGTCTTCCAAAGTGCTGGCATTACAGGCGTGAGCCACTGTACCCAGCCCTTAAAAAATTTTTGTTTTTAGTATAGACAGGGTCTTGCTATGTTGGCTGGGCTGGTTTTGAACTTCTGGGCTCAAGTGATCCTCTTGCCTGGGCCTCCCAAAGTGTGGGTATTATAGGCATGAGCCATCGTGCTGGGCCTTTCTTTTTTCATGTCAGATGTATAATGTGCCAACATCGTAACAAAGTTTGAAGAAAGCACATCTCACACATGCGTGTGAAAACCCAATCACACTTATGAACTACGAAAAGATCAGTATTCTTTTTTTTCAGTAAGAAATATATTAGTCTCTGTTAGTCCCAGTGTTTACCATGTCAGTATTGTCATATTAAGCTCAAGGCTACCTGTAGCATCTTCTAGGGCCTTAATCACATCACTGCTTTGATGCAGAGGGGTTACCATTTCTGATTCTTTATTATAATAAGACTTATGGTTAGGTATTCAGAATTAACCCAGTAAAACTCTCTGTGGATTTTGTTTCTGTCTTTTGATTATTATTATTATTTTATGTTTTTACTTGACAGCAAGCTCATCCTTAATGTCTTTTAGTTTTTGTGTATGGTATTTATGTGAGTAGAAATGTTTGCTCTTGTTAAAGAAGGTGGGGAAGGAAGGTAAAAATAGTGTATTCTAATGAAGAGATGCTCAACATCATTGACCATTAGGGAAATGTAAATCAAAACCTAAATGAGATATCACCTCACACCCATTAGGATGGTTAAAGTAAAAGACAATAACAAGTGTTGATGAGGATGCAGAGAAATTGGAACACTTGTGCTTTCTTGGTGGGGGTATAAAATGGTACAGCTGCTATGGAAAACAGTATGGCAATTCCTCAAAAAATTGAAAATAGAATTGCCATATGATCCAACAATTCCACTTCTGGATATATATCCAAAAGAATTGAAAGGAGAGTTTCAAAGAGATATTTGTACACCCATGTTCATAGCGGCATTATTCACATTAGCTAGAAGGTGGAAGCAACTCAAGTGTCCATTGATGGATGAATGGATAAACAAAATGTGGTAATATATACATGCAGTGAAATATCATTCAGCCTTGAAAAAAAGAAGGAAATTCTGACACATACTACAAAATGTGAAGAAGTAATTCAGAATAAGACTTGATCTCTGGCCGGGTGCAGTGGCTCATGCCTGTAATCCTAGCACTTTGGAAAGCTGAGGCGGGAGGATCACTTGAGGTCAGGAGTTTGAGACCAGCCTAGTCAACATGGTGAAACCCCATCTCTACTAAAAATACAAAAAATTAGAGGTTGAGACATGAAAATCACTTGAACCTGAGAGGCAGAGGTTGCAGTGAACTGAGATCGAGTTACTGTACTCCAGCCTGGGCGACAGAACAAAACCGTCTTGGAAAAAAAAAAAAAAAAAAAAAAGACTTGTCTGGGTGCAGGGGCCCATGGCTATAATCCCAGCAGCACTTTGGGAGGCCGAGGTGGGCCGATCACCTGAGGTCGGGAGTTCGAGACCAGCCTGACCAACATGGAGAAACCCCATCCCTACTAAAAATACAGAATTAGTTGGTCGTGGTGACGTATGCCTGTAATCCCAGCTACTCGGGAGGCTGAGGCAGGAGAATCGCTTGAATCCGGGAGGCAGAGGCTGTGGTGAGCCAAGATCACACCGTTGCACTCCAGTCTGGGCAACAAGAGCGAAACTCCATCTCAAAAAAAAAAAAAAAAGGACTTGATCTCTGTCTATAGTACTCTGGAGATGTAATTCACAGTGATTTTATTAAGAATTATACCATATATTCTCTGCCCTTAGGAATCCAATGCTTTGAGAAATAAGAAAAACTCTCGTCGAGTCAGCTTTGCAGATACTATAAAGTAAGTTGAAAGCAGAAATAACTAAAATATTATAGGTACTGGTATTTTGTGTATCAAACCAAATGTATTGGTACTGACTTGAATAATCTGTTTTGATTAAACATTAGTTATTCTTCAAAGGGTTATTCAGTATTATGTTTAAAAGAGAAACAAAGCATTCCCTCTAAAGTCAGGAACAAAACAATGATATCCAACTGTTATTTGACATTGTACTAGGGGCCGGGTGTGCTGGCTCACGCCTGTAATCCCAGCACTTTGGGAGGTTGAAGCCAGAGGATTGCTTGAGGCCAATAGTTCGAGACTAGCCCAAGCAACTTAGCGAGATCCCATCTCTACAAAAAAAAAAAAAAAAAAAAATTAGCTAGGCATGATACCCTGCACCTGTAGTCCCAGATACTTAGGAGGCTGAGGCTGGAGGATTGCTTCAGTTCAGGAGTTCTAGGCTGCAGTGAGCCATGATAGTGTCATTGCACTCCAGCCTGGGCAACAGAGTGAGACCCTGTCTCAAAAAAGAAAAAAGAATAGCTTCTATATAGTGAGTGATACCTAATATTAGCAGAATTAGAATGAACTGGTCGGATTCAAGGCAGATGTCAAATGCTCCTTGAAGCTTATTCTTAACCAGCCCAGTGAAAAGGGATCCCTTCCTATGGAGTCCATGCTACCATACCTGAACTGTTAATAACAAAAGCCAGTGAAATAATGTTTATAATCACTGTTCTAGCTCTATTTATAGTGGAAGCTCCTTGAGTCAAGGATCATGTGTTTGTATCCCAGGCCCTAGTATGATACCAGGTATATAGTGAGTGTTTAATAAATACTTGTTGAATTAAATGAATATTTTAGGTGATTGAGAGGGATATAATAATTACTAAGTCAGAGCTCATTTAAAAATTATAACCTCTGCAGTAACAAATGGCTCAGAATCTTAGTTAAAAATAAATAAATAAATAAATAAACTATAACAGCATTGTCTCTACTAGAAATAAAAAATATTAGTCAGGCTTGTTGGTGAGGCTACTCGGGAGGCTGAAGTGGGATGATCACTTTAACCTGGGAGATTGAGGCTACAGTGAGCTGTGATCGCACCACTGCAATCTAGACTGGGCAACAAAGCGAGACCCTGTTTAAAATCAAAAATAAAAACAAAACTATAGCAGATTTTATTGTGGTAAACTACTTTTGGCATTTGAAATACTAGGAGTATATGGCATAGCAAAGAGGAAGCTAAAATCAAAGTATTATCTTGACCTATCTCAACACAGACTATAAATCAACACCAAAAGATAATGATTACAAATTGCAGGTTTTCAATAATCTTTATTTTCTCTTCTAGGGTATTCCAGACGGAGTCTCATATGAAAATAGTGAGAAAGTCAGAAATGGAAGGTAAGTATGTTACTATAATTCCTGCTAAATCTGCTTTTTAAAAAATTTTACTGTAGCTATCTAACCAGACAACTAATATAACTTATTGTCTATCTTATTGCTTAAAAAATATATGATGGGCCATGCATAGTGGTTCACACCTGTGATCCCGACACTTTGGCAGTCTGAGGTGGGAGGATCGCTTGAGCCCAGGAGTTCAAGACCAACCTGGATAGCATAGTGAGATTCTGTCTCTACAAAAAATAAAAAATTAGCCAGGTGTGGGGGTGCATTCCTGTAGCCCCAGCTACTCAGGAGGCTGAGGTGAGAGGATCACTTGAGTCCAGAAGATTGAGACTGCAGTGATTGCACCAGTGCACTCCAGCCTGGGCAACAGAGCAAGACTCTGTCTCAAAAACAAAAAAAGTATACCTTGAGTCTTGGGAGTAGAGAGTAGAGTGGATAGTAAGTAAATTTATTTATTTATTTATTTTGAGACGGATTTTCACTGTTGTTCCCCAGGCTGCAGTGCAATGGTGCCATCTCAGCTGCAACTTCTGCCTCCTGGGTTTAAGCGATTCTCCTGCCTCAGCCTCCCAGGTAGCCGGGATTACAGGCATGCACCACCACACCCAGCTAATTTTTGTATTTTTAGTAGAGACAGGGTTTCACCATATTGGCCAGGCTGGTCTCGAACCCCTGGCCTCAAGTGATCCGCCTGCCTTGGCCTCAAAATGCTAGGATTACAGGCGTGAGCCACCACGTCCAGCAGTTAATAATTTTTTTAAATGTTGTTAATGTCCTTAAGTAATTTTTTAAAAATTTTATTGTATTTTTTTTTTTTTTGAGACAGAGTCTTGCTTGCCCTGTCGCCCAGGCTAGAGTGCAGTGGTGCGATCTCGGCTAACTGCAATCTCTGCCTCCCAGGTTCAAGCAATTCTCCTACCTCAGCCTCCTGAGTAGCTGGGATTACATGTGCACGCCACCACACCTGGCTAATTTTTGTATTTTTAGTAGAGACAGGGTTTCACCGTGTTGGTCAGGTTGATCTCGAACTCCTGACCTCGTGGTCCACCCGTCTCGGCCTCCCAAAGTTCTGGGATTACAGGCATGAGCCACCGGGCCCAGCTGTCCTTAAGTAATTTTTCTAATGCTTTATCAGTGTATCCTTGGACAAATTTAATTTTAATTTTATTTTTAGAAACAGAAACAGGAGAAAATCTTCTTTTGATACAGTAAGTAATATTCAAATTATATTTAAAAAGTTATAAATTAATATTATTTTTATTTCTTATTTTTGTGTTCCTTTTGTGGAATACTTAGGATTAATTCAGAAAACCAGTTATTTGCAGAATTTAGTATACTGCTATATCTGATTAATATGGCCATTGTACTGTTTATAGTTTTAATAGTGATGAAACAATATAATATATAAACCTTTATATTTATTAACTAATATAAAACAATAGATAGCAAGTCTTTAGTTTTTTTATTAAATTAATCTTTCTTATAATATTATTACATAGAAAGGCAAATACCAGTAGCTCTTCAACAAATGAAAAGATGGTTATCTTTATTCATCATAAGAGAAGTACAGATTTGATTATATTGAGATATTTTTGGCTGGACGTGGTGGCTCATGCCTGTAATCCGAGCACTTTGGGAGGCCGAGGCTGGTGGATCACCTGAGGTCAGGAGTTCGAGACCAGCCTGGCCAACATGATGAAACCCCATCTCTACTAAAAAAATACAAAAAATTGGCCGGGCACAGTGGCTTACGCCTGTAAACCAAGCACTTAGGGAGGCTGAGGCGGGTAGATCACGAGGTCAGGAGATCGAGACCATCCTGGCCAACGTGGTGAAACCCCATCTCTACTAAGAATACAAAAATTAGCCAGGTGTTGTGGTGGGCGCCTGTAGTCCCAGCTACTCAGGAGGTTGAGGTAGGAGAATCACTTGAATCTGGGAGGTAGAGGTTGCAGTGAGCCGAGATCATGCCACTGCACTCCAGCCTGGGCGACAGAGCGAGACTCCGTCTCAAAAAAACAAAAAAAACCCCAAAAAATTAGCCAGGTATGGTGGCACTGTGCCTGTAATCCCAGCTACTCAGGAGGCCAAGGCACGAGAATCGCTTGAACCCGGGAGGCGGAGGTTGCAGTGAGCTGAGATCATGCCCCTGCACTCCAACCTGGGCAGCAGAGCGAGACTCTGTCTCCAAAAAAGAGGTTTTTTTGCTGTTGTTGTTGTTTGTTTGTTGTTTAGACGGCATCTTCCTCTGTCGCCAGGCTGGAGTGCAATGGTACGATCTTGGCTCTCTGCAACCTCCGCCTCCTGGGTTCAAGTGATTCTCCTGCTTCAGCCTCCCGAGTAGCTGGGACTACAGGCGCCTGCCACCACGCCTGGCTAATTTTGTTGTATTTTTAGTAGACACGGGGTTTCACCATGTTGGCCAGAATTGTCTTGGTCTCTTGACCTCGTGATCCGCCCACTTTGGCCTCCTAAAGTGCTGGGATTACAGGCGTGAGCCACTGTGCCTGGCCTAAAAAAGAGATATTTTTATCCAGTCAGTTAAGGAAATAGGTAAAAAGTCACTCCGTGCTAGTGGGAGTATAATTTGTAGAAGGCAACTTGGTAATATCGTTCAGAATTTTAAATGCACATGCCCTTTGACTTCAGTTTTATGTCTGGAAATTATCTCACCAATATACGTGTAAATGTTTGAAATGATGAATAGATAAGGTTATTCACAGCAGCGTTTATTATAATAGTAAACGTTGTGAAAGGTCCTGAAGGTCCATCAGTAAGGGCCTGGTTAAATAAATTGTACATTTTCCATATAATTGACTATGCAGCCGGAAAAAAAATTTTATGCTAAATAGAGAAATCTCTAAGCTATATTACTTAAGATAAAAAGCAAGACGCAAAACAAAGTATATCATGTATTACCACTTGGGTAAAACAGGGAAGAAGAAAAGCGTGTGTGTGTGTGTGTATCTTCTCGTGTGTGTACATGTATAATGTATGTATATGTAGTGACTTATGCATATATATGCATAATATCTCTGGAAGAAACTAGTAAGATTGCCTACAGAGAAAAGAACCTTGCTATAGGTTACATGTTGGCTTTGTGGTTTATTAATTTAAAACCATATGAAAGTATTACCTATTACATTCTTAAAATTGTTGAAACGAAGAAATGGAAGTAATAGTAGTCATGGTTTAGAAAAGGTACAGAATCAACTCCAACAGAACTTAAAGGAAAAATAATTTTTTAAATAAAAAGGTACAGAAGTATATACATTGAAAAGTAAAAATTATTCCCTCTTTCCCTCTTCTTTCTTTTTTGTGAGACGGGGTTTCGCTCTTGTTGGCCAGACTGGAGTATAATGGCATGATCTTGGCTCACTGCAACCTCAGCCTCCTGGGTTCAAGCAATTCTCCTGCCTCAGCCTCCTGAGTAGCTAGGACTACAGGTGTGCACCACTACACCTGGCTAATTTATTTTATTTTTATTATTTTATTTTATTTTATTTTATTTTGAGATAGAGTCTCGCTCCGTCACCCAGGCTGGAGTGCAGTGGCGCCATCTCGGCCCACTGCAAGCTCCGCCTCCTGGTTTCACGCCATTCTCCTGCCTCAGCCTCCCTAGTAGCTGGGACTACAGGCGCCTGCCACCACGCCTGGCTCATTTTTTTGTATTTTTAGTAGAGACAGGGTTTCACTGTGTTAGCCAGGATGGTCTCAATTTCCTGACCTTGTGATCCACCCGCCTCGGCCTCCCAAAGTGCTGGGATTACAGGCGTGAGCCACCACGCCTGGCCCCCCTTTTTTTTTTTTTTGAGATGGAGTCTTGCTCTGTTGTGCAGGCTGGAGTGCAGTGGCCTAATCTTGGCTCACTGCAACCTCCGCCTCATGGGTTCAAGCAATTCTCCTGCCTCAGCCTCCCGAGTACCTGGGACTACAGGTGCACACCACCACGCCCAGCCAATTTTTGTATTTTTAGTAGAGATGGGGTTTCACCACGTTGGCCAGGCTGGTCTCGAACTCCTGACCTCAGTTTATCTGCCTGCCTTGGCTTCCCAAAGTGCTGGGATTTTAGGCATGAGCCACCACACCCGGCCTAATTTTGTATTTTTAGTAGAAGCGGTGTTTCACCATGTCGGCCAAGCTAGTCTCAAACTCCTGACCTCGGGTGATCTGCCTGCCTTGGCCTCCCAAAGTGATGGGATTACAGACGTGAGCCACCACACCCAGCCTATTCCCTCTTCTTCAGGTGACTCACTCCTTACAGATAACCACTGTTGACAATTTTTGGTGTACTTGCAGAAATTTTTTTTGTATGTCCAAGTGCATGTTTAGCTTTTATTTTTTTAAACAAGACAAAAATGGGATTGCCTAGTAATATGTCTTATAGCACTTTCTATGTTATTACATAAAGATTTACCTCAGTCTGTTACAATCTCTTGTATGGCTGCACCAACATTTAGTGAACTCCCTATTGATGGACACTTGAGTGGTTTCTTTCATGTACTTTTTGTTTTAAGGCTCAAGTTTTAGAAAAGGAATTGCTTTATAGGTCATTTTTTGAAAAAATAAGCAAGCAGTATATATTAAGCATATTTTTCTAGTTTATTTTTTTGAGATGGGGTCTCACTCTGTCACCCAGGCTGGAGTGCAGTGACATGATTATAGTTCATTGCAGCCCTGGACTTCAGGTCTCAAGTGATCCTCCCACTTCACGCTCCCAAAGTGTTGGGATTACAGATGTGAGCCACCACGGCTGGCTGATAATATTCTTGAAATTAGCAAACCATTAAGACCAATCTGAAAAGTATCCTTTAGTTGCCTTGTAATTCCTTCAGCCAGTATTAGATGAGTCTTTTTTTAAAAAGATGTCTTTATAATTTTCTGCATTAGATGAGTCTTTTTTAAAAAGATGTCTTTATAATTTTCTGCTAGTCATTCTATGAAAGTCTTTCACCTTCTGTACTCTTTCAGCTGTTATTGAAAGATTCTTGGTAATTGTTTGGGGTATAGATTATAAAAATACTTTTTAATTTTTAGGAATAAGAAATTAGAAGATAATTACTGTGAAATTACTGGTGAGTATGACTAGAATACTTTTCTTATAGTAAGATAGTCTATTCATCTAGGTTTCTTGATCACTATTATGTACAAGAAACCATGAACCACGAAAAAAAAGCAAACAGAGGCCAGGCACGGTGCTCACGCCTGTAATCCCAGTATTTTGGCAGGCTGAGGCAGGCAGATCACGAGGTCGGGAGATCGAGACCATCCTGGCCAACATGGTGAAACCCAGTCTCTACTAAAATACAAAAAAGTAGCTGGGCGTGGTGGTGCGCTCCTGTAGTCCCAGCTACTCGGGGCTGAGGCAGGGGAATCGCTTGAACCCAGGAGGCGGAGATTGCAGTGAGCTGAGATCGCGCCACTGCACTCCAGCAATGGCTCCAAACAGAGCTTTGTTCTTTTTTTTTTTTTTTCTTTTTGAGATGGAGTTTTGCTCTTATTGCCCAGGCTAGTGCAGTGGCACAATCTCAGCTCACTGCAACCTCCGCCTTCTGGTTTCAAGCAATTCTCCTGCCTCAGCCTCCCAAGTTGCTGGGATTACAGGCGCCCGCCACCACGCCCAGCTAATTTTTTTGTATTTTTAGTAGAGACAGGGTTTTACCATGTTGGTCAGGCTGGTCTCGAACTGCTACCCTCGTGATCTAACCGCCTTGGCCTCCCAAAGTGCTGGGATTACAGGTGTGAGCCACCGCGCCTGGCCCAGGGCTTTGTTCTTTACACATTGTCTTCAATTTAAAATTTCACAGGCTCACTATTACTTCTTTTTTTTTTTTTTTGAGATGAATTTTCATTCTTGTTGTCCAGGCTGGGGTGCAGTGGTGCAATCTGGGCTCACTGCAGCCTCTACCTCCCGGGTTCAAGCAATTCTCTTGCCTCAGCCTCCTGAGTAGCTGGGATTACAGGTGCCCACCACTACACCCAGCTAATTTTTTTTGTATTTTTAGTAGAGACAGGGTTTCTCCATGTTGGCCAGGCTGCTCTCAAACTCCTGACCTCAGGTGATCCACCCGCCTCGGCCTCCCAAAGTGCTGGGATTATAGGTATGAGCCACTGCACCCAGCCAACTCACTGTTACTTCTTTCAAACCTGCTGTTTCTCCTGTTTTCTCTGTCTTGGACTCCCACTCATTCAGTCATTCACTGAAGTCAGGAATCAAGAAGTCATTTTCAATTCTTCCTTTATGTCTAATGGCCATTTGGCCTACTTTCTGTTTTGTCTCCTAAATGTCTTGAAAATCGTTACCTATTCTGTATTCCTTCTGTGACTGCTTTAATTCAAGTTGTTATTATTTTTTCTTGGGCTACTGTATTTCATTTCTTATCCTTCCAATCCATTCTCCATATTTCTAAATTTGATTATGTTACCTCCCAGCTTAAAATGGTTCAATGACACTGTTTTGCTTACAGAATAAAGCCCATACTCCTTAGCAATGAGTTAGAATGTCCTTTATCACTTGGCCTGTTTTCTTCTCCAAACTTATCTCCTACCCATTATATAGGTATCCCATGCTCTAGCCCATGATGAATTATTTGCAGTTCACTATATAAACTCTTTTTCTGCCTATATGCATTTATTTTTCATTTTATTTCATTTTATTTTTTTGAGACGGAGTCTCACTCTGTCACCCAGGCTGAAGTGAGGTGGTGCGATCTTGGCTCACTGCAACCTCCGCCTCCCAGGTTCAAGCGATTTTCCTGCCTCAGCCTCCCGAGTAGCTGGGATTACAGGCACGTGCCACCAGGCCGAGCTGATTTTTGTATTTTTAGTAGAGATGGGGTTTCACCATGTTGGCCAGGCTGGTCTCAAACTCCTGACCTCAGATGATCCACCGCCTTGGCCTCCAGAGTGCTTGGATTACAGGCGTGAGCCTCCGCACTCAGCCCCTATATGCATTTATAAATGCTATTTTCTCTATCTAAAGTGATCTTTCTACTCCAGTTTGCCTATCAGGCTTCTCATTTTTCACTTCACTTAGTTTAACTTCAGTGCTATCCAAAGTGTCCAGTCCACAAACTAACTGCTCAGTCCATGACAGAAAAGGAATTTGTACCATAATGTGCCTTAACTGTGGCATTAAGCCACAGTTTAGTTTAGTTTACACTTTTTTCCTAGCAATTATTATTATATGATTTATGTTTGCCGCCAGCTCCTTATCTCGTTATGAATAGGTAACAAGCAGTTCACAGTCTGGCACCATACTTCAAGTAGCACTGGCTTAAATGGAACCCTCTCTGGCAAAACTAAGGAGTTAGTCAGATGTTCTGTGCTCCCATAACACCTCTTTTATTTTTCAGTATATTTTAGAATTTATCACATTGTACTTTAAGTATTTCTGGCTGTCTTATTAAAGAGGCCAAACTTTTTTTGCAGGCGGTGGGAGATACTCCTCCTTGAGGAGCACAGCTACCCCATAGGCAGTGTGCTCAGAATAGCCTGAACTACCATCTCTGAGAGTCCAGAAATTCAGAAATTTTGTCTTGTTCTTCTTTATACCTTAGTAGACATTTGAGGTGTGTTCGTTTGTTTGTTTTGTTTTTTCATGTAATAGGTTCTGAACCAACATTTGTTGAAAAAATGAATGGAAGCCTGAAATATAAATAAGGCTTTTAGTAAAAAAAAAAAAAAAAAAAAAAAAAAAAAAAAAAAAAAAGCTTATAATTATTTCATTATATGTACTCAAGCTCGTCATACATTCTTTAATGTGTTCTAAAGATTTGCCTTTAAACTTTAAATGTAAGTATTTTTAAATGTATTTCCTGTTTTAATATAGCCTTTTGAATCCCTTCCTTATTTACAAAGTCTGATTTGTAGTTCTAAAATAAGTCTTGAGTCTAATCCTTTATTTCCATTTTCATTGCTCTGTTGCCCTAACATGACCTCTTGCGTTAATCTGAACTATTGTAGTAACTTCCTTATTGGTTTATCTTCTCTTGAATCAACTTCTCCTTATTACTTTTTACTATTTTTCTAAAATGCATTATATTTTATAATGGGATTATTTTTATAAAGCACATGTGTCTTATCATGGGAATATCTAGATTCCTTAACATAGAATAAAAGACCCTTCAGAATCCTACCCTAACCTTTCAGTCTCATCATTTGATACTCTTCTCCATGGGACTTCTACTATCCAGGAAATAAAAATAGAGAAGTGAATAATAATAATAATAATAAGTAGTAGTCCAAACTTTCCATCTTTAAAATCACCACCACATTATAAAAATATTTCAGCCACACAGAGGATACAATAATTATTGGTCTCTCTGTCACTAACATAGGATAATTAAGTCTTATGAAATTTTATATGTTCCCAACACAAAAGATAAATGTTTGAGGTGGTGGATATTCCAGTTACCCTGATTTGATCATTACACAATGTATACAAGTATCAAAATATCACATGTAACACAAAAATATGTACAACAATGATGTATCAATTTTTAAAAAATTAAAAAAATTTAATACGTAAGTTCTTAAGGGCTTAGTTACTGGTAAATTCTAGTAAATACTTGTAACTGATGAAGAACCTAAGAAAAGGAAAATCAGGCTCAGTGTTATATTTTCTGACTACAGTTTTTTCTTTTTTCTAAATAGGGATGAACACATTGCTTTCTGCTCCCATTCATACCCAGATGCAACAGAAGGAGGTATGAGTTCATGCAAATACCTTCATATTGTAATGTCATTTGATTGTTAAAACAGAAAACACAATTCAATGATAATGGCATAGTTTAGGGATGACTTAAAAAAATGAATCAGCATAAACTGGAAAGGCTTCCTACCTTTCCAGTTAACTTAAGGATAGTTAAGTCACAGCCAGTTTAAGTAATGGGAGATACAGTATACCAGTACCTCTCAAAGTTTAAAGAGCACATGAGTCTTTATTTCTATTTCCTTAGTGATACTAGTACACAAGTCCATAGGCCATACTTTCAGTAGCAAAGAGTTAATCTGTGTCCTCACTGAGAAAACTGTTGTAGCACACAGTGTAATATATATATATATATATATATTTTAGGCTATCTCCTACAAGAAGGATTTTTTTTGGTTGTTGTTAGACACAGTCTTACACTGTTGCCCAGGCTGGAGTGCAGTGGCACAATCTTGGCTCATTGCAGCCTCAATCTTCTGGGCTGAAGCGATCCTCCCACCTCAGCCTCCTGAGTGGCTGGGACTACAGGTGCATGCCACCATGCCTAGCTAATTTTGTTCATTTTTTTGTAGAGACAAGGTCTCACTCTGTTGCCCAGGCTGGTCTTGAACTCCTGGGCTCAAGGGATCTTTCTGCCTTGGCTTCTCAAAGTGCTGGGATTACAAGTGTGAGCCACCAAGCCCAGTCTAGAATGTAATATAGATTAGCCATCATGGGCTTATGTCTTTCCTAGACTTTTAAAATTTAGGATAAGAATGACCTATTCAATATAGTAATTAGAATTTTTGTCATGTTTACATTTGGTGCTGTCAGTGTTTTTAATTTTTTAGTCATTCTAGTGGGTGTATAATTAACCTTGAATTTTTAATTTGTCCCAAAACACTAAAAAGTAAATTACTCGCAGACTTTAGATTTCTTTTTCTTTTCCTAATAGATTGGGTATTACTCTGTTGCCGAAGTTGGAGTGCAATGGTGTGATCCTAGCCTATGACAGCTCAAACTCCTGGACTCGAGCAGTCCTCCCACCTCAGCCTTCCTAGTAGCTAGGACAACAGGCATGCACCACTGTGCCTAATTTTTATAATTTTTTGTAGAGACAGGATCTTACTTTGTTACTCCTGGCTTCAGGCAATCCCCCTGCCTCAGCCTTCCAAAGTGCTTGGATTACAGGCGTGAGCCACTGTGCCTAGCCTAGAATAATTTTTTTTTTTTTTTGAGACAGAGTCTTGCTCTGTTGCCCAGGCAGTGGTGCAATCTCAGCTCGCTGCAAGCTCCGCCTCCCAGGTTCACACCATTCTCCTGCCTCAGCCTCCCGAGTAGCTGGGACTACAGGTGCCCGCCACCATGCCTGGCTTATTTTCTTTTTTGTATTTTTTAGTAGAGACGGGGTTTCACCATGTTAGCCAGGATGGTCTCGATCTCCTGCCCTCGTGATCCACCCACCTCGGCTTCCCAAGAATAATTTTTAATGACAAATTATATGCAACATGCTACACCATTGATTCAAGCAAACCAACGTGTTATGAAACCATCACTGAGGATTTTTTATATAATACATGTTGTAAAATGCCTTTTTAAAAGTTTGCTTTTGTTCTGATCTCTTATATTTTGCTTTCATTATAGTTTTCAATTATAGAACATACCCGTGAAAGGAAACATGCAAATGACCAGACAGTCATTTTTTCAGATGAAAACCAGATGGACCTGACATCAAGTCACACTGTAATGATTACCAAAGGCCTTTTAGATAATCCCATAAGTGAAAAGTCCACCAAGATAGATACCACATCATTTCTAGCTAATTTAAAGCTTCACACCGAGGACTCAAGAATGAAAAAAGAAGTAAATTTTTCCGTGGATCAAAACACTTCTTCAGAAAATAAAATAGATTTCAATGACTTCATAAAAAGATTGAAAACAGGAAAATGTAGTGCTTTTCCTGATGTGCCTGATAAAGAAAATTTTGAGATACCTATTTATTCCAAGGAACCGAACAGTGCCTCTTCTACACATCAAATGCATGTATCTCTTAAGGAAGATGAAAATAACAGTAATATTACTAGGCTCTTTAGAGAAAAAGATGATGGGATGAATTTCACCCAGTGTCATACAGCCAATATTCAGACATTGATTCCCACATCCAGTGAGACCAACTCACGGGAATCTAAAGGTAATGATATTACAATTTATGGCAATGACTTTATGGACTTGACATTTAACCACACTTTGCAGATCTTACCTGCAACAGGTAATTTTTCTGAAATAGAAAATCAAACTCAGAATGCCATGGATGTAACAACAGGTTATGGAACTAAAGCTTCAGGAAATAAAACAGTTTTTAAGAGTAAACAAAATACTGCTTTTCAAGACCTTTCCATAAACTCTGCAGACAAAATACATATTACCAGAAGTCATATTATGGGGGCAGAAACTCACATAGTCTCACAGACTTGTAATCAGGATGCCAGAATATTAGCCATGACCCCAGAATCTATATATTCTAATCCATCTATTCAAGGTTGTAAGACTGTTTTCTATTCTAGTTGTAATGATGCCATGGAAATGACCAAATGTCTCTCAAATATGAGAGAGGAGAAAAATTTGCTAAAGCATGACAGTAATTATGCTAAAATGTATTGCAATCCAGATGCTATGTCTTCTCTCACAGAGAAAACTATTTATTCCGGAGAGGAGAACATGGACATTACCAAGAGTCATACAGTTGCAATAGATAATCAAATTTTTAAACAAGATCAATCAAATGTGCAAATAGCAGCTGCACCAACACCCGAAAAAGAAATGATGCTCCAAAATCTTATGACCACATCAGAAGATGGGAAAATGAATGTAAATTGTAACTCAGTTCCTCATGTATCTAAGGAAAGAATACAGCAGAGCCTGTCAAATCCTTTGTCTATTTCATTGACTGATAGAAAGACTGAACTCTTATCAGGTGAAAATATGGATTTGACTGAAAGTCACACAAGTAACTTAGGAAGTCAGGTTCCTCTTGCAGCTTATAATCTAGCACCGGAGAGTACCAGTGAATCTCACTCTCAGAGCAAAAGCTCTTCAGATGAATGTGAAGAAATTACCAAAAGTCGTAATGAACCATTTCAGCGATCAGACATAATAGCCAAAAACAGCTTAACCGACACCTGGAACAAAGACAAAGATTGGGTTTTGAAGATTTTGCCCTACCTTGATAAAGATTCTCCTCAGTCAGCTGATTGTAATCAGGAGATAGCAACAAGCCATAATATAGTCTACTGTGGTGGAGTTCTTGATAAACAAATAACTAATAGAAATACAGTATCATGGGAACAATCTTTGTTTTCTACCACAAAGCCATTATTTTCATCAGGACAGTTCTCTATGAAAAATCATGATACTGCTATAAGTAGTCATACAGTGAAATCTGTACTAGGCCAGAATTCTAAACTGGCTGAGCCACTGAGGAAAAGTTTAAGCAATCCCACACCTGACTATTGCCATGACAAGATGATTATATGTTCAGAGGAAGAGCAAAATATGGATCTAACAAAGAGCCACACTGTCGTCATTGGATTTGGTCCTTCTGAACTACAAGAACTTGGTAAAACTAATTTAGAACACACTACTGGCCAGCTAACAACAATGAACAGACAGATAGCTGTAAAAGTTGAAAAATGTGGTAAAAGTCCCATAGAAAAAAGTGGAGTGCTTAAATCTAACTGTATTATGGATGTGTTAGAGGACGAAAGTGTACAGAAACCTAAATTTCCAAAGGAAAAGCAAAATGTCAAAATTTGGGGAAGGAAAAGTGTTGGTGGACCAAAAATTGATAAGACTATTGTATTTTCAGAAGACGATAAGAATGATATGGATATCACTAAGAGTTATACAATAGAAATAAACCATAGACCTTTATTAGAGAAACGTGATTGTCATTTGGTGCCATTGGCAGGAACTTCTGAAACTATTTTATATACATGTAGGCAGGATGACATGGAGATCACTAGAAGTCACACAACTGCCTTAGAATGTAAAACTGTCTCACCAGATGAAATAACTACTAGGCCTATGGACAAAACTGTAGTGTTTGTAGATAATCATGTTGAACTAGAAATGACAGAGTCCCATACTGTTTTCATTGACTACCAAGAAAAGGAAAGAACAGACAGACCTAACTTTGAACTATCCCAAAGGAAAAGCCTAGGAACACCAACAGTGATATGTACTCCTACTGAGGAGAGTGTTTTCTTTCCAGGAAATGGTGAAAGTGACCGTCTAGTAGCAAATGACAGCCAGCTAACCCCTCTGGAGGAATGGTCTAATAATAGGGGCCCTGTAGAGGTAGCTGATAACATGGAATTGTCTAAATCAGCCACTTGCAAAAACATCAAAGATGTACAAAGTCCTGGATTTCTGAATGAACCTCTATCAAGCAAAAGTCAGAGAAGAAAAAGCCTTAAGCTAAAAAATGACAAGACCATTGTATTTTCAGAGAATCATAAAAATGATATGGATATTACCCAGAGTTGTATGGTGGAAATAGATAACGAAAGTGCCCTGGAGGATAAAGAGGACTTCCATTTGGCAGGGGCTTCTAAAACTATTTTGTATTCATGTGGGCAGGATGACATGGAGATCACTAGGAGTCACACAACTGCCTTAGAATGTAAAACTCTCCTGCCAAATGAAATAGCTATTAGGCCCATGGACAAAACCGTATTGTTCACAGATAATTACAGTGATCTGGAAGTCACCGATTCCCATACTGTTTTCATTGACTGTCAAGCCACAGAGAAAATACTTGAAGAAAACCCTAAATTTGGAATAGGAAAAGGAAAAAACTTGGGTGTTTCCTTTCCTAAGGATAATAGCTGTGTTCAAGAAATCGCTGAAAAACAAGCACTGGCTGTAGGAAACAAAATAGTTCTTCACACCGAGCAAAAGCAACAACTCTTTGCTGCTACTAATAGAACTACTAATGAAATCATCAAATTTCATAGTGCTGCTATGGATGAAAAGGTCATAGGGAAAGTTGTAGACCAGGCCTGTACATTGGAAAAAGCGCAAGTTGAAAGCTGTCAGTTAAATAATAGAGATAGAAGAAATGTGGACTTTACAAGTAGTCATGCAACTGCTGTTTGTGGATCCAGTGATAATTATTCCTGTTTACCAAATGTTATTTCCTGTACTGATAATTTGGAGGGTAGTGCCATGCTCTTATGTGATAAAGATGAGGAAAAAGCCAATTATTGCCCAGTGCAAAATGATCTTGCTTATGCAAATGATTTTGCCAGTGAATATTACTTGGAATCTGAGGGACAGCCTCTCTCTGCTCCTTGTCCTTTGTTAGAGAAGGAAGAAGTTATTCAAACCAGTACCAAAGGACAGTTAGACTGTGTTATAACACTGCACAAAGATCAAGATCTGATTAAGGATCCACGAAATCTATTGGCTAATCAAACTTTAGTATATAGTCAAGATCTGGGGGAGATGACTAAACTTAATTCAAAGCGAGTATCTTTTAAGCTTCCAAAGGATCAAATGAAAGTCTATGTTGATGACATTTATGTTATTCCTCAGCCTCATTTCTCAACCGACCAACCTCCATTACCTAAAAAAGGACAGAGTAGTATCAATAAAGAAGAAGTAATACTGTCTAAAGCTGGAAATAAGAGTTTAAATATTATAGAAAATTCCTCTGCACCCATATGTGAAAACAAGCCCAAAATACTCAATAGTGAGGAATGGTTTGCTGCAGCCTGTAAAAAAGAACTGAAGGAAAATATTCAAACAACTAACTATAATACAGCTCTAGATTTCCACAGTAACTCAGACGTAACTAAGCAAGTCATTCAAACTCATGTCAATGCTGGAGAAGCACCAGATCCTGTAATTACATCTAATGTTCCATGTTTTCATAGTATCAAACCAAATCTGAATAATTTGAATGGAAAAACTGGAGAGTTTTTAGCCTTTCAAACTGTTCATCTACCACCCCTTCCAGAGCAATTACTTGAATTAGGAAATAAGGCACACAATGATATGCATATAGTGCAAGCTACAGAAATACATAATATTAACATAATCTCCAGCAATGCTAAAGATAGTAGAGATGAGGAAAATAAAAAGTCTCATAATGGAGCTGAAACCACCTCTCTACCGCCAAAGACAGTTTTTAAAGATAAAGTAAGGAGATGTTCTTTGGGAATCTTTTTGCCTAGATTGCCCAACAAGAGAAATTGTAGTGTCACTGGTATTGATGACCTGGAACAGATTCCAGCAGACACAACTGATATAAATCACTTAGAAACTCAGCCGGTCTCTAGCAAAGATTCAGGCATTGGATCTGTTGCAGGTAAACTGAACCTAAGTCCTTCTCAATATATAAATGAGGAAAATCTTCCTGTATATCCTGATGAGATCAATTCTTCAGACTCTATTAACATAGAAACTGAGGAAAAGGCCTTGATTGAGACATACCAAAAAGAGATTTCACCATATGAAAATAAAATGGGAAAAACTTGCAATAGCCAAAAAAGAACGTGGGTACAAGAAGAAGAAGATATTCATAAGGAGAAAAAAATCAGAAAAAATGAGATTAAGTTTAGTGATACGACACAAGATCGGGAGGTGAGCTCTGTCTTGAACCAAAGAATGTTCTTGAATTTTGGGTTTTGTTTTGTTTTCTTAAATTGTGGGTATTCTCAAATTTTAATCTTAGTCTCGGGTAGGCAGAAAATAATTATTTCCACTTAGAGGGCTGGAGAAATATTCTTATGTAGAACCTTCAGAAATTAATTGACTAACAGCTAGACTTCAAAGCAATTTAAAGTGACAAATAGTCACAAAAAAATTAAATGGAAAATTGTACAAAAAGTAGCCAAAGTTAAAATTGTATAATTTCAAAAATTTCAAAAGGTATGTATACTGTCACCTCTAGTGATTTGTCAATTTGGCTTTATATAAGAATCTCTAGGGAGGTTATATATAGCTTGAAAAGTCATCTTCAGTGTTGTTATATTTGGGGAGTAAAAAGCTTTTTATTTTGCCAACTGCATGAAGTAAAGCTTGACTGAATTTCCTTGGCTGACAAGGATATGTAGAAGTTGAGAGTCCATTTTCTTTATTATTTAATTTTATTTTTATTTTATTTTATTTTTGAGACAGAGTCTTGTTCTGTTGCCCAGGCTGGAGTGCAGTTGTGTGATCTCAGCTCACTGCAACCTCTGCCTTCTGGGTTCAAGTGATTCTCCTGCCTCAGCCTTCCGAGTAGCTAGGATTGCAGGTGCCTGGCACCACACCCGGCTAATTTCTTTCTTTTTTTTTTTTTTTGTATTTTTAGTAGAGATTGGGTTTCCCCATGTTGGCCAGGCTGGTCTCGAACTCCTGATCTCAGGTGATCCACCCACCTTGGCCTGCCAAAGTCCTGATATTACAGGAGTGAGCCACCACGTCCAGCCTGCATTCTATTTTCGATAAATATATAGATTATCTGCTATGTCTTAGGCACTGTTTTATGTGCTGGGAATGCAGAGAAAAATCTGCTGTCATGGAGTTTACATAATATTTATTCATTTATTTATTTTTGAGACAGACCCTCGCTCTGTTGCCCAGGCTGGAGTGCAGTGGCGCGATCTCGGCTCACTGCAACCTCCATCTCCCTGGTTCAAGTGATTGTCGTGTCTCAGCCTCCCAAGTAGATGGGAGTACGGGTGCACACCACAATGCCCAGCTAATTTTTGTATTTTTAGTAGAGACGAGGTTTCACCACGTTGGCCAGGCTGGTCTCAAACTCCTGGCCTCAAGTGACCCACCCACCTCGACCTCCCAGAGTGCTGGGATTACAGGCATAAGCCACCACGGCCCATAATGGCGTTTATTTATTTATTTTTGTTTTGTTTTGAGATTAAGTCTTGCTCTGTTGCCCAGGCTGGAGCACAGTGGCGTGATCTCAGCTCACTGCAACCTCCGCCTCCCAGGTTCAAGCGATTCTCCTGCCTTGGCCTCCTGAGTAGCTGGGATTACAGGCATGTGCCACCACACCCGGCTAATCTTTGTATTTTCAGTAGAGTCAGGGTTTCACAATGTTGGCCAGGCTGGTCTTAAACTCCTGATCTCAAGTGATCCACCTTCCTTAGCCTCCCACAATGTTGGGGTTACAGGCGTGAGCCACAGCGCCCAGCCCCCTTAATAGCATTTACATAAAAGAATATATTGTTTTCAGCCAGGCGCGGTAGCTCATGCCTATAATCCCAGCACTTTGGGAGGCCAGGGCAGGTTGATCACGAGATCAGGAGATCAAGACCATCCTGGCTAACACGGTGAAACCCTGTCTCTACTAAAAATACAAAAAATTAGCCAGGCATGGTGGCGAGCACCTGTAGTTCCAGCTACTCAGGAGACTGAGGCAGGAGAATGGCGTGAACCCGGGAGGTGGAGCTTGCAGTGAGCCGAGATCACGCCAGTGCACTCCAGCCTGGGCAACGGAGTGAGACTCCGCCTCAAAAAAAAAAAAAAAAACTTACCAAAAGCATGTAAGAAGATAGATGAAGATGGCATTTAAAGCTGTGAAGTCAAATGGTTAAAATAGTAAAAGCAGGACCACATAACTTATTCAGCTAAAGAAGTCTTGGTCAGCTGGGGAGGAAAGTAGTAAAGCCTGGAAATAAGTTTATTGTCTGGACTCTAGCCAGGGCCACCACATACAGCCAATATTCTAGTCTGGTTTTCTGCAGTGTGGTTGCCCTGCTGTTGGTGGCTAGTAGTTGAATAATTGGATAGGTGAACATTTGATAGCTTACAGGATCTGATTATAACTTAGATATATAATGAGAAATAATTTGCATACACAGTATAATCCATAGAGTAATTTTCAATAAAATTACTTTTAACTCTAATTAAAGGCTTAAGATGTTTGTTACTTATTCTAATTCTTCACTAAGATATTTCATATGAATTATAGATTAATTGTATGTTAGAAGTAGTATTTCTGTTAGTGTTTGTCGTAAGTATACAGTGTATATTTTATTCTGATGATATTCCTTAATTGACAATTTCAGATTTTTGATCACCATACTGAAGAGGATATAGATAAAAGTGCTAACAGTGTATTGATAAAAAACCTGAGCAGGACCCCATCTAGTTGCAGCAGCTCTCTGGATTCAATCAAGGCTGATGGGACCTCTCTGGACTTCAGCAGTAAGAGCTTCATGAAGGCTAAATAATAGCAGCCATCTGCTTACTTAACTAATAATAAGTAGTTTTCAGTTCAGGAAATATTTGAATGTTGTATATGCCTTTTTGGGGTTATAAAAAGTTGATCAGTAAAATAATATTTAGTTTATTTTTAATTCTTAGTTTGTAATGCACTGAGAAGTGACATACTACAGAGAAATAGAGTGATTTCCTTCATGGGCTTATAATTAGTGGAGAAACACTGGAGCCTTAAAACTATAATATACTTTGCCCTGCTACATGACTGTCTTCCCAGAAAGATCCCAATGGGTAGCTTCAGGATCAGAAACAATCTGAATGATAACCACAATTAAGTTCACAGTTTAGTTTTGACTTGTTCGTCACCAGAATTTGCTTTACTTCTAGCTTACCGCAGTAGTCAAATGGAATCACAGTTTCTCAGAGATACTATTTGTGAAGAGAGCTTGAGGGAGGTATGTTAAAATTCTTTTTCTTTTTTTTATTTATAAAGAAAAGAGGTTTAAACGTCTCATTTCTAATACACGTAATATTCTTGGTTTAAAAAATTTTTTTTAATTACGAAATATTTCAAATATACAGAAGACTACTTTTCTTTGTTAAAGATCCAACATAACAATTAATTAAATGGAGTAGAAGTCATGATTAAAAGGTATTTGTTTTGGCCGGGCATGGTGGTTCATGCCTGTTATCTCAGCAACATGGTGCCTGAGGGAAGAGAATCACTTGAGCCCAGGAGTTCAAGGCTGCAGTGAGCCATGATCACACAACTGTACCCCAGGCTGGGTGACAGAGCAAGGTCTTGTCTCAAAAAAAGAGAAAAAAATGATGTATCTTTTGGGTTTTGGGATTTTTAAAACTCTATTTGTTATTCAATAACCTTAAGAAATGATCTTAGATAAAATCTGCTCATGTATAGCCTGCAGATATCTGGATAATATTTCCATAAATGTATACAAGATACCTTAAGCTTTTAGAAACAAATGAAGTGGTTATATCAAAGTGAAATCACATTGAATGGTCATGCAAACTTTTTTTTCTTTTCTCAGAAACTCCAAGATGGGAGAATAACAATAAGGGAGTTCTTTATACTTCTCCAGGTCCACATCTTGATACAGAAACCCCGACAGAGCAATCTCCCAGGCAATGTAAGTGCAGTTTCTTGGCAAAATGTTTGCATCAAAGCAAACATTTATTTAAAAGCACAAAAAGAATGGAAGAGAGCAAATTTTCCTATAGAGAGTTTTCTTTTTTTTTTTTTTTTGCCTTTTCTTTTTTTTTTTTTTTTTTTTTTTTTTGAGATGGAGTCTCGCTCTGTTGCCCAAACTGGAATGCAGTGGCGCCATCTCAGCTCACTGCAACCTCTGCCTCCTGGGTTCAAGTGATTCTCTTGTCTCAGCCTCCTGAGTAGCTGGGACTACAGGCGCGTGCCACCACACCCGGCTAATTTTTGTATTTTTGTAGAGACAGGGTTTCACCATATTGGCCAGGCTGGTCTTGAACTCCTGACCTCGTGACCCACTTGCCTCAGCCTCCCAAAGTGCTGGGTTTACAAGCGTGAGCCACTGCGCCCGGCCGAGAGTTTTCTTATAGTAGAGAGATTTGTGGTTAGCATAAACAAAAACCAAAAATTTTCACATGGATTTTTTTAATCATGGATTTCGATAAGATAAAATTTGAATTTTCCCTTCATTCCTTGCCATCTATTTTTTTGATACATTTTCCTGATTACAGAACTAACATGGGCTTTTTCCTCCATTATAAAAATCTAAGGGTAGCAGAGGTTTTTAATGAACAGTTTTCAAAATCAAAAATATGTAAACTGGATACAGTGGCAGGTGCCTGTAATCACAGCTACTCAAGAGGCTGAGGTGGAAGAATCACTTCAACACAGGAGTTTGAGGCCAGCCTGGGCAACATATCAGTATCCTGTCTCAAAAAATTTAAGATCATAGAATATTTGAATAATACAATCAACGCTTTCAATTGAAAAGATTAATAGAAAAACTTATATTCCTTACATAGGAATGTTTTTTGTCTTAAGGCTGTCAGACATTTCCAAAAGTTAGTTATACTCTTGGCCACAAAGAAAACATTAATAAATTTTTTAAAATGGAGGTTTTATAGAGACTACATCATCTAATCTTGATCCAATACAATTAGAACTTATAAAAGAACCAAAACATTCTGAGATTCTTAGAAATTAAGAAACACAATATCTTGTAGATGAAGCATCCCCAACCCCTGGGGTTAGGAACTGGGCCAAACAGCAGGAGGTGAATGGTGGTGGAGTGAGCAAAGCTTCATCTGTATTTACAGCCACTTCCCATTGCTTGCATTACCAACTGAGCTCTGCCTCCTTTCAGATCAGCAGTGGCATTACGTTCTCACAGAAGCACGAACCCTATTGTGAACTGCACACATGAAGGATCTAGATTGTGTACCCCTTATGAGAATCTAATGCATGATGATCTGTCAGTGCCTCCCCACCCCGAGATGGGACCCTCTAGTTGCAAGAAAATCATCTTAGGGCTCCCACAGATTCTATATTATGATGAGTTGTATAATTATTTCATTATATATTACAATGTAGTAATAATAGAAATAAAGTTCAGACTGGGCATGGTGGCTCACACTTGTAATCCCAGCACTTTGGGAGGCCCAGGCAGACAGATCGCCTGAGCTTAGGAGTTCAAGACCAGTCTGGCCAACATGGCTGAACCCGTCTCTAAAACAATACAAAAATTAGCTGGGCATGGTGGCACACACCTGTAGTCCCCGCTACTCAGGAGGCTGAGGTGGGAGGATGGCTTGAGCCCAGGAAGTGAAGGTTGCATTAAGCCAAGATTGCACCACTGCACTCCAGCCTAGGCAACAGAGCCGGACCCTGTCTCAAAAAATAAAAATAAAAATAAATAAAAATAAAATAAAAACAAGGAAGTTCACAATAAATGTGCTTGAATCATCCTGAGACTATCCCCTCTTCCTGGTCCTTGGAGGAATTGTCTTCCATGAAACTGGTCCCTGGTGCCAAAAAGGTTGGGGACTGCTGTTGTAGACAACATAGTTGGGTAAAAAAAAAACAGGAAACACTTCTAGATAACTCCTAGATCAAAGAAGTCGAAAATATTTCTTAGTAAAGGAGAATATTTAATGGCTAGTCTGTGGGACATACAGCAAAAGCTATACTTAGCAGGAATTAAAAGCCTTAGATATCTTTGTTGTCGTGGAGTCTAAAATTAAAGAAATTTTTATTTATTTATTTTTTATTTTTAGAGACGAGATCTTGCTATGTTGCCCAGACTGGTCTTGAGCTCCTGGGCTTAAGCAGTCCACCCACCTTGGCCTCCTAAAGTGCTAGGATTACAGGCATGAGCCACCGTGCCCAGCCAAGATATTAATACTCATAATATCCACAAAAAAGATAGGAAGATAGAATTAATATAGGTAAAAAGTAGAGCTAATGAAATAGAAAACAAAAATTGTTGGAGAGGATAAATCCAGGCCAGGCATGGTGGCTCACACCTGTAATTTCAGCACTTTGAGAGACCAAGGCGAGAGGAATGCTTGAGCTCAGGAGTTTGAGACCAGCCTCGGGAAAATAGGGAGACCCTGTTTCTACAGAAAATTTTAAAATTAGCCAAGTGTAGTGGCCTGTGCCTGTGGTCCCAACTACTCAGGAGGCTGTCATGGGAGGATCTCTTGAGCCCAGGGGTTCAAGGCTGCAGTGAGCTATGATTGTACCACTGCCCTCCAGCCTGGTCAACAGAACAAGACCCTATCTCAAAAAAAAAAAAAAAAGAATAAATCCAAAAGCTATACTTTGAAAAGACAATAAAATAAGAAAACTCCTGAAGAGTCTAATTAAGAAGAAATAAGCAGCTGCGCACAGTGGCTGGTGTCTGTAATTCTAGCTATGTGGGAGGCTGAGGAGGGAAGATCACTTGAAACCAAGAGTTCAAGACCAGCCTGGGCAACATAGCGAGACCCCCCCCCACCCACATCTTTTAATTAAATAAGTGAATGAAAAAAGAGAAAGCTAAAATATAGAAGATTAAGAAAGAAAACGTACTCATAGATTAAAAGAGACTAAAATAATTTTTTGTTGGGTGCCATGGCTCACATCTGTAATCCCAACACTTTGGGAGGCAGAGGCAGGAGGATTGCTTGACCCTAGGAATTTGAGACCAGACCAGGCAACAGGTGAAATCCTGTACAAAATGAAATAATTAGCCAGGCCTGGTAGCATGTGCCTGTAGTCCCAGCTACTCGGGAGGCTGAAGTGGGAGTATGACTTGAGCCCAACAGGCAGAACTTGCAAGGAGCCAAGATTGTACCACTGCACTCCAGCCTTGGAGATAGAGCCGGACCCTGTCTCAAAAAAAAACGAAGAAAGTGAAAAGGCAACCCACAGAATGTGAGAAAACAGTTGAAATCATACATCTGATAAGAAGCTTTATCCAAAATATATAAAGAACTCTTACAACTCAATAATAAAAATACAATCCAATTTAGGCCTGGCTTGGTAGCTCATGCCTGTAATCTTAGCACTTTGAGGGGCCTAGACTAGAGGATTGCTTGAGCTCAGGAGTTTGAGACCAGCCTGGGCAACATAGTGAGACCCCATCTCTATTTAAATAAATAAATAAAACATAGTGAGACTCTGTCTCTATTTAAATAAATAAATAAAATACGACCCAATTTAAAAATGATCAAAGGATCTGAAAAGATATTTTTCCAAAGAACAGTCATGTACTGCGTAAGGACGTTTTGGTTAACAACGGACCACATATACACAGGGGGTCCCATAGGATTTTTATGGAGGCCAGGCATCGTGGCTCACACCTATAATTCCAGTGCTTTGGGAGGCCAAGGCAGGTGGGTCATTTGAGGCCAGGAGTTTGAGACCAGCCTGGCCAACATGGTGAAACCGCATCTCTACAAAAATTACAAAAGTTAGCCAGGCATGATGGCGCGTGCCTGGAGTCCCAGCTACTGAATCGCTTGAACCCAGGAGGCGGAGGCTGCAGTGAGCTGAGGTCACGCCACTGCGCTCCAGCCTGGGCGACAGAGCGAAACTCTGTCTCAAAAAAAAAAAAAAAAAAAATTGTAATGGAGCTGGAAAATTCCTATTGCCTAGTGACATTGTAATGTAGCACAACACATTACTCACATGTTTGTGGTGATGCTAATGTAAACAAACCTGCGCTGCCATTCCTGTTAAAGGGTAGTACATATAATTATGTACAGTAACATAATACTTGATAATGATAACAGACCATTAGGTTGCTGTCTTATGTATTTACTATACTATACTCTTTATTGTTATTTTATTTTTTTGAACCAGAATCTCACTTTGTCACCCAGGCCAGAGTGCAGTGACCTTGGCTCACTGCAGCTTCAACCTCCTGTGCTCAAGGGATTCTCTTGCCTCAGCCTCCCAAGTAGCTAGGATTATATGCACAAGCCACCACACCTGGCTAATTTTTAAATATTTCTTAGAGATGGGGTCTCGGTATGTTGACCAGGCTTGGTCTCAAATTCCTGGCCTCAAGCAATCCTATTTTGCCTCTCAAAGTGCTGGGATTGCAGGTGCAAGCCACCATGCCCAGCCCTTATCGTTATTTTAGAGTATATTCCAACTTATAAATAAAACAAGTTAACTGTAAAACAGCCTCAGGCAAGTCCTTCAGGAGTTATTCCAAAAGAAGGCATTGTTATCATAGGAGATGATAGCTCCATGGGTGTTATTATTTCTCAAGACCTTCCAGTAGGACAAGAAGTGGAGGTGGAAGACAGTGATATTAATGATCTTGACCCTGTGTAGGCCTAGGCTAATGTGTGTGTTTGTATTTTAGGTTTTTGTTGTTGTTGTTGTTGTTTGTTTGTTTGTTTGTTTTGAGATGGAGTTTCTCTCTTACTGCCCAGGCTGGAGTGCAGTGGCATGATCTTGGCTCACTGCAACCTCCGACTCCCAGGTTCAAGCGATTCTTCTGCCTCAGCCTCCCAAATACCTGGGATTACAGGCACATGCCACCACACCTGGCCAATTTTTGTATTCTTAGTAAAGACAGGGTTTCACCCTTTTGGCCAGGCTGGTCTCGAACTCTTGACCTCGTGACCCGCCCACCTCAGCCTCCCAAAGTGCTGGGATTACAGGCATGAGCCACCACGCCTGGTGCGTGAATATACTTTAAAATTCGTTTAATTGTATACTTAAATGGATGGATTGCATTGTGTGTGGATTATATCTCCATAAAGCTGTTTAGAAACAAATCAATTACTGGAGAATTATATATTTGAATGTGAAAGGTAAATCAAGGATAGAAATTGGGAAGATGGGCACACAACTCTTTTGGGCCTCAGCCTCATTACCATGATAGCTGCCAGTAGAATCCTCTTGCCTCAGCTATAGATAGGGAGGAGAAAGGAGCTTAGGTGTGCATCCAGGGGCTGATACTCTTTCTACTTTTCTTATAAAGGGAAAGTAGAAAGAGTATTAGGAGACCAAGACCAAACAGAGGAGAGCAGAGGGGAAGGATAGGAACAGGGAGGATATTGGCAGGGTGAAGGAGGGAGAGGATGCTTTAGGAATTGATCCTTGACAAATTGATGTTATGAATCTTCCCCTTTCCTCCCAGGTCTTGCTGAAGTCAGGAGGGGTAGTGATAGGAAAATATATCTGGGAACAAACCTATCAAAATGGAAAGAGTTCAGGGTACTTCGGGAAAGAAGTTGAAAATCCCAAAATAGGAAAAGGCCAAAGAGATGGATTATATGTGGACCATGGAAAATGAGGTTCGTGGCTGTGGGCATCTGTTTCAGGATTTTTTTTTTTTTTTTGAGATGGAGTTTCGCTTTGTCATCCAGGCTGGAGTGCAGTGGCACGATCTCGGCTCACTGCAACCTCCACCTCCTGGGTTCATGCCATTCTCCTGCCTCAGCCTCCCGAGTAGCTGGGACTACAGGCACCTGCCACCATGCCCGACTAATTTTTTGTATTTTTTTTTAGTAGAGACAGGGTTTCACTGTGTTAGCCAGGATGGTCTCGATCTCCTGACCTCGTGATCTGCCCACCTCAGCCTCCCAAAGTGCTGGGATTACAGGCTTGAGCCACCATGCCCGGCCTGTTTCAGGATTTGTTTTTTGAGATGGAATTTCACTCTTCTTGCCCAGGCTGGAGTGCGGTGGCATGATCTCAGCTTACCGCAACCTCCGCCTCCCAGGTTCAAGCGATTCTCCTGCCTCAGCCTCCCAAGTAGCTAGGATTACAGGCATACACCACCACGCCTGGCTAATTTTGTATTTTTAGTAGAGGCAGGGTTTCCCCGTGTTGGTCAGGCTGGTCTCAAACTCCTGACCTCAGATGATCCGCCCGCCTCAGCTTCCCAAAGTGCTGGGATTATAGGTGTAAGCCACCACACCCACCTGGGGAATGTATTCTTGAGGCAGGGGGAGAGATGTGTGCCAGCCCTCATAGACATGTACACACCTCCCATATATACGTACAGTTGCAGGAACTCAGTTGGCGGCACTAGCAGAAGGTGCTATTGTAGAGGCCCATGACCCCCTGCATGCTCATGTAGTGACTCAGGCCAAAGCACTAGAACTCACATCTCCTAGTAAGGGTGAGGATCTGTTTTTGTTTTTTGTATTTTTTTGAGACGGAGTCTCGCTCTGTCACCCAGGCTGGAGTGCACTTCCCGGGTTCAAGTGATTCTCCCTGCTTCAGCCTCCCCAGTAGCTGGGGATTGCAGGCACCTACCACCATGCCTGGCTAATTTTTGTATTTTTAGTAGACATGGGATTTCGCCATGTTGACCAGGCTGGTCTCGAACTCCTGACCTCTGGTGATCTGCCTGCCTCGGCCTCCCAAAGTGCTGGGATTACAGGCGTGAGCCACCGCACCCAGCTGGTTGAGAAATTATTGCAAGTGCTCCTGCTAGGCTTGAAGTTCTCAGGTGCTGATTATGTATAAGTTGGACACTACTTAATCATAGTAAGTCCAGGAGAGGAGGGTGGCTTTACACATGGTGCTGAATTCAAGGTGCAGCAATTAATCTACCCACTGCATACAGCATAGGCAACTGCATTCAATATGTGCTTGCTGTGCATGAGCCTAATATTCACTGGCACTTTTCTTCCTGGCAGATCTCTGGGAATGTGGTCTTGTGCTTCACTTTATGTGTTATGAAAGTTTATGATGAAACCTTTTTAAAACAATTTTAGTATTATAGAAAATTTCAAACATATCAGAAAATAGAGAATAGTTTTATTAACCCCCTGTGTGTCTGTCACCCAACTTCAAAAATTATCAACTCTAGTCTTGGTGCTATGGCTCATACCTGTAATCCCAGTACTTTGGGAGGCCTAGGCAGGAGGATCACTTGAGGTCAGGAGTTCAAGACCAGCCTGGCCAACATGGTGAAACCCCCCCTCTACCAAAAAAATACTAAAATTAGCTGAGAGTGGTGGTGCATGCCTGTAGTCCCAGCTACTCGCGAGGCTGAAGTGGGAGAATCACTTGAACCCGGGAGATGGAGGCTGCATGAGCTGACATCGCGCCACTGCACTCCAGCCTGAGCAACAGAGTGAGAGCTTGTCTCAAAATTATCAACTCTTGTTTTTTCTCTACCTAACCCTCCATTTCCCCTCCCCCGCATTATTGTGAAGCAAATTCCAAGCATCATCAATCTATAAGTATTTCAATATGTATTCCCTAAAAAGGTGAAGACTCTTATTTTAAAAACATATCCAATATAATCATACCATAAAATGGTTAATTATTCAGTCAGTGTTTACATTTCCCTGATCGTCTTATGCCTTTTTTTTTTCCCCAGTTTGTTTTCTTGGGATCCAAATGAGATTCAAACATTGCCGATTAGTTGAAATCTCTCTCTAGTCTTATAATCTATAAGGTCCTTTTCCATCTCTCTTTTTCTTTTTTCTTTCTTTTTTTTTTTTTGGTATTTAAAAAATTTTTTTAATCTTCACTTTTTTTCTTTCCTTCCTTCCTTTTAATGAAGAAACCAGGTTTTTCTGTAGAGTTTACCACAGTCCAGATGTTGCTAATTGTGCATGCCCAAATATTTCTCTGCCCTTTTTTTTTTTGTAAATTAATATAGGCTTGATTAGATTAACAGCGTTTTTTTTTTTTAAGTTTACTTTACCGTTGTAATTCCATTAGGAAATAGATAATGTCTGGTGATGACGTGTATGCAGCCATTAATTCATTAGAGGTTGTAAAGAAGTGATATACTCCAGGTTGAGCATCCCTAATCCAAAAAACCACAAATCTGAAATGCCTTAAAACCCAAAATGTTTGAGTGCTGACGTGACACCACAAATGGAAAATTTCACACCTGACCTCATGTAATGGGTTGCTGTTAAAATGTACTGTGAGTCAGGAATGGTGGTGATGCTGAACAGCCACAGATAGTCCACATGGGTGGCCAAGGTAGTGATACCTTTGCTTTATGATGGTTCAATATATATAAGCTTTGTTTCATGCAGATTATTTAAAATATTATATGAAATTACTGTCAGGCTATGAGTATAAGATATATATGAAACATAAATTTATTTCATGTATAAACAGGTTCCATCCCCAAGATATGTCATTATGTATATGCAAATATTCCAAAAATCTGAAAAAAAAAATCCAAAATACTTAGCTGGGCATGGTGGCTCACACCTGTAATCCCAGCACTTTGGGAAGCCAAGGCAGGCAGATTGCCTGAGCTCAGGAGTTCAAGACCAGCCTGGGCAACACGGTGAAACCCTCTCTCTACTAAAAATACAAAAAAAATCAGCCGGGCCTGGCAGCATATGCCTGTAGTCCCAGCTACTCGGGAGACTGAGGCAGGAGAATTGCTTGAACCTTGAACCCAGGAGGCAGAGGTTACAGTGAGCCAAGATCACGCCACTGCACTCCAGCCTGGATGACAGAGTGAGACTCTATCTCAAAAGAAAGAAAGAGAGAGAGAGGGAGGGAGGAAAGGAAGGGAAGGGAGGGGAGGGGAAGGGAGGGGGGAGGGGGAGGGGGAAGGAAGGGAAGGGAAGGATAGGATAACATAAGCTGGGTTCTAGTGTTGTCATTATTTAGAGATGGGGTCTCACTTCCTCACCATGCCCAGCTAAAGTTTAAAAACTGTTTTAAAGACAAGCTCTTGCTTTGTTTCTCAGGCTGGTCTCAAGTGATCCTCCTGCCTCAACCTCCTGGGATTACAGCATGAGCCACTGTGCCCAGGTCTGCCATTTCTTTTTCTTTTCTTTCTTTTTTTTTTGAGATGGAGTCTTGCTCTGTCACCTAGTCTGGAGTGCAATGGTGCGATCTCGGCTCACTGCAACCTCCGCCTCCCGGGTTCAAGTGATTTTCTCGCCTCAGCCCCCCAAGTAGCTGGGATTACGGGTGCCCACCACCACGCCCGGCTAATTTTTGTATTTTTTAGTAGAGATGGGGTTTCTCCAGGTGGGCCAGGCTTGTCTTCAGCTCCTGATCTCAGGTGATCCGCCTGCCTTGGCCTCCCAAAGTGTTGGGATTACAGGCGTGAGCCACCGCGCTGGCTGCCATTTCTTTTTTTTCTTTCTTTCTTTTTTTTTTTTGAGACGCAGTTTCGCTCTTGTTGCACAGGCTGGAGTGCAATGGCACTGTCTCTGCTCACTGCAACCTCCGCCTCCCGATTTCAAGTGATTCTCCTGCCTCAGCCTCCTGAGTAGCTGGGATTACAGGCATGCGCCACCACACCCGGCTAATTTTGTATTTTGTATTGTTGGTCAGGCTGGTCACCAACTCCCAAACTCAGGTGATCCGCCTGCCCTGGCCTCCCAAAGTGCTGGGATTACAGGCATGAGCCTCTGCACCCAGCCTGCCATTTCTTTTTTAACCAGTACATATAGTTTTGATTTTTATGTATAATTCTAGCCTTAAAAATCCTTTTTTTTTTTTTGGCTGGGTGCAGTGGCTCATGCTCATAATCCCAGCACTTTGGGAGACCAGAGGAAGAGGATCACTTGATCTGGGAGTTTGAGACCAGCCTGGGCAACGTAGCAAAACCCCATAACTAAAAAAAAAAATTTTGGCCGGGCACGATGGCTCATGTCTGTAATCCCAGCACTTTGGGAAGCCGAGGTGGGCAGATCACCTGAGGCCAGGAGTTCGAGACCAGCCTGGCCAACATGGTGAAACCCCATATCTACTAAAGATACAAAAGTAGCCGGGCGTGGTGGCACACACCTGTAATCCCAGCTACTGTGGAGGCTGAGGCAGGAGAATCGCTTGAAGCCACGAGGTGGAGGTTGCAATGAGCTGAGATCACGCCACTTCACTCCAGCCTGGGCAACAAGAGCAAAACTTCATCTCAAAAAAAAAAAAAGGAAAAAAAAAATTTTTTTTAATTAGCCAAGCATGGTGGCTCACATGCACCTGTAGTCCCAGCTAATTGGCAGGCTGAGGTTGGGGGACTGCTTGATCCTGGGAGGCTGAGGCTGCAGTGAGCCGTGATCACACCATTACATTGCAGCCTAGGTGACAGCTAGACCCCATCTCAAAAAAAAAAAGGCTAGTCATAGCTGGAGACAGTGGCTCACATCTATAATCCCAGTGCTTTGGGAGGTTGAGGCAGGAGAATCACTTGAGGCCAGGAATTCGAAACTATCCGGGGCAACATAGCAAGACCCCATCTCTACAAAAAATTTTAAAATTAGCCAGGCGTGGTGACACATCTGTAGTACTAGCTACTGGAGAGGATGAGGCAGGAAGATCGCTTGAGCCTAGGAGTTGGAGATTCAGTTGTAGGGTTTTGTTTGATTTTTGTAAATAAGGAGCTGACTTGATTTTTTTCTTTTCTTTTCTTTTTTTTCTTTTTTTCTTTTCTTTTTTTTTTTTTTTTGAGACGGAGTCCTGCTCTGTTGCCCAGGCTGGAGTGCAGTGGCGCAATCTCGGCTCACTGCAGCCTACACCTCCTGGGCTCAAGTAATTCTCCTGCTTCAGCTTCTGGAGTAGCTGGGACTACAGGTGTGCGCCACCATGCCCAGCTAATTTTTGAATTTTTAATAGAGACAGGGTTTCACCTATTGGCCAGGCTGGTCTCAAACTCCTGACCTCAAGTGATCTGCCTGCCACCTCCCAAAGTGCTGGGATTACAGGTGTGATCCACTGTGCCCGGCCCTGACTTGATTTTTTCAATACTGCATCAAGGACATCAAAGCCATTGGATTAGTTCTATAAAACATTTTTAAATAACCAAATTTTCACTGCCTTATTTTATAATTGGAGGATGTGCCAGAAAAGTTTGAGTTCAGCCTGGGATAGAGTAAGGATTATGGCTAGAAAATGGGAATAGTTACTAGGAAACTGGCTTAAAAAAAAAAATTAAAAAGGGGTTCCTGGTAAGTTGAATTTTTAGGTAATATTTATTTTCTTAACGCATAGCCATTTTCAAACTACTGTCATTCCCATGTGAGTAAGAACAACCACAGTTCCAGTAAAATCTATGGGGAAAGGGACTTAGAAGTCAGAGACTTGAATTCAGATTCCAATTTTTTGTTTACTGGCATTATGAACTTGAGTATTCAAATTTTTCTTTGTAGAACATTTTAAAATAGGCACTCTGAAATTTGAGTTAATTCTTATATATGGTTTTGTCTGCAAGATACCAGTTCTCAGGGACTGAATTTTTTTTTCCAGTTTACTGTAAACACACCACCTACTCCAGAAGACCTGATGTTAAGTCAATATGTTTACCGACCCAAGATACAGATTTATAGAGAAGATTGTGAGGCTCGTCGCCAAAAGATTGAAGAGTATGAAAGCTTTAATTTTTATGTGTGTTTTTTTGAGGGGAGGGATCAGTTAATAGTTTGTGTGGTAAGGTTTTGATTAGAATAATGCTGGCATGGGGTAAAATTGATGGCATTAATTGGCAGTGTGATGTGGGAGAAAGAGCTTTGGCCTCGTAGTCAGATTGAAGCTCAGTCTTGGCTTCAACACTAGCTGTGTAACCTTGGGTAAGTCATTTAACCTTCATTTCCAAATCCTTAAAGTGAGGATAATAAAACCTACTCAGCCAATAGATATGAACAATAGAAATGGCGTATATAAATTGTTTTCATACCATTCTTAGGAAAAGGTAGGTCCTTAATAAGAATAAACAGTAATTTTTAGATTATGATATCATAAGTTGATTGCTAGAGAACACCTTCAAAAGAAAATATCCTTTAGAGATTTACGCAAGTTGAGTAACCTTAATCTGGAAATCGGAAATCTGAAATGCTCCAAAATCCAAAATGTTTTAGCCACCAACATGATGCAAGTGGAAAATTCCACACATAAATACGTAAGTACTTTACACAAACTTTGTTTCATGCACAAAATTGTTTAAAATATTGTATAAAATTACCCTCAAACTATGTGTACAAGGTATATATGAAACATAAATGAATTTCACGTTTAGGCTTGGGTTTCACCCGCAAGGTATCTCTTATATCCAAATAGTCCAAAATCCAAAACACTTCTGGTCCCAAGCATTTCAGATAAGGGATACTCAATCTATATATAGTGCCTGAAATCAGATTGCCTTTGAGTTTATAATTTTACCACATTTACGCTTGTTTACATATATAAAAGAACATGGTTTTACGTAGAAGATAGCTCATTGCTATGGTATACGTAAATACTGCAGACTGATTTACAAATTAGATACATCTAGATTCCCTTAGGTAAATCAGACTTTAAAACTCAAAGTAATGTTTATGTCATACTTATCTGGGACTATCCAACTAAATTTGAACCAATCTAACAGAAAAGAAATAAAATAGTCTTTAAGAATTATCTGGGTTTTAGAAGTAGAAGGAAAAGAATATTAAAAATTTTTCAAAAGAATTATGTAGTTTTGGCTGGGCGCAGTGGCTCACGCCTGTAATCCCAGCACTTTGGGAGGCTGAGGCAGGTGGATCACGAGGTCAGGAGATCGAGACCATCCTGGCTAACACAGTGAAACCCCGTCGCTACTAAAAATACGAAAAATTAGCCGGGCGCGGTAGCAGGCACTTGTAGTCCCAGCTACTCGGGAGGCTGAGGCGGGAGAATGGCGCGAACCCAGGAGGTGGAGCTTGCAGTGAGCTGAGATCGCACCACTGCACTCCAGCAGCTTGGGCCAAAGAGCGAGACTCTGTCTCAAAAAAAAAAAAAAGAATTACGTAGTTTTAAAATCAGAAATTTAAGATATTTCAGATTTTCCTGATTCTGTTCATTTAACAAATATTTATTGAGCACCTACATCTGCCAGGTACTATACTATGCACTGGGGTTCATCGCTGAACAAAACTGGCAAATTTTGTATCTTCATGTTGTTGGAAAGAGTTGGCTGTGTCAGGATTTCCCTGAGAATGTTTGTTTGTTTGTTTCTTTGTTTATTTTAATGAGACAGAGTCTCGCTCTGTTGCCCAGGCTGGAGTGCAGTAGCGCCATCTCGGCTCACTGCAAGCGCTGCATCCTGGGTTCAAGCGATTCTCTTGCCTCAGCCTCCTGGGTAGCTGGGATTACAGGTGCCCACCAACATGCCAGGCTAATTTTTGTATTTTTAGTAGAGATGGGGTTTCACCATGTTGGCCAGGCTGGTCCTGAACTCCTGACCTCAAGTGATCTACCCACCTCGGCCTCCCAAAGTGCTGGGATTACAGGCGTGAACCACCACACCAGCTGAGAATGTTTATTTTGAATGAAACGGGATCTTACACTCAATGAGCGGTAGGTTTAGTTGTGCTTTACTGTTTGATTTTGCATCTGTATGCCTGCATATATCCTCTACAAGAGATATTCTATCTCTGTTAGAAATTTATTTTCTCCATTTATTAACAAAAGACTAATATATATTGAGACTATCATAACTTTGCTGCTTTTATAGATGCTATTCTAAAAATGTGAAATATGCCTTTGAACTGAATTGGAAACTTTTATTTTATTTTTTATTTTTATTTTTGAGACAGAGCCTCACTCTGTCACCCAGGCGCGATCTCGGCTTACTGAGAACTCTGCCTCCTGGGTTGACGCCATTCTCCTGCCTCAACCTCTACTACTACAGGCACCCGCCACCATGCCTGGCTAATTTTTTCTATTTTTAATAGAGACGAGGTTTCACCGTATTAGCCAGGATGGTCTCGATCTCCTGACCCCCGTGATCCACCTGCCTTAGCCTCCCAAAGTCCTGGGATTACAGGCGTGAACCACCGCGCCTGGCCGGGAACTTTTATTAAAATAATACATAAAAAAATTAGCTGGGCGTGGTGGCACGCGCCTGTAGTCCTAGCTACTCGGGAGGCTAAGGCAAGAGAATTGCTTGAACCCAGAAGGTGGAGATTGCAGTGAGCCAAGATTGCGCCACTGCACTCCAGCCTGGCAGCCTGGCAACAGGGTGAGACTCCGTCTCAAAAAAATAAAATAATAATAGCTACAACTTTATAGCAGCGATCATTGACAGACCTTAGGATTCTTTATAAGCGAAATGTTTCACATTGGAACAAGTTGGTACGTTGAGATGAGAATTCTGTTAGTGATAGAAGTTTTTTTGATGTATGACATTCTTGAACTACTATTCTTCAAGTGAATAATCAGGCTTTTCTTGAATGAATTCCCCTCTTATTATGTAGAAAAAAACTAGGAAGAGTTAAATTAAACATGATTGTAGACCTGAGCTGGTTCATTCAAGCTGGCTTCTGAACCCTACGCTTGAAGAGGTGGCCTGCCCCTCCACACTTGTGGGTATTTCTAGTCGGATGGGACGAGAGACTGAGAAAAGAAATAAGACACAGAGACAAAGTATAGAGAAACAACAGTGGGCCCAGGGGACCGGCTCTCAGCATACCAAGGACCTGCACTGGCACCGGTCTCTGAGTTCCCTCAGTTTTTATTGATTATTATCTTCATTATTTCAGCAAGAAGGAATGTAGTAGGAGAGCAGGGTGATAATAAGGACAAAAACATGTAAGCAATAGAATCTACGTCATAGTTAAGTTTAAGAGAAGGTATGGTGACTGGATGTACACCTAAGCCAGATTTATGTTTCTCTCCACTCAAACATCTCAGTGGAGTAAAGAATAACAAGGCAGCATTGCTGCAAACATGTCTCGCCTCCCACCATAGGGCGGTTTTTCTCCTATCTCAGAATCGAACAAATGTACAATCGAGTTTTATACAAAGACATTCAGTTCCCATGGGCAGGCAGGAGACAGTGGCCTTCCTCTATCTCAACTGCAAGAGGCTTTCGTCTTTTACTAATCCACCTCAGCACAGACCATTTACGGGTGTCGGGCTGGGGGACAGTCAGGTCTTTCTCATCCCACGAGGCCATATTTCAGACTATCACATGGGGAGAAACCTTGGACAATACCCCGCTTTCAAGGGCAGAGGTCCCTGCGGCTTTCCGCAGTGCATTGTGCCCCTGGTTTATTGAGACTAGAGAATAGCGATGACTTTTACCAAGTATACTGCTTGTAAACATTTTGTCAACAAGGCACGTCCTGCACAGCCCTAGATCCCTTAAACTTTGATTTCATACAACACATGTTTTTGTGAGCTTCAGGTTGGGTCAAAGTGGCTGGGGCAAAGTGGTTGGGGCAAAGCTACAAATTAACAACATCTCAGCAAAACAGTTGTTCAAAGTACAGGTCTTTTTCCAAATGGAGTCTCTTACGTCTTTCCTTTCTACATAGACACAGTAACAGTCTGATCTCTTTCTTTTCCCTACAGTGCTAATTAACTTTTCCGTATTTTAGATTAAAGCTTTCTGCATCGAACCAAGATAAGCTGTTGGTTGATATAAATAAGAACCTGTGGGAAAAAATGAGACACTGCTCTGACAAAGAGGTACTTTTGTCTCATTTTCTGAATGAGAATCAGTGAAGACATTCTGAACGATGTTTATTGTGAAATGAGTAACTGTTACTTGGTCATAGTGATGAGTTATTTAACTTATTTTTTAAGTGTAATGTGGTACCAAGGTCTTATTTAATTACACACAATTGTTAATATATAATCTTTTCAAACCTGAGATGATCAATTTAATATATGAAATATAGTTGAAGTTTATTTAGAGTTCCCTCCTTGCTATTTGCCTTTCACTTAGATTTAGACGAAGAAAAGATTTACTTTAATTGATTAAATAGCAAGCAACCCATTTTATATGTGCCCTAATATATTAAAAAGTTTCATTAACTAAGAGCCTGTCATTTTCTAATTTATAATATGAATAAGTGAATTAAAGGCAGGAATCAAAACTGAAATCTTTTTTCTGGTCTTAGACAATTACATGGAATTAAATTTGCAAATGACAAATATCCTGCCTTAGGATAGGCAAAGCCTAGCCTTCCTAGACCATTTACCTCTTCTGACTCGTTTGTTTTAGTACAGTGTTCTCTATAACTTTCCCTTCCAGCTGAAGGCCTTTGGAATTTATCTTAACAAAATAAAGTCATGTTTTACCAAGATGACTAAAGTCTTCACTCACCAAGGAAAAGTGGCTCTGTATGGCAAGCTGGTGCAGTCAGCTCAGGTAATTTGAGACAGTTAATATCATAGAAAGAGAGAGATATTAAAATTACTTTCTAATGGTTATAGAATATGAAGAATCTTCCTTAGAAGACATGTGAATAAGACTTGGGCAAAAACTTAACAATTAAGAGGTAAGGTTCAATTTGTCAAAAGTGGCAAATCCTGACATCTTGAGTAATACTGGAATATAATTACTAATGTGGGCCTATGTCTCATCTCAAATACTATTATCCATCATACATACTGAAATAAAATACATAGGATTCTGGTCTCCCATTGCTAAGGACTATACCATAGTATTATCTTCTTCATAGTCCATACTAAGCTGTATATGTATGCACATGTGTTTAAAGTAGCATTTCCCAAAATGATTAGCTTTTTTAAAAGGCTCTGCATAAAAAAACTTTCCATTGGCAAGTAAGTATGGGAAATGTTGCAAGCAATATGCCCTTTCAGAGAAACATAATTTTTTAAAGTCTAAGCATAAATGCTGTAATTCTTTTTGACCACTGTTTCCTATGTTTAGTTTATCATAGAAATGTTTTTAAGTAATAAATATTAATATATTGTATTCCATGGAACACCTATAGAAATGCTAAAATAAAGTACCAGAATTAGTTTTATGTCAATATGCTTTTTAAATTATTTCATTTTCTTTTAATAAAATATTTTATTAAATTTATAAAATAAACATTTTATTTTCCAGAGTTCTTTTGGCTAAAACTTATTTTAATAAAATTTACTTTTATTTTTTAAGTTCCAACCTAAAGCTTTGACCTTCATTTTAAGATTTGCCTGTTTGTAGGCTGGGTGCGGTGGCTCACGCCTGTAATCCCAGCACTTTGGGAGGCCAAGGCGGGCGGATCACGAGGTCGGGAGATCGAGACCATCCTGGCTAACACGGTGAAACCCCATCTCTACTAAAAATACAAAAAATTAGCCAGGCATGGTGGCAGGCACCTGTAGTCCCAGCTAATCAGGAGGCTGAGGCAGGAGAATGGCATGAACCCGGGAGGCGGAGCTTGCAATGAGCCCAGATGGCGCCACTGCACTCCAGCCTGGGTAACAGAATGAGACTCCGCCTCAAAAAAAAAAAAAAAAAAAAAAGATTTGCCTGTTTGTGATCATGATAGAGCGATTATGTGAGCAGTTTGAACCATTTATAATATTTTCTTTAGAGGTTTAACTTGACAGTCTATAATCTTTTGTATTTAGAATGAGAGGGAGAAACTTCAAATAAAGATAGATGAGATGGATAAAATACTTAAGAAGATCGATAACTGCCTCACTGAGATGGAAACAGGTAAAGTATTTTAAATACTTTTCCAAAAGAAAATTTAATTTTATCTAAATGCTCTCCTACAGTAGAGAATGTTGGTACCACGATATTGAAGACTTGTATTAGCAACTTGAGATATTAAATTAGAGTAAATTGGCTCACGCCTGTAATCCCAGCACTTTGGGAGGCCAAGCCGGGCGGATCACCTGAGGTCAGGAGTTTGAGACCAGCCTGGCCAACATGGTGAAACCCCATCTCTACTAAAAATTTTAAAATTAGCTGGGCGTGGTGACGGGCGCCTGTACTCCAGCTACTCGGGAGGCTGAGGCAGGAGAATAGTTTGAACCCAGGATGTGCAGGTTGCAGTGAGCCAAGATTGCGCCACTGCACTCCAGCCTGGGTGGCAGAGCGAGACTCCATCTCAAAAAAAATAATAATAAAATAAATAAATAAATAAATTAGAGCAAATTAAAGTTCCTTTACTATAGTCATCCATAATACAATCAAGAGCTGCTCAAGATAACCCAGACTGTAATTTTGTGTTTTTTAATAGATGAATTTATCTCAGTTTGAAAACCGTCTATCCTTTCAGTTTGGTCTTTCATAATCCCAACTTTTTAGAGTTACTCTCCTGAAACTCCTTTCTCAAAGATCACATAATTCTGCATAGTCATCAAATTTTGTTCTTCTCAGTCCTTAGCCATTTTGACCTCTTTCAGCATTTGACACTGATGACTGTTCTTTTCTTCCTGAAATGTTCATCTCCCTTAATCTCTGTGATAATGCACTATCTTGACCCAGTTGTTTTCTCCTGGCTGCTCAATCCAGCTTCTCTGTTGGCCTCTCTTTCTCTAACTGATCCCTTGTGGGGATTTAGATTTTATCATCTGTTCTTTTCTATATTCTCTCCCCTAGTGCTTTCGTGTGCCTTAATAATTATGTGACTGATTCCCAAATTTAAATTCCTCAAGCATTTTTTGAGCATATACTGCATGCCAGATACTGTGCTTAGTATCAGAAAATAAATAAAAATATTTAAGACACAGATTTTGCCCTAAAGGTAGCTTATAATCATTTCAGGTGAGGGCATCTTTAGCCTCTCTTTCTTGAATTCTAGACTCAATTTCTAGCTTCCTTCTGAACCTGTATGCAAAAAATATCCTTAAACACCTTAAACTGTGAATACAGCCTGGGCAACAGAGTGAGGCACTATCTCTACAAAAAACAAGAGATTAGCTCAGCGTGATGGCACATACCTGTAGTCCTAGCTACTTGGGAGGCTGAGGCAGGAAGATCTCTTGAGCCCAGGAGGTCAAGACTACAGTGAGGCAAGATCACACCACTGCACTCCAGCCTGTGCAACAGAGCAAACTAAATAAATAAATTTAAATATATTCTCCGAGCTCAAAAATAAAATTCAAAAACTTGTTCTCTCTTATGATGTTTCTCATCTTTATGTATAGCAGTCACAATTCTTATACATTGTAAAAGCTCAATACTTTCATTGTCTTTGAGGCTCTCTTAACAAGTCCTGTCATCGGCAGCTTCAGCATCTCATGTGTTTATTTTCCTTTCCTATTAAGGCTCACCTTAATTCTGAACTGTGCTATTTCAGTCTTCTAACTAATCTTTATACATTCTTACCATTATTCCACCTTCTTCCATTCCAACCTGCACATTGCTGCCAGATTAATAATTATGAAAGACAGTTTTCATTAATGTTACTCCTCTGAAAAACTTCTGTCTTTCCATTTATTATAAAGTCCAAACTTAACTTTCTTTTTTTTTTTTTTTTTTGAGATGGTATTTCACTGTCGTTACCCAGGCTGGAGTCAATGGCACAATCTCTGCTCACTGCAACCTCCGCCTCCCAGATTCAAGCGATTTTCCTGCCTGAGCTTCCCGAGTAGCTGGGATTACAGGCATGCACCACCAGGCCCTGCTAATTTTTTTTTTTTTGTATTTTTAGTAGAGACGGGGTTTCTCCATGTTGGTCAGGCTGATCTCGAACTCCCGACCTCAGGTGATCCGCCCGCCTCGGCCTCCCAAAGTGCTGGGATTACGGGTGTGAGCCACTGCGCCTGGCCCAAACTTAACTTTCTCTGTGGTTGGCTTAAAGAAAAAAAAAAAGTCCAAACTTCTGAGCTTGACATTTCATATCTTCTACAGTTGTTTTCAGATTTACATGATTTGTTACTACTCCCATACACCTCTTAAATTCTAACCAAACATTGCTATTTTTATGCAGTTCTGCCACTTTTTTGAGACAGAATCTCTCTCTGTCACCCAGGCTGGAGTGCAGTGGCATGATCTCTGCTCACTGCAACCTCTGCCTCCTGGATTCAAGCAATTCTTGTGCCTCAGCCTCCCAAGTAGCTGGGATTACAGGCATGCACCACCACCCCCAGCTAATTTTTGTATTTTTAGTAGAGATGGTGTTTCACCATCTTGGCCAGGCTGGTCTCAACTCCTGGCCTCAAGTGATCTGCCCATCTCAGCCTCCCAAAGTGCTAGGATTACAGGCATCAGCCACTACGCCTGCCTTTTTCTTTTATTTAAAAAAAAAAAAAGAGAGGCAGAGTCTCACTCTGTTGCCCAGGCTGGGGTGCAGTGGCATGATCATAGCTCACTGCAGCTTCAAACTCCTGGGCTCAAGGAATCCTCCTTCCTCAGCCTCCTGAGTAGTTGGGACTATAGGCACATGCCACTAGCCTGATCATTTCTACTTTGGTCTTTGCTACTACATACTACGTTCTCTTTCTGTTTTTCACCAAAGAAAGTAGTCTCTTTTCCTTGAGCTCTCATGGCTCTTTTGTTAGTACTTCTTATATTACCCATCACATCTACTTGTATTATAGTTATTTTGTATAGTTTATCTTCCTGATTAAATTATAAGCTCTGTGGAGGCAGGAATCAGCTCTTCTTTTTCTCCATCTCCTTCAGAGTCCCTAGGACTATATTTCATACAGAGTAAGTGCCTAGTACATGTTTTTTGCACTGAATTGACCATGAGTACATGAATTCCATAGTCTAAAGTTCACCCCTTTGTTGACTACCTTACTTTCTCTTTCACAGAAAAAAAAAAAAAAATAGAAACCATCAGACTAGAACTTCTGAACTTCCTACTACCAAAGAAACAATCTGTCGTTTAATAAATTGTTTTTGATTGAATTATTCTTTTTTTCCTTACTTTGTTTTCTTTTTTTACTATTTTTCACTGAATTATTCTAACAAATACTGTCTACTTTAGAAACTAAGAATTTGGAGGATGAAGAGAAAAACAATCCTGTGGAAGAATGGGATTCTGAAATGAGAGCTGCAGAAAAAGGTAATTGAATTAGTTAAGGAGATAAATGGGTGTGGGGGAAGCCCTTCTGTTCTGAGTTTGTTTATATACTTTGGTGAGATTAAGTCAGAATTTTCAATAAAACAGATTTTTGTGGCAACATTCTAATATGTTTGTTCTGTTTTTTTTTTTTTTCTGTTTCCAAAGAATTGGAACAGCTGAAAACTGAAGAAGAGGAGCTTCAAAGGTCAGCCTTCAATCCAAGTGTTAGAAAATATAATGCTAAATCACAGAAGGCTAGATGACTTCCTGCCTCCAGAGACTGACAGGATTTGGGGACATGAGTCTTGATTGAGGCTGACTCAGGGCTTCTCCACTTTGAATGGAAACCTAGAGTCCATCTTAGTCAACAGTAGTTTTGAAGCACTTATTGTTTACAGGGCATTTATCCACAACAGTGTTTCTCAAGCTTGAATACTACCAGTATCCTTTTTGTTTAATAAATGTAAATATAAACAAGTATAAAATGAAGTATATATTTCTTAGGCCTATGAATCTTATTCAACTGTAAGTGTAAAAGAAAGTAAATAGAAATAATGACAAAGCCACTAAAATTCTAGTTGACAACATTAATTTGACAGGTGATAGTGTTTGGCTGAAATTAAATTGATGCTAGCAAAATGATTAACAAAGATATGTTCTGTTTAGCTCTAACAACTAAACGAAACCAAATACAGGCAAAAAAAAAAAAACTGTGACATGTCTCAGTTTTAAAGTATATCTTATGATCTACATTATGCTTATATTTTTATATTTTTGCTTTTTATCAAAAATAAAAATGTAGTATTTAAAAGTTATCTTAACATGTGAATCCCAAGGATATCTTCATGGATCCTAATTTGAAAAACAATGATTTATGCCTTTCCCAGGTAGACCCACTTCTAGATTAATGCTTATATAAAAAAAAAAAAAAAAACTAAACTAAGAATGCAGAAATGGATGCCATACACCTAACATTATTACCTCAATGGGGAGTCATGTAGCATGTGACTTCTTATCATAAACCTTTTATATTGATAGAGTGAATTCTCTAACAAAAACCTTATCTCTCTGAATACCTGCTTTTATTTGCAGAAATCTCTTAGAACTGGAGGTACAAAAAGAGCAGACCCTTGCTCAAATAGACTTTATGCAAAAACAAAGAAATAGAACTGAAGAGCTACTGGATCAGTTGAGGTAAGGAAATGCAGGCATCATTTGTTTGTGTTTTATTCTGTACCTTGTGGTTGTTTAAACCGATTGGAGCAATTGATGTATTTTTAATGTGTTGCTGTTTTTAACCTATACAGTGCTGTTTCAAAAAGAGTCAGTGTACTCAACAGTAAGCTGGAAATAGAGTAGAAGAACTATGGAATTATAATTTTTCCATATTTTATACTTTTCATTGCGTAGACTTGGTGTTTCTCTGATATACAACTCAAGATTGGGTTCTTAGTTATTTCAAAAGCTTAAGTTTGTACATCCACAATATATGAATTGAAATATTTTCTCCCAGTCCAGTGGAAAAACATTAGCAGCTGCTGTTGGTACTGTTTGGGTGGTATCAGAAGTTCTCTTTTATGTTAATTTTAAAAACGCTTTTTAAAAATCTTGTTTATCTCTCTACAGCTTGTCTGAGTGGGATGTCGTTGAGTGGAGTGATGATCAAGCTGTATTCACCTTTGTTTATGACACGATACAACTCACCATCACCTTTGAAGAGTCAGTTGGTAAGGAGCCAAAGTGAGATAATTCTTTTACAGAAAAATGAATGGCTACACTCACTAAAGATTCAAATCTTTATTTTACTATACTGATAACTATTGGCATGATGAGAGCACTGCTGAAAGTCTTAGAACAGTCACTTTATTGATAGCAGAATTTTATTTTATTTTGTAAAGAATAAAATAAAAATGGAATTAGTGAACGTTGCCCTTTGTTGAATTACATTAAATAAAAATTTTGCTCTGCAAATAATGGATAAACATGCTACTCATGTCTATTTACTATGAGTTTCTTTCTTTTCATCTCCATCTTTCGTGATAGAGAATAGAGAATTTACCCTAATGGCTGGAGATTCTTTTTTTTTTTTTTTTTCTTTTTTTACTTAAGAGTGAGGCCCTGCAGCTCACGCCTGTACTCCCAACACTTTGGGAGGCTGAGGTGGGCGGATCATCTGAGGTCAGGAGTTCGAAACCGGCCTGGCCCACATGGTGAGACCCCATCTCTACTAAAACTACAAAAAATGAGCTGGGCATGCACCTGTAATCCTAGTTACTCGGGAGGCTGAGACAGGAGAATCATTCGAACCCAGGAGGTGGAGGTTGCAGTGAGCCAAGATCGTGCCACTGCACTCCAGCCTGGGCAACAGAGCAAAACTGTCTCAAAAAAAAAAAAAAAAAAGAATGAGGCCCTAACAAGTTAATTGGAAGTTCTGTGTGTATAGGTGGGTTTATCATCTAAAAGGATAAAATCACTATATAGGGTGGAAATCACTATATGGTAACTGGACAGAGGCCCAGCTGTTTTGTTGGAGTTTACTAGTTGTCAGTGTCTTTTAGGTATTTTCTCTTTAACCAGTCAGCGTCAACATGGCCAACCATGGGCAAACATGGCCGTATTGGAACGTAGGATCTTCACAATCTCTGGGCCTCTAAACCTGATTCTCCTTGAAAGTTTCTTTTCTCAATGAATAGCGTTACCTTCTGTCCAGGTCCAAAATTAAAACTTAGGAATCACTCTATACCTCTTTCTCCCTCGCTGTACATATTCAAATCATCAGTAAGACATGCTTTTTGTTTTTATTTATTTATTTTTATTTATTTATTTTTTTGAGACAGTCTCACTCTTCCACCCAGGCTGAAGTGCAGTAGTGCAATCTCTGCTCACTGCAACCTCTGCCTCCTGGGTTCAAGTGATTCTCCTGCCTCAGCCTTCCAAGTAGCTGGGATTACAGGCATGCGCCACCACACCCGGCTAATTTTTTTATATTTTGTGGGGATGGGGTTTCACCATATGTGTTGTCCAGGCTGGTCTCAACTCCTGGCCTCAAGCGATTTGCCCACCTTGGCCTCCCAAAGTGCTGGATTACAGGCATGAACCACAGCGCCCAACCTACTGGTTTTAATTTCTTAATATTCATCCACTGTTTTTCATCTGTTCTGTCAATAATCATCTCTAACCTAGATGACTACAGTAACATTCCAACTGGACTTTATGGATCTTCTCCTCCTCCTCCCTGAAGCTATAGTGATTACTGAAAATCTGACTATGCACCTATTACTCTTAGGCTAATGATCAAAGTATTTGATCTAGCCTATGAAGCGTTGCCTGAATTGAATTTTTCTCCTTTTCCTATCTCATACTACCTTCCTACCTCTGCACGTTGGCCACAGTGGACTTCTTTTATTTCCTTAAATGATCATGGTGTTTCCTGCTCAGCCATATTCATCCTATCTCAACACCTTCATGCTGATGTTTCTTATGCCCGAACGCTGTTTTCCCCCACTTCACTAATGAACTCCTACTAATAATTGTAAGAGCTCAGCTCTCAGTGATCAGTTTCTCACCCTTCTGTTGTATGTTCTTGCTTTCTGTGGTTTTCCTTAATAGTGCTTATCATAGTTTGTAGTTCTTGCTGTGTTTATTAGTGCAGTTGTGTGTCTCCCTGAGTTGTAAGCTTGAGGGCACAGGTTGAGTATGCTGTTTTTCTCATGGTATCCACAGTGCCTAACACATAGAAAATATGTAACAAAGCATTCAATAAAGAGAAAATAATCAATTCAGGAGACAGTTAACTCTAGAGTCTGGGGGAGCGAGCAGCTATCTCAGCTACCTAAAATGTATTATAGCAATGCTAAAAGCATAACTCATTTTTACTGTATTTATACAATGATAGGAGTTGTAGAGAGATGATAGCCATTTTCCTTATATGATTGCTGAAAATAAAATTATCTTTGCACAGAAGTTAGGGGTTAAAAGAGGAGGCCTTAACAAATATAGCTGTGTACTACCTTTTAAATGTCCTTCAAAGACATACCAATCAATGTAGTTGAACAGTCTCAGGGGAGCCTTTACTAGATACAGAGAATAATGATTCAAGGATAACCCTTCAACTTCCTGTGGAAAAAACTCTGCTACACAGAAGGAGTAGGATTCTAAAGTACTGAGTTTTATGTGACTTCAAATCAGGTAGTTTAAAAAAAAAAAAAAGGCCAGGCACGGTGGCTCATGCCTGTAATCCCAGCACTTTGGGAAGCTGAGGTAGGCGGATCACGAGGTCAGGAGATCGAGACCATCCTGGCTAACATGGTGAAACCCCGTGTCTACTAAAAGTACAAAAAATTAGCCAGGTGTGGTGGCGGGCGCCTGTAGTCCCAGCTACTCAGGAGGCTGAGGCAGGAGAATCGCTTGAACCTGGGAGGCTGAGCTTGCAGTGGGCCAAGACTGCGCCATTGCACTCCAGCCTGGGAGACAAAGTGAGACTCTCTGTCTAAAAAAATTTTTAAAAATCATTATTCTGGTTCTTTCTAGTTGGTTTCCCTTTCCTGGACAAGCGTTATAGGAAGATTGTTGATGTCAATTTTCAATCTCTGTTAGATGGTAAGTAGAAAACATTTAAGCCTCTAAAAATTTGTTGGGGCTGGGCACTATGGCTCATGCCTTTAATCCCAGCACTTTGGGAGGCTGAGGCGGGTGGATCACCAGGGGTCAGGAGTTTGAGACCAGCCTGACTAACATGGTGAAACCCCGTCTCTGCTAAAAATACAAAAACTAGCCGGGTGTGATGGTGCCCTCCTGTAGCCCTAGCTACTCAGGAGGCTGAGACAGGAGAATCACTTGAACCTGGGAGGTGGAGGTTGTGGTGAGCCAAGATTATGCCACTGCAGTCCAGCCTGGCAACAGAGTGAGACCTTGTCTCAAAAATAAAAAATAAGGCTGGGCACGGTGGCTCATGCTTGTAATCCCAGCACTTTGGGAGGCCGAGGAAGGCAGATCACAAGGTCAGAGGCTCGAGACCAGCCTGGCCAACATGATGAAACCCATCTCTACTAAAAATACAGAAATTAGTTGGGCGCGGTGATGGGTGCCTGTAATCCCAGCTACTCAGGAGTCTGAGGCAGGAGAATCGCTTGAACCTGGGAGACGGAGGTTGCAGTGAGCCGAGATTGCGCCACTGCACTTCAAGCTGGGTGACAGAGCAAGGCTCCATCTCAAAAAAAAAAAAAAAAAAAAAGATTTAAAAAAAATTATTACATGCCGGGCATGGTGGCTCACGCCTGTAATCCCAGCACTCTGGGAGGCCTAGGCGGACGGATTACAAGGTCAGGAGATCGAGACTATCCTGGCTAACACGGTGAAACCCCGTCTCTACTAAAAAATACAAAAAAATTAGCCGGGCGTGGTGGCTGGCGCCTGTAGTCCCAGCTACTTGGGAGGCTGAGGCAGGAGAATGGCGTGAACCCGGGAGGCGGAGCTTGCAGTGAGCCGAGATCGCGCCACTGCATTCCAGCCTGGGCGACAAAATGAGACTCCGTCTCAAAAAAAAAAAAAAAAATTATTACTGGGTCTTGAGCAATGATTAATAGTAGCTATTTTCATAATTTAAAAATTACTGTTATGAGCACTTAGTCTGTATCAGGCATGTGTATTACTTAAATTAACACTATGAAGTCCATGCGATTTGTTCCCCATTTTACAAATTAGGAAACTACAGATCAAAAAACTTAAGTATTGTGTCTAGGATCACTTAGGTATTAAAGAAAGCCAGGATTGCTGGGTGCCGTGGCTCACACCTGTAATCCCAGCACTTTGGGAGACCAAGGCGGGCGGATCACTGGAGGTCAGGAGTTCAAGACCAGCCTGGCCAACATAGTGAAACCCTGTCTCTACTAAAAATACGAAGAAATTAGCTGGGCATTGTGGTGTGTGCCTGTAGTCCCAGCTACTCGGGAGGCTGAGGCAGGAGAATTGCCTGAATCCGGGAGGCGGAGGTTGCAGTGAGCTGAGATCATGCCACTGCACTCCAGCCTGGGCAATAGAGTGACACTCCGTCTCAAAAAAAGAAATGAAATCCAGGATTTAAACTCAGGTCTGTGTTACATGTAAACCCACACTCTTACTCAAGTACTGTTTCTATATGTGATAAAGTCTTGAGTTTTTGTAGAAATGTCCTATCTTCACCATACATGTTATAATCATGTTTGAAAATAAAAATGGAGAGAATACATCTGGGCATGGTGGCTCATGCCTGTAATCCCAGCACTTTGGGAGGCCAAGGCGGGTGGATTACCTGACATCAGGAGTTCAAGAGCAGTCTGTCCAAAATGGTGAAGCCCCCTCTCTACTAAAAATACAAAAAGTAGCCGGGTATGGTGGCAGACGCCTGTAATCCCAGCTACTCAGGAGGCTGAGGCAGGAGAATTGCTTGAACTGGGAAGGCAGAGGTTGCAGTGAGCCAAGATCACGCCATGGTACTCCAGCCTGGGTGACAGAGGGAGACAGGAGACTCCAGAAAAAAAAAGAAAAAGAAAAAATGGAGAGAATACTTATGTACCTGGTAGTTTGAGAATATTTCTAGCTTATATAATATAGTATTTTTCACTTATATAAAATATATGAATCATAAGTAATAACCTGCTTTTGCTTTTTTTTTTCCTTCCCCAGAGGATCAAGCTCCTCCTTCCTCCCTTTTAGTTCATAAGCTTATTTTCCAGTACGTTGAAGAAAAGGAATCCTGGAAGAAGACATGTACAACCCAGCATCAGTTACCCAAGGTAAAGCCCGATTGAAGTATTTAAAGGAAAATTTGTGATATCTTTCCAAAAAAAGCAGAACTGAAACTTTACATAAATAATAGTGGATCCTGAAATGATAAATGTATTCAATTGTTTAACTTTTTTGAGTTCTTTGTAAGTGAGCCACTAAGCATTGAAATGTTTTCATAATTTCACTGGATTTTTTTTCCCACTTTTTCTAGATGCTTGAAGAATTCTCACTGGTAGTGCACCATTGCAGACTCCTTGGAGAGGAGATTGAGTATTTAAAGAGATGGGGACCAAATTATAACCTAATGAACATAGATATTAATAATAATGAGTAAGTGTATTAGTTCCCAAGGACTGCCATGACAGAGTACTACAAATTGGGTACCTTAACAGGTTCTGGAGGCTGGAGGTCTGAGATTAAGGTGTAAGCGGGTGTTATTCTTTCTGAGGGCTGTTAGAATCTGTCCATGCCTTCTCCCAGTGTCTGGTGGTTTGCTGGCAATCTTTGGCATTCCTTGGCTTGTAAATGCATAACCTTGATCTCTCCCTTCATGTTGACATGGTGTCTTTCATTGTGCATGTCTGCATCCACATTTCCCCTTTTTATAAGGACACTAGTCATAGTGGATTAGGGGCCCACCTTACTCTAGTAGGACTTCATCTTAACATATTACTTGTGTAGTGACCAGATTTCCAAATAAGGTCACTTTCTGAGGTATTGGGGGTTTGGAATTCAACATATGAATTTTGGGAAATACAGGTCAACCCAACAGTAAGTACTTGGTCAGCAGTTTATTAAATGAATATATATATATAGTAAGTTCTTGGTCAAGTTGGTCAACAACTTGGGTGCAGTGGCTCACTCCTGTAATCCCAGCACTTTGGGAGGCCGAGGTGGGCGAATCACAAGGTCAGGACTTCAAGACCAGCCTGGCCAATATGGTGAAACCCCGTCTCTACTAAAAATACAAAAATTAGACAGGCATGGTGGTGGGCGCCTGTAGTCCCAGCTACTCAGGAGGCTGAGGTAGGAGAATCACTTGAACCCAGGAGGCGGAGGTTGCAGTGAGCTGAGATTTTGCCACTGCCCTCCAGCCTGGGCACAAAGAGACTCCATATCCTCACACCTGTAATCCCAGCACTTTGGGAGGCTGAGGCAGGTGGATCACGAGGTCAGGAGTTCAAGACCAGCCTAGGCAAGATGGTGAAACCCTGTCTCTACTAAAAATACAAAAAATTAGCCGGGCACGGTGGCAGGTGCCTGTAATCCCAGCTGCTTGGGAGGCTGAGGCAGGAGAACCGCTTGAACTTGGAGGATGGAGGTTGCAGTGAGCCGAGATCACGCCACTGCACTCAGCCTGGGTGACAGAGTGAGACTCCATCTCAAAAAAAAAAAAAAAAAAAGAGAGAATCTGTCTCAAAAAAAAAAAAAAAAAAGAAAGAAAGAAAAGAAATAATATATACCTAAGTTGGACATGCCAGTGTGAAAAGAAAATGAAATTGGGCTGGGACGGTGGCTCACATGAGCCTGTAATCCCAACACTTTGGGAAGTGAGGCAGGTGGATCACTTGAGGTCAGGAGTTCAAGATCAATGTGGCCAACAAGGTGAAACCCCATCTCTACTGAAAATACAAAAATTAGCTGGGCCTGGTGGCACACACCTGTAGTCCCAGCTAATCAGGAGGCTGAGGCAGGAGAATCGCTTGAACCTGGAAGGTGGAGGTTGCAGTGAGCCGAGATTACTCCACTGCACTCCAGCCTGGGTGACAGAGCGAGACTCCATCTCAAAAAAAAAAAAAGAAAAAGAAAAGAAATAATGTATGCCTAACTTGGACATGCCAGCGTAAAAATAAAATGAAATTGTGCTGGGACAGTGGCTCACTCCTGTAATCCCAACACTTTGGGTGGTGAGGCAGGCGGATCACCTGAGGTCAGGAGTTTGAGGCCACATTGGCGAAACCCTGTCTCTACTAAAAATACAAAATTTAGCTGGATGTGGTGGCAGGCACCTGTAATCCCAGCTACTTGGGAGAATCGATAGAACTTGGGAGGTGGAGGTTGCAGTGAGCCGAAATTGTGCACTGCACTCCAGCCTGGGCGATAGAGCAAGACTCCGTCTCAAAAAAAAAAAAAAAGAAATTGTGTTTCATGCTATTATTTGTTGCATTTTTAATTGTGGATCTTGTCTTTTACAGATTGAGACTTTTATTCTCTAGCTCCGCAGCATTTGCAAAGTTTGAAATAACTTTGTTTCTCTCAGCCTATTATCCATCTGTACCATTACCTTCCACCATTCAGAATCACGTTGGGAACACTAGGTGAGTAAAGGGCCAACAGGGTAAGACTCTGGGCTACTTCTTTTTTTTTGAGATGGAGTCTGGCTCTGTTGCCCAGGCTGGAGTGTAGTGGCGCAATCTCGGCTCACTGCAACCTCTGCCTCCCGGGTTCACGCCATTCTCCTGCCTCAGCCTCCTGAGTAGCTGGGACTACAGGCGCCTGCCACCGCACCCGGCTAATTTTTTGTATTTTTAGTAGAGACGGGGTTTCACCATGGTCTCGATCTCCTGACCTCGTGGTCCGCCCACCTCGGCCTCCCAAAGTGCTGGAATTACAGGCTTGAGCCACCGCGCCCAGCAAGGACTACTTTTTAATGTTCATTTTATTTGAAAGATTCCTCAAAGTGGTCAGCAAATTAGTGGACCATAGTGAGAGCTAAACTTCAGTTCTCTTGAGTTCATTTTGAAGAATTTATGTGTGTGTGTGTGTGTGTGTGTGTGTGTGTGTTTGAGATGGAGTCTCACTCTGTCACCAGGCTGGAGTGCAGTGGCACGATCTCGGCTCACTGCAACCTCTGCCTCCTGGGTTCAAGTGATTCTCCAGCGTCAGCCTCCTGAGTAACTGGGACTTAAAGGCAAGCGCCACCACACCTAGCTAATTTTTGCATTTTTAGTAGAGATGGGGTTTCACCATGTTGGCCTAGGTGGTCTTGATCTCTTGACCTCGTGATCTGCCCACCTCAGCCTTCCAAAGTGCTGGGGATTACAGGCGAAGAATTTTTTCTTAAAGTTATTGACCTTCATTGCTATCTCCAGTGGATGCTGGAGACCACTGGTCTATTCTTTTGTACCTGCTTCACTTTTTGAATACTCCAACCTAAAACATGAATCAAGAAGGAAAAAACTCACCATTAGCTTAGTACAGATGATATGTAAACAACTTTTATGGCCTTAAAAACAGAGTCAGCCGGGCACAGTTGCTCACACCTGTAATCCCAGCACTCTGGGAGGCCGAGGTAGGTGGATCACGAGGTCAGGAGTTCAAGACCAGCCTGGCCAAGTTGGTGAAACCCCGCCTCTACTAAAAATACAAAAAATTAGCCAGGCGTGGCGGTGGGCGCCTGTAATCCCAGCTACTGGGGAGGCTGAGGCAGAGAATTGCTTGAACCCAGGAGGTGGAGGTTGCAGTGAGCCGAGATTGCACCACTGCACTCCAGACTGGGAGACAAAGCGAAACTCCGTCTCAAAAAAAAAAAAAAAAAAAAAGTGCAGGATACGATGGCTCACGCCTTTAAGCCCAGCACTTTGGGAGGCTGAGGTGGGCGGATCACTTGAGCTTGGGAGTATGAGAATAGCCTGGCCAACATGGCGAATCCCCACCTCTACTAAACATACATAAATTAGCTGGGTGTGGTGGTGAGTAGTCCCAGCTAATCTTGAGGCTGAGGTGGGAGGATTGCTTGAGCCTGGGAGGTGGAGATTGTGGTGAGCCAGGATCATGCCACTGGCCTCCAGCCTGGGTGACAGAACCAGGCTCTCTCAAAACAAAACAGAGTCTGTGGAACCAGCCCTAAAAATGTTTCATTCCTCCTAGACTGTGACGTATTTTGTGACTTTTTAGATGCACTGCTGACAGATTGGAAGATAACAGAGTTAAAAATGTGCTCACCTAGGCCGGGCATGGTGGCTCATGCCTGTAATCCCAGCACTTTGGGAGGCCAAGGTGGGCAGATCACTTGAGGCCATGAGTTTGACACCAGCCTGGCCAACATGACAAAACTCTTTGTTTTTGACTGGGCGTGGTGGCTCATGCCTGTAATCCCAGCACTTTTGGAGGCCGAGGTGGGTGGATCATGAGGTCAGGAGTTCAAGACCATCCTGGCCAACATGATGAAACCCCATCTCTACTAAAAATACAAAAAAATAGCCAGGCGTGGTGGCAGGTGCCTGTAATCCCAGCTACTCGGGAGGCCGAGGTAGGAGAATTGCTTGCACCCAGGAGAAAGAGGTTGCCGTGAGCCTAGATTGTGCCACTAACTGCACTCCAACCTGGGCAACAGAGCAAGACTCTGGGGGTGGGGAAAAATTTGCTCACCTTATATTTGTCAGCAAACACCAAGACTAAGATTTTTTATGACCAACAAAAGTAGCTAGGTTAAGATACTTCACAATTACATATAGAATTGGTTCTTAGGCCCTGTTTTGGAATCCCATTTCAAACTGGATATCTGGTTATTTCCAGAAATGCTCATTTGTGCTTCCTAGGAAACTGAGAGACCAAGAACATAAATTCCACTGAATTAGAGACAAGTGTAAGATTTTTTAAAAAATTGATTAACCTGGCTGGGCGCGGTGGCTCACGCCTGTAATCCCAGCACTTTGGGAGGCCGAGGTGGGTGGATCACAAGGCCAGGAGATCGAGACCATCCTGAGTAACACAGTGAAACCCCATCTCTACTAAAAATACAAAAATTAGCCGGGCGTGGTGGCAGGCGCCTGTAGTCCCAGCTACTCGGGAGGCTGAGGCAGGAGAATGGCATGAACCCGGGAGGTGGAGCTTGCAGTGAGCGGATTGCGCCACTGCACTCCAGCCTGGGCGACAGAGCGAGACTCCGTCGCAAAAAAGAAAATTGATTAACCTTTGTTCTTTCCAGCCAAGATGATATTGCTACCATTCTATCTAAAGTGCCACTGGAGAACAACTACCTGAAGAATGTAGTCAAGCAAATTTACCAAGATCTGTTTCAGGACTGCCATTTCTACCACTAGACCCTTGGACCACCATTGGAACAACCAAGCAGAATGTACTTGATATTATTTCAGGGTCCCATTGCTGTTCAGCCTTTGTTTTTACGTCATTACAAGCTGAGTAAAATTCCTTCTGATGATGTTATAGTTAATCTGTATGTTTTTTATATCTCTGCAGAATGATGGTGATGAAGTCTGGATGGTAGGCCTCATAGCCTACTATCAACTTACTCATCTTTGTACCAAAGGTTTAAGTAATAGGACACTTAGGAAAAATGTCTCCTAACTAAACTAGTGCTTTCTGCTTTAGTACAAGCCCTAAGGATTAACTTAAGTATAAGAAGTGTTATCACTGACAAGAACATTAGCCATTTTCCCATAACTAGATAGAGCTATGATTTTTTAGGTTGCCTGGCTTCTGCCTAGCAGATATTTCTGGAGTAGAAATGTATCTGTCTACAAACTATTATCCTTTTTCTCCGTTACTAAAATGCTATTAAGAGAAAGTAGGGCTGGGTGCGGTGGCTCACACCTGTAATACCAGCAGTTTGGGAGGCCAAAATGGGTGAATAGCCTGAGTCCAGGAATTCAAGACCAGCCTGGGCAACATGGCAAAACCCCACCTCTACAAAAAATACGAAAGTTAGCCAGTCATGGTGGCTTGCGCCTGTGGTCCCAGCTACTTAGGAGCTTAAGGCAGGAGGATCACTTGAGCCCAGGAGGCAGAGGTTGCAGTAAGCCGAGACCATTCCACTGCACTCCAGCCTAGGCAACAGAGCAAGACCCTGTCTCAAAAAAACAAAAAGAGAGAAAGCAATAGCACTCAGCTATTGAAATGGTTGCCATCTTTTTTTGAAGGCCTTGCTTTTTATTCTATGGTGTCTATTATGTTTTCTTTTTCTTTTTTTTTGAGACGGAGTCTTGCTCTGTCGCCCAGGCTGGAGTGCAGTGGCATGATCTCAGCTCACTGCAAGCTCCGCCTCCTGGGTTCACGCCATTCTCCTGCCTCAGCCTCCCGAGTAGCTGGGACTACAGGTGCCCACCACCATGCCGGGCTAATTTTTTGTCTTTTTAGTAGAAATGGGGTTTCACGATGTTAGCCAGGATGGTCTCGATCTCCTGACCTCGTGATCCGCCTGCCTCGGCTTCAAAGTGCTGGGATTACAGGTGTGAGCCACCACACCCAGCAATGTTTTCTTAATAAGTATAGTTTTTCTAGGGAAAGTTAATTCATTTTTGTCTAGTACATATATGTAAATATATTAATGTTGTTTTTGTGTTTGTGATGTAGTAAGGAGATGTACATAGAAATTCATTGAGGTATATAGATACTCATCTGTCTAGGCAGTTCCCAATTTTCTGAAGAATGTTTTACAGCAAAATTTTCTATTTTCTTTTATTAAATAGTGACACGTCAAACAATGTCACATCCAAAACACTAGTTTCATCAATTTCTAGCAGTAATAATAGACTTGCTGTAAGTATTGTTTTCTGATGCCATACCCTTGTCATACATATTATTAAATGACCAATATTATGTATGAAGTAGACAAAAAAATTTACTCAAACTTCATTCAAATCCTAATTGTGATAATTTTTGTTTTATATTTAATTATAAACCAAAATACATTTGCATTTTTAAGCTAATTTGTCTCAAAATTTTGCTTTATATTTTTGGATCAGGTTAAAGTCCTGTGGATCCCCTGAATGTTATTGTCCCTCTTGATTGGTTTTTACTTCTGAGCTATACGTCAAAAGACACATAAGCTTCAAAAGTCAAGACAAACCTCATTTGCCATAAAAATCAAGATATAGATGTTCTGTTCCGTAAACTCCTTGAAAAACATTTTAAAGTCATCAATATGATCTGTTTCCCATGAAACTTAAGTTAGCTTTCTTATTGGAGTTATTTCTTTTCTGTAAGTCTGAAAAGTAGAGATTTTGTTTTACGCATTTTAGTAACCTGCAACAACCAACTCTAAAAAAGATTTGGCTTGTAATGACGGTCTCTGCTTTTTTGGGTTTGGAGTACACAATTGTAATATTTACTTAGTTATTTGTGTTTTTCTTTGTTCAAGGTATTGACTAGTTTCATAAATTTTTTGAAAGTTTTTCTTTCATTGGTTGGAAAGCAGATTACATTTTGCACTATTAAAATAAGTTTATTACTTTAAATCTTTTGTGAGTAGTGTTTCTTTATAAAGAATATTTTAGCATTTATCCAATAGACCTTTGAAGATATACCAAAGAAACCTTCCTCTGGAGACACCTACCTATTCAAAACTGAGATTAGGCCGAGTTCAAGCAGGGTGCTTCAGGCCAAGAATTCAAATCCAGCCTACACAACATAGCAAGACCCTATCTCTAAAAAATTTTTTTTTCTTGGCTGGGCATGGTGGCTCATGCCTGTAATGCCAACCCTTCGGGAGGCTGAAGTGGGCAGATCACCTGAGGTCGAAAGTTTGAGACCAACCTGACCAACATGGAGAAACCGTGTCTCTACTAAAAATACAAAATTAGCCAGTCATGGTGGCACATGCCTGTAATCCCAGCTACTTGGGAGGCTGATGCAGGAGAATTGCTTCAACCCGGGAGACAGAGGTTGCAGGGAGCCGAGATCGCACCATTGCACTCCAGCCTGGGCAACAAGAGTGAAACCCCCATCTAAAAATTAAAAAATAAAAATTTTTCTTGTTTTTGAGATGTGGTCTCACTATGTTGCCCAGGCTGGTCTCGGACTCCTGGGCTCAAGAGATCCTCCCATCTCAGCTTCCCAAATTGCTGGGATTATAGGTGTCGGTCACTGCACCCAGTTTGCTATTCTTTTTCTAACTTCTTGTGATGGTAGGTACCTAGCTCATTTATTTTCATTCTTTTTTTTTTGAGACGGAAGTCTTGCTGTGTCACCCAGGCTGGAGTGCAGTGGCCTATCTCGGCTCACCAAAACCTTCGCCTCCCAGGTTGAAGCGATTATCTTGCCTCAGCCTCCTGAGTAGCTAGGATTACAGGCGTGCACCTCCACACCCAGCTAATTTGTGTATTTTTGGTAGAGACAGGGTTTCACCATGTTGGCCAGGCTGGTTTCAAACTCCTGACCTCAGGTGATTCATCCACCTCGGCCTCCCAGAGTGCTGGGATTACAGGCATGAGCCACTGTGCCCAGCCTATTTTCATTCTTTTAACAAGTACTTATGATATATTTCTTTTCTTTTCTTTCTTTCTTTTTTTTTTTGAGGTAATCCATCTGCCTCTGTATCCCAAAGTGCAGGGATTACAGGCGTGAGCCACCATGCCTGGCCCCATATATTTGTTTCTAAGTAATGTTGTTTATCACTCATTCTTCTCCTAATCTGTTTTTTTTTTTTTGTTTTTTTTTTTTTTTTTAATATTTATGTCTTTTTTTGTTTGTTTGTTTGAGAGGCCAAGTCTCACTATGTTGCCCAGGCTGGTCTCAAACTCCTGAGCTCAAATGATCTTCTCGCCTCAGCCTCCCAAAGGGCTGGAATTACAGGCCTGAGTCATTGTGCCCAGTCTCAAATATATATGTCTTTTTTGGTCAATAAGAAAGTGAGATTATTACTGTTTCTTAGAACATGACTTCATAACAGAGCTCAGCCCCAAAGATCCAGATCAGACTTGAAGAACAAGAGTTTGAAGGTGATTGCTCCACAAATAAAAAATACTTGTGGGGCAAGAGATTGATTCCAGCATTAATATGTTTGCTTCTAAAATTTTTTCTTTCTTTTTTTTAGACAGGGTCTCTCTCTGTCACTCAGGCTGGAGTGCAGTATCACGATCATGGCTTACTGCAGCCTTGACCTCTCTGGGCTCAAGCGATCCTACCATATCAGCCTCTCGAATGGCTGGGACTACAGATGCACACTACCACCCCCAGCTAATTTTTGTGGAGATGTGATTTCAACATGTTGCCCAAGATGGTCTCAAACTCCTGGCTCAAGTAATCCACCCACACTGGCCTCCTAAAGTGCTGGGATTACAGGTGTGAGCCACCACAGCTGGCCTAAAATTTTCTTCAGTTCTAAAGTTTGTGAAAAGCAACAGTAAGGCTGGGCACGGTGGCTCATGCCTGTAATCCCAGCACTTTGGGAGGCCGAGGTACAAAGATTTCATGATATATAAACTGATTCTGTCTAAAATCTGTTTTTATGCTAAACTTAGTATCACATATAATTATTTTTAAAAATTTTTAATCACCTTATGTTATCCTATACTAGATTTTATTCATTCTATCTAACTGTATTTTTGTGCTTCATCACTTGAGGTCGGGAGTTCAAGACCAGCCTGGCCAACATGGTGAAACCCCATCTCTACTAAAAATACAAAAATTAGCTGGACGTGTTGGCACATGCCTGTAATCCCAGCTACTTGGGAGGCTGAGGCAGGAGAATTGCTTGAACCTGGGAGGCGGAGGTTGCAGTGAGCTGAGATGGCGCCACTGCACTCCAGCCTGGGTGACAGAGTGAGACTCCATCTCCAAAAAAAAAGAAAAAGGAACGTAAATAACAAATCAGACTGAGCCTGGTAGGACCTATAGCTGAGATTAATTACACTCACAGCTGAAGAAGGTTTTTAGACTGAATGACAGAATAAATCCCAAGTGGCAAAAATATACATTTCACTCCTTTAAAAATATTTCACCAGAAATATTTAGGGAAAAAATCATGATGTAAGATATTTTAATCCCCAGGAAATGGCTGGGCGCAGTGGCTCACGCCTGTAATCCCAGCACTTTGGGAGGCCAAGGCGGGCGGATCACGAGTTCAGGCGTTTGAGACCAGCCTGACCAACATGGTGAAACCCCGTCTCTACTAAAAATACAAAAATTAGCCGGGCGTGGTGGTGCGCGCCTACGTCCCAGTTGCTCAGGAGGCTGAGGCAGGAGAATCGATTGAACTCGGGAGGCAGAGGTTGCAGTGAACTGAGATCGCTGAGGTTTGCCACCACAGTTGTCTATGGGTAAATACACAGATTTCACAATGCATAAGCAGATTCTGTCTAAAATATTTTCCTGGGTCAAACTTTACTGGAGCTCTGTAAGGTGTTCAGACTGGCACTAACCAAACACAAGAGACTTCTACATAGCAATTCTTATCTAGTGTAACATAAACACCATCACAGCATTTTATTAATTGTTATTAATGAAACCTTAACACATTTATCCATATACTTTATTGTAAACACAACTGACATTCACATTACCATAAGAGCATTATTGCAGGAATCAATGTTATGAGAAAGCAATTGCTATGATTTGAATGTTTTGTCCCCTCCAAAACTCTTGAGACTTAATCCCCAGTCCGCCAATATTGAAATGTGGGGCCTTTAAGAGCTGATTCAGTCATGAGGGCTGTACCCTCATGAAATGGATTAATGTGTTACTATGGGAGTGGGACTGGTGGCTGTTTCAGAAGAGGAAGAGAGGCTGGCCAGGTGCAGTGCCTCACACCTGTAATCCCAGCACTTTGGGAGGCTGAGGTGGGCAGGTCACATGAAGTCAGGAGTTTGAGACCAGCCTGACCAACATGGTGAAACCCCATCTCTAATAAAAATACAAAAATTAGCTGGATGTGGTGGCACCTGCCTGCAGTACCAGCTACTCAGGAGGCTGAGGGAAAAGAATTGCTTGAACCCCGGAGGTGGAGGTTGCAGTGAGCTGAGATCACACCACTGCACTCCAGCCTGAACGACAAGAGCAAGACTCCATTTCAAGAAAAAAAAAGGATGAGAGAGCCAGGTACGGTGGTTCACACCTGTAATCCCACCATTGTGGGAGGCCGAGGAACGGGTTGGGGGATCTCTTGAGCTCAGGAGTTTGAAACTAGCCTGGGCAACATGGCAAAATCCCATCTGCACAAAAAATACAAAAATTAGCAGGGCATGGTGGTGCATACCTGTGGTCCCAGCTTCTTGGGAGGCTAAAGTGGGGATATCACTTGAGCCCAGGAGGCAGAGGGTGCAGTGAGCCAAGATGATGCCGCTGCACTCCAGCTTAGATGAGAGTGAGACCCTGTCCCCCACAAAAAAAGAAAAAAAAAAAGAGGAAAAGAGACTTGAGCTAACACTCTCAGCTCCCTCGACCTGTGGTGCCCTCTGCCAACAGGCACCCCATCAGAGTCCCTATCAGCAAGAAGGCCCTCATCAGATGTGTCTCATCAACCTTGGACTTCTCAGCCTCCAGAACTGTAAGAAATACATTTTTGTTTCTTTATAAATGACTTGAGTTTTAGGTATTCTGTTACAAGCAACAGAAAATGGACTAAGATGGAAAATATTGTTGTCCATGGCTAAGTACAAAGATTTCATGATATATAAACTGATTCTGTCTAAAATCTGTTTTTATGCTAAACTTAGTATCACATATAATTATTTTTAAAAATTTTTAATCACCTTATGTTATCATATACTAGATTTTATTCATTCTATCTAACTGTATTTTTGTGCTTCTTCACTATCCACACTCGCCTCCATCCCCATTACCCTCCCAGTCACTGGTAACCACCATTCTATTGTCTTTTTCCATGAGTTCAATTATTTAAATTTTATTTAATTAATTAATTTTTTATTTTTTGAGACAGAGTCTCACTCTGTTGCCAGGCTGGAGTGCAGTGGCATGATCTTGGCTCACTGCAACCTCCACCTCCCAGGTGCAAGCAATTCTCCTGTCTCAGCCTCCCAAGTAGCTAGGACTGTAGGCACCAGCCACCACACCCAGCTAATTTTTTGTACTTTTAGTAGAGACGGGGTTTCACCATGTTGGCCAGGATGGTCTCGATTTCTTGACCTCGTGATCCACCTGCCTCGGTCTCCTAAAGTGCTGGGATTACAGGCATGAGCTACCGCTCCGGGCCTCAATTATTTAAATTTTTAGCTCCCACAAATAAGTGAGAACATGTAAAGTTTGCCCTTCTGTGTCTGGCATATTTCATTTACTGTAATGACCTCCAGTTCCATCTATGTTGTTGCAAATGACAGGATCTCATTCTTCCTTTTGGCCGAATAGTACTCCATTGTGTGTATGTACCACATTTTCTTTATCCGTTCGTCTGTTGATGGGCACTTAGGTTCCTTCCAAATATTGTCTATTGTGAACAGTGCTGCAATAAACATGGAAGTGCCGATACCTCTTTGATACACTGATTTTCTTTCTATTGGGTATACCCCTAGCTGTAGGATTGCTTGATCATATGATAGCTCTATTTTTAGTTTTTTGGTGTTTTTTTTTTTTTGAGATGGAGTCTCACTCTGTCACCAGGCTGGAATGCAGTAACGTGATCTCGGCTCACTGCAACCTCTACCTCCCATGTTCAAGCGATTCTTCTGCTTCAGCCTCCCAAGTAGCTGAGACTACGGGTGCGCACCACCACGCCCAGCTAATTTTTGTATTTTTAGTACAGATGCGGTTTCACCATGTTGGCCAGGATGTTCTCGATCTCTTGACCTCATGATCCGCCTGACTCGACCTCCCAAAGTGCTGGGATTACAGGCGTGAGCCACTGCACCCGGCCTATTTTTAGTTTTTTAAGGAACCTCCGAAGTGTTGTACATAGTAGTTATACTAACTTTCATTCCCACCAACAGTGTACAAGGGTTCCCTTTTCTCCAGATCCTTGCCAGCATTCATGCCTGTCTTTTAGATAAAAGCCATTTTAACTGAGGTGATATGATTCTTATTGCAGTTTTGATTTGCATTTCTCTGATGGTCAATGATGTTGAGTACTTTTTCATATGCCTGTTTGCCATTTGTATGTCTTTTGAGAAATGCCTATTCAGATTTTTTGCCCATTTTTAATTGGATTATTAGATGTCTTGTCTATTGAGTTGTTTCAGCTCCTAATATATTCTGGTTATTATTATTATTATTGAGATGGAGTCTTGCTCTGTTGCCCAGGCTGGAGTGCAGTGGTGCAATCTCGGCTCACTGCAACCTCCACCTCCTGAGTTCAAGTGATTCTCCTGCCTCATCCTCCCAAGTAGCTGGGACTACAGGTGCATGCCACCAGGCCTAGCTATTTTTTTGTATTTTTAGTAGAGAGGGTTTCACCGTGTCAGCCAGGATATTCTTGATCTCCTGACCTTGTGATCCACCTGCCTCAGCCTCCCAAAGTGCTGGGATTACAGGCATGAGCCACTGTGCCCAGCCTGGTTATTATTATTATTATTATTATTATTATTATTATTATTATTTGAGACAGAGTCTCGCTCTGTTGGCCAGACTGGAGTGCAGTGGCATGATCTTGGCTCACTGCAACCTCCACCTCCCAGCCTCAAGCAATTTCCCTGCCTCAGCTTCCCAAGTAGCTGGGATTACAGGTGCACACCACCACACTCAGCTAATTTTTTTTTTTTTTTTTTTTTGTAGAAATGGGGTTCCATCATGTTGGCCAGGCTGGTCTTAAACTCCTGACCTCAAGTGATCCACCTGCCTCAGCCTCCCCATGCGCTGGCATTACAGGCATGAGCCACCACACCCAGCCTATATTCTGGTTATTAATCCCTTGTCAGATGGATAGTTTGCAAATATTTTCACCCATTCCGTGGGTTGTCTCTTGACACTTTGTTGATTGTTTCCTTTGCTGTGCAGAAGTTTTTTAATTTGATGTGATCCCATTTGTCCATTTTTGCTTAGGTACCTGTTTTAATAGTTTCAAAGTTTGAGGTCTTAGATTTAAATCTTTAATCCATTTTGATTTGATTTTTGTATATGGTGAGAGATAGGGGTCTAGTTTCATTCTCATACATATGGATATACAGTTTTCCCCACCCCTTTTATTGAAGAGAGTGTCCGTTTTCCAGTATATGTTCTTGGCAGCTTTGTCAAAATGAGTTCATTGTAAATGTATGGATTTATTTCTGAGTTCTCTATTCTGTTCCATTGGTCTATGTGTCTATTTTTATGCCACTACCATGCTGTTTTCAATATTATAGCTCTGTAATATAATTTGAAGTCAGAAAATGTGATTCCTCCAGTTTTATTCTTTTTACTCAGGATAGCTTTGGTTATTCTGGATCTTTTCTGGTTCCATATACATTTTAAGTTTGTTTTTTCTATTTCTGTGAAGAATGTCATTGGCATTTTGATAGTGATTGCATTGAATCTGTAGATTGCTTTGGATGGTATGGACATCTTAACAATATTTATTCTTCCAATCCATGAACATGGAATAGCTTTCCTTTTTATGTGTCCTTTTAAATTTCTTGTATCAGTTTTTTTTTTTTTTTTTTGAGACGGAATCTCACTCCATCGCCCAGGCTGGAGTGCAGTGGCATGATCTCCATTCACTGCAAACTCCGCCTCCCGGGTTCACGCCATTCTTCTGCCTCAGCCTCCTGAGTAGCTGGGACTACAGGTGCACACCACCACATCCAGCTGATTTTTGTATTTTTAGTAGAGACGGGGTTTCACCATGTTGGCCAGGATGGTCTCGATCTCCTGACCTCATGATCCACCTGCCTCGGCCTCCCAAAGTGCTGGGATTACAGGCGTGAGCCACCACGCCCGGCCGTGTCAGTGTTTTATAGTTTTCATTGCAGAGATTTTTCACTTCTTTGGTTAAGTTTATTCCTAGGTATTTTATTTTATTTGTAGCTATTGTAAATGGGATTACTTTCTTGATTTATTTTTCAGATGCTCATTGTTGGCATATAGAAATGTTGCTGCTTGGCCGGGCACAATGGCTCATGCCTGTAATCCCAGAACTTTGGGAGGCCAAGGTGGGCGGATCATGAGGTCAGGAGTTTGAGACTAGCCTGACCAACATGGTGAAACCCTGTCTCTATTAAAAACACAAAAGAATTAGCCAGGCATGGTGGCACACGCCTGTAGTCCCAGCTACTCGGGAGGCTGAGGCAGCAGAATCACTTGAACCCAGGAGGCAGAGGTTGCAGTGAGCTGAGATTGCACCACTGCACTCCAGCCCGGGCGACAGAGCAAGACTCCATCTCAAAAATAAATAAATAAATACAAAAATTATTTGGGTGTAGTGGCACATGCCTGTTATCCCAGCTATTTGGGAGGCTGAGGCTGGAGAATCACTTGAACCCAGGAGGCAGTGGTTGCAGTGAGCCGAGATCGCGCCACTGCCCTCCAGCCTGGGTGACAGAGCGAGATTCCATCTCAAAAAAAGAGAAAGAAATGCTGATGCTTTTCGTATGTTGATTTTGTATCCTGCAACTTTACTGAATTTGTTTATCTTTACTGAATTTGAGTTTTTTGGTGGAGTCTTTAGGTTTTTCTAAATATAAAAGCCTATCATCTGCAAACAGAATAATTTGACTTCTTCCTTTTCAATTTTGGGTTCCCTTTATTTCTTTCTTTTTTCTGATTGCTATAGCTAGGACTTCCAGTGCTATGTTGAATAACAGTGCTGAAAGTGGGCATGCTTGCCTTGTTCTAGATCTTAGAGAAAAGGTGTTATCAAAACACCAGGTGTTAGGCCGGGCACAGTGGTTCACACTTGTAATCCCAGCACTTTGGGGAGCTGAGGCGGGTAGATGACTTGAGTAGCTGAGATTACAGGCATGTGTCACCACACCTGGCTAATTTTTGTATTTTTAGTAGAGATGGGGTTTCCCCATGTTGGCCAGGCTGGTCTTGAACTCTTGACCTCAGGTGATCCACCTGCCTCAGCCTCCCAAAGTGCTGGGATTACAAGTGTGAACCACTGTGCCCGGCAGTAGGATGAGTTTGGAAGTATTCCCTCGTGCTTTATTTTTTGGAATAGTTTGAGTAAGATTAGTATTAATTCTTATTTAAATGTTTGGTAAAACTCAGCAGTGAAGCCATTGGGCCCCAGGCATTTCTTTGCTGGGAGAATTTTTATTATGGCTTTGATCTCATTACTTGTGATTGGTTTGTTCAGGTTTTGAGTTTCTTCATGGTTCAATCTTGATAAGTGGTATGTGTCTAGGAATGTATTTGTTTCTTCCAGATTTTCCAATGTATTGGCATATAGTTGTTCATAGAAGCCACTAACAATCCTTTGAATTTCTTCTGTATCAGTTGTAATGTCTCCTTTTTCATCTCTGATTTTACTTACCTGGTTCTTCTCTCTTTTTTTTTCTTTTTCTTTTTTTTTTTTTTTTTAGATGGGGTCTCACTCTATCGCCCAGGCTGGAGTGCAGTGGTGCGATTTCGGCTCACTGCAAACTGTGTCTCCCGGGTTCACGCCATTCTCCTGCCTCAGCCTCCTGTGTAGCTGGGACTACAGGTGCCCCCCACCACGCCTGGCTAATTTTTTTTGTATTTTTAGTAGAAACGGGGTTTCACCGTGTTAGCCAGGATGGTCTCAATCTCCTGACCTCGTGATCCGCCCACCTTGGCTTCCCAAAGTGCTAGGATTACAGACATGAGCCACTGTGCCCGGCCTTCTCTCTTTTTTTCTTAGTCTGGCTAAAGGTTTGTCAGTTTTATCTTTTCAAAAAAAAAAAACAACTTTTTGTTTTGTTGATTTTTGTATTGTTTTCATTTCAAATTCATTTATATCTGCTCTGATACTTATTATTTATTTTCTTTTCCTAATTGTGGGTTCAGTTTGCTCTTACTTTTCCAGTGTCTTTTTTTTTTTTTTTTTTTTTGAGACAGAGTCTTGCTCTTTTGCCCAGGCTGGAGTGCAGCGGCACAATCTCGGCTCACTGCAACCTCTGCCTCCCGGGTTCAAGGGATTCTCCTGCCTCAGCCTCCCGAGTAGCTGGGATTACAGGCATATGCTATCATGCCCAGCTAATTTTTGTATTTTTAGTAGACATGGGGTTTCACGATGTTAGCCAGGCTGGTCTTGACCCTTGACCTCAGGTGATCCACCTGCCTTGACCTCCCAAAGTGCTGTGATTACAGGCCACCGTGCCTGGACATTACTTTTCCAGTTCTTTAAGATGTATCATCAGGTTATTTACTTGAAGTTTTTGTTATTTTTTGATGTAGGCACTTATAGCTATACATTTCCCTCTTAGTACTGCTTTTACTGTATCCCATAGGTTTTGGTATGTTATGTTTCCATTATCATTCTTTTCAATAAATTTTTCAATTTCCTTCTTAATTTTTGCATTGACCCACTGTCAGGAGCATATTGTTTAATTTCAATGTGTGTGTATATTTTCCAAAATTCCTGTTGTTATTGAGTTCTAGTTTTATTCCAATGTGGTCAGAGAAGCTGCTTGATATTATTTCAATTTTTTGAATGTTTTAAGACTTGTTTTGTGTTTTAACATACGGTCTATCCTTCAGAATGATCCATGTGCTGAGGAGAAGAATGTGTATTCTGCAGCCATTGGATGAAATGTTCTATAAATATCTATTAGGTCCATTTTTTCTATAGTGCACATTAAGTCCAATGTTTCTTTGTTGATGTTCTGTCTGGGAGAAAAAGAGTCTAGGAGATCTGTCCAATGCTGAAAGTTGGGTGTTAAGGTGTCCAGCTATTATTGTATTCAGGTCTATCTCTCTCTTTTGCTCTAATAATATTTCCTTTTTTTAAATCTGAGTGCTTTAGTGTTGGGTGCATACATACTAATAATCATTATCTCCTCTTGCTGAATTGGCACCTTTATCATTATATAATGACCTTCTTTATCTATTCTTACAGTTTTTGTCTTGAAATCTATTTTGTCTGATGTAAGTATAGTGACTTGTTCTCTTTTGGTTTCCATTAGCATGGAATATCTTTTTCCATCCCTTTGTGTTAAGTCTATGTGCATCTTTATAAGTTAAATGTGTCTCTTGTACACAAGAGATCATTGAGTCTTGTTTTTTTATCCATTCAGCCACTCTGTGTCTTTTGATTGGAGTGTTTAGTCCATTTACATTCAATGTTATTGGTAAGTAGGGACTTACTCTTACCTTTGTTTTCTGGTTGTTTTGTGATCTTCTCTTCCTTTTTTCCTAACTTCCTGTCTTCCTTTTAGCGAAGGTAATTTTCTCTGGTGGTATGCTTTAATTTCTTGCTTTTTATGTCTCATGTATCAATTGTATGTTTTTCTATCTGAGGTTACTATGTGGCTTGCAAATACTGTCTTACAACTCATTATTTTAAGTTGATGACAACATTGATTGCATATACAAACACACAAAAAGAAAGTAATTTCCCTGCTTTTTAACTTTTTGTTTCTCTTTGTCTCATTGTACTATCCATGTCTTGAAAAGTTGTAGTTAAGGCCAGGCATGGTGGTTCACACCTGTAATCCCAGCATTTTGGGAAGCCAAGGTGGGTGGATCACGAGGTCAGGAGTTCAAGACCAGCCTGGCCAAGATGGTGAAATCTCATCTCTACTAAAAATACAAAAATTAGCCACGTGTGGTGGTGGGTGCCTGTAATCTCAGCTACTTGGGAGGCTGAGGCAGAGAATAGCTTGAACCTGGGAGGCAGAGGTTGCAGTGAGCTGAGTTCGCGCCACTGCATTCCTGCCTGGGTGACAGAGTGAGACTCCATGTCAAAAAAAAAAAAAAAGAAAGAAAGACAAGAAAAAAAAAGAAAAGTTATTTTTGATTGGTTATTTAGTCTGTTTCACTCTTATTACCAGGCTGGAGTACAATGGCACAAAATCAGCTCACTGCAACCTCTTCCTCCTGGGTCCAAGCAATTCTCCTGCCTGAGCTTCCTGGGTAGCTGGGATTACAGGAGCCCACCACCACGCCTGGCTACTTTTTTGTATTTTTAGTAGAGACAGGTTTTCCCATGTTGACCTGCGTGGCCTTGCACTCCTGACCTCAGGTTATCCACCCGCCTCCGCCTCCCAAAGTGCTGGTATTACAGCCATGAACCACCTAGCCTGGGTCATTAGTCTTTCTACTTAAGACAAGAGTAGTCTACATACCACCATTACAATCTTGAAATCTATTTTGTCTGATATAAGTATAGCAACTCCTGTTCTCTTTTGGTTTCCATTAGCATGGAATATCTTTTTCCATCCCTTTGTGTCCGGAATTGGTGGGTTCTTGGTCTCACTGACTTCAAGAATGAAGCCACAGATCCTCGCAGTGAGTGTTACAGCTCTTAATGTGGCGCGTCTGGAGTTTGTTCCCTCTGATGTTCGGATGTGTTCGGAGTTTCTTCCTTTTGGTGGGTTCGTGGTCTCACTGGCTCAGGAGTGAAGCTGCAGACCTTCACGGTGAGTGTTACAGCTCATAAAAGCAGTGTGGACCCAAACACTGAGCAGTAGCAAAATTTATCGCAAAGAGCAAAAAGAACAAACATCCACCATGTGGAAAGGGACCCGAGCAGGTTGCCACTGCTGGCTCAGGCAGCCTGCTTTTATTCTCTTATCTGGCCCCACCCACACCCTGCTGATTGGTAGAGCCAAGTGGTCTGTTTTGACAGGGTGCTGATTGGTGCGTTTACAATCCCTGAGCTAGACACAAAGGTTCTCCACATCCCCACCAGATTAGCTAGATACAGAGTGTCGATTGGTGCATTCACAAACCCTGAGCTAGACACAGGGTGCTGATTGGTGTGTTTACAAACCTTGACTAGATACAGAGTGCCGACTGGTGTATTTACAATCCCTGAGCTAGACATAAAGGTTCTCCAAGGCCCCACCAGAGTAGCTAGATACAGAGTGTGGATTGGTGCACTCACAAACCCTGAGCTAGACACAGGGTGCTGATTGGTGTATTTACAATCCCTGAGCTAGACATAAAGGTTCTGCACCTCCCCACCAGACTCAGGAGCCCAGCTGGCTTCACTCAGTGGATCCGGCCCAGGGGCTGCAGGTGGAGCTGCCTGCCAGTCCTGCGCCCTGCGCCCGCACTCCTCAGCTCTTGGGTGGTCGATGGGACTGGGCGCCATGGAGCAGGGGGCGGTGCTCATCAGGGAGGCTCGGGCGGCACAGGAGCCCACGGAGCGGGTGGGAGGCTCAGGCATGGCGAGCTGCAGGTCCCGAACCCTGCCCCGCGGGAAGGCAGCTAAGGCCCGGCGAGAAATCGAGCGCAGCGCCGGTGGGCTGGCACTGCTGGGGGACCCAGTACACCCTCCGCAGCCGCTGGCCCGAGTGCTAAGCCCCTCATTACCTGGGGTCGGCAGGGCCGGCTGGCTGCTTCGAGTGCGGGGCCCGCCAAACCCTCGCCCACCCGGAACTCCAGCTGGCCCGCAAGCGCCGCACGCAGCCCCGGTTCCCGCTCGCGCCTCTCCCTCCACACCTCCCTGCAAGCTGAGGGAGCCGGCTCCGGCCTTGGCCAGCCCAGAAAGGGGCTCCCACAGTGCAGCGGCAGGCTGAAGCGCTCCTCAAGTGCCGCCAAAGTGGGAGCCCAGGCAGAGGAGGCGCCGAGAGCGAGCAAGAGCTGTGAGGACTGCCAGCACGCTGTCACCTCTCACCTTTATGTTAAGTCTATGTGCATCTTTATAAGTTAAATGTGTCTCTTTGTTAAATGTGTCTCTGCTTTTTGTGTGTGTGCTTACTATTACCAGTGAGTTCTGTACCTTCAGATGATTTCTTTTTCCTTTTTTTTTTTTTTTTTTTGAGACAGTCTCTGTCGCCCAGTCTGGAGTGCAGTGGTGCGATCTCGGCTCACTGCAACCTTCAACTCCTGGGTTCAAGTGATTCTCCTACCTTAACCTCCTGAGTATCTGGGATTACAGGCACCCGCCACCACACCCAGCTACTTTTTGTATTTTTAGTAGAGACGGGGTTTCACCATGTAGACCAGGCTGGTCTCAAACTCCTGACCTCAGGTAATCTGCCCACCTTGGCCTCCCAAAGTGCTGGGATTACAAGCATGAGCCACTGCACCTGGCCCACATGATTTCTTTTTTCTCATCAACATTCTTTTCTTTCAGATTGAGGAGCGCCCTTTAGTATTTCTTGTAGGACAGGTCTGGTGTTGATGAAATCCCCCAGCTTTTGTTTGCCTGGGAAGGTCTTTCTTTCTTTTCAATGGAAACCTTACAAGCAAGGAAAGAATGGGATGACAAGGAACACTTTAAATATGTCATGCCATTCTCTCCTTGCCTGTAAGGTTTCCACTGAAAAGTCTGCCGCCAGACGTATTGGAGCTCCCTTGTGTGGTATTTTTTTTTTTTTTTTCTGTTGCCGCTTTTAGGGCCCTCTCTTTAACCTTGACCTTTGGGAGTTTGATTATTAGTAGTAGTCTTATTTGGGTTAAATCTGCTCGGTGTTCTATAACCTTCTTGTAGTTGAATATTGATTTTTTTTTCTAGGTTTGGAACGTTCTCTGATATTCTCTCTTCCTTTGAGTAAGTTTTCTTTTTCTTCTTTTTTTTTTTTTTTGAGACGGAGTCTCTGTTGCCCAGGCTGGAGTGCAGTGGCCCAATCTCGGCTCACTGCAAGCTCCGCCTCCCGGGTTCCCGCCATTCTCCTACCTCAGCCTCCCGAGTAGCTGGGACTACCGGCGCCCGCCACCACGCCCGGGTAATTTTTTGTATGTTTAGTAGAGACGGGGTTTCACCGTGTTAGTCAGGATGGTCTCAATCTCCTGACCTCGTGATCTGCCCGCCTCGGCTTCCCAAAGTGCTGGGATTACAGGCGTGAGCCACCGCACCCGGCCATATTTTTGTTTTCTTTTACATTTTTTAGATGGCTTATTCTGAAAAATTTTCTATCTTTATCTCTTTCTCTACCTCCTCTTTCAGGCCAATAACTCTTAGATTTTCCCCTTTTGAGGTTATTTTGTAGATCCTGTGTGCTTCATTTTTTATTCTTCTTTTGTCTTTTGTCTTGAATTTGAGTTTTCTCAAAACAGCTATTTTGAATTTTCTGTCTAAAAGGTCAGAGATATCTCTGTTCCTCCAGGATTGGCCCTTGGTGCCTTGTTTAGTTTGTTTGGTGAGGTCATATTTTTCTGAATGGAAATGATGCTTGTAGATATTTGTCAGTGTCTGGGCATTGAAGAGTTAGGTATTTATTGTAGTCTTCACAGTCTGGCTTTGGGACTTGGGCCCGAAGCCCAATGAGGCTGTGGTTTTTGCAGACTCAGAAGTACTGCCTTAGTAGTCTTGGCTAAGATCTGGAAAAATACTCTAGATTACCAGGCAGAGAATCTTGTTCTTCCCTTACTTCTCCCAAACAAATGAAGTCTCTTTCTCTCTCTGTCCTGAGCCACCTGTAGGTGGCAGTGTGGTGCTGCAAGCATCTGTGGCCTCACCACTGGGACTGCACTGGGTTAGACTTGAAGCCAGCACAGCGCCGAGTTTTTTTTTTTTTTTTGAGACAGAGTCTCGCTCTGTCGCCCAGGCTGGAGTGCAGTGGCGCAATCTCGGCTCACTGCAAGCTCCGCCTCCTGGGTTCATGCCATTCTGCTGCCTCAACCTCCCAAGTAGCTGGGACTACAGGCGCCCGCCACCTCGCCTGGACAATTTTTTGTATTTTTAGTAGAGACAGGGTTTCACCGTGTTAGCCAGGATGGTCTTGATTTCCTGACCTAGTGATCCGCCCACCTTGGCCTCCCAAAGTGCTAGGATTACAGGCATGAGCCATCGCGCCCCGCCTGATTTTTTTTTTTAATTTATTTTTATTTATTTATTTTTTTTTGAGATGGAGTCTCGCTCAGTCGCCCAGGGTGGAGTGCAGTGGCATGATCTTGGCTCATTGCAACCTCCGTTTCCCGGGTTCAAGCAATTCTCTGCCTCAGCTTCCTGAGTAGCTGGGATTACAGGCAACCGCCACCATGCTTAGCTAATTTGTTTGTATTTTTATTAGAGATGAGGTTTCACCATATTGGCCAGGCTGGTCTCGAACTCCTGACCTCAAGTGATCGGCCCGCCTTGGCCTCCCAAAGTGTTGGGATTACAGGCGTGAACCACCATGCCCGGTCAGCACTGGGTCTTGCCCAAGACCTTTCCCTTCAGGGCAGCGAGTTCCACCAGGTCCCAAGTGTGTCCAGAGATGTTGTCTGGGAGCCAGGGATTACAGTAAAAAATTTTAGCAGTTGCCCTGATGTTCTATTCTACACAGCTAAGCTAGCCCACCTCTAAGCCCAGCCTCACACTAGGAATTGCCTAGGAATTGCAGTCCTTGTGTCCTAGACTGCCTCTCAAGTTTATCTAGGACCCCAGAGAAACTCAAGTTGCAACCACTGAGATGGGCAATTTCCCTCTGGCTAGGGCTGGTCCAAATGTTTTTTGCATGCATGGGTGCTCAGCTCATGGCTTTATTCTCTTCTCTGACAGGGCAGCACTGAGTTCAATGTAAAGTACCCCAGTCACTGTGCAAAGTGCACAGATTCTCCCTACACCACATGGGTGCTGCCAGGGGATGGGGGAGGGGTGGCATTGGTGATTCAAGACTGCCCTCCTCAATGCCTTTTTAGTGATATGAAGTTAAAACCATGTACTATGATTGCTCAACTGATTTTTTGGTTCTTGTTATGGTGCTTTTCTGTGTGTCGATAATTATTAAAATGTGGTGTTCCAAAAGCAGGGACAGAGTGTAGCCTTCTGTTCTGCCATCTTGCTCTGCCTCTTCACTAATGAGTTTTGTACGTTCAGATGATTTCTTGCTCATCAACATTCTTTTCTTTCAGAATAAATATTCTTTAGGATTTCTCATAAGATAGGTCTGGTGTTGATAAAATCCCTCAGCTTTTGCTTGTCTAGGAAAGTCTTTATTTCTCCTTCATGTTTGGATATACTATCCTGGGATAAAAGTTTCTTTCTTCAGCACTTTGAATATGTCATACCATTCTTTCCTTGCTTGTAAGGTTTCCACTGATAAGTCTGCTGCCAGAAGTATTAGAGCTCCTTTGTATGTTATTTGTTACTTTTCTCTTGCTGCTTTTAGGACTCTTTCTTTATCTCCGACCTTTAGGAATTTCATTATTAAATGACTTGAGGTAGTCTTATTTGGGTTAAATTTGCTTGATGTTCTATAACCTTCTTGTACTTGAACATTGATAACTGTCTCTAAGTTTGAGAAATGCTCTGATATAATCCCTCTAAATAAACTTTCCACCCCTATTTATCTCTCTACCTCCCTTTTAAGGCCAGTAACTCTTAGACTTCCCCTTTTGAGGCTATTTTCTAGATTCTGTAGTGTGCTTCATTGGTTTTTACTCTTTTCTCTTTTGTCTCCTGTGACTGTGTTTGTTCGTTCCTTCCTTTCTTCCTTCCTTCCCTCCCTCCTTTCTCTTTTCTTTTTTTCTTTCCTTTCTTTCTTCCTCTTTTTTTTTATTCTTTTCTCTCTTTCTTTCTTCCTCTTTCTTTTTCTTTCTCTTCTTTTTTTGTCTCTCTGTCTTTCTCTTTCTTTCTTTCATCTTTTTTTTTTTTTTTTTTTTGAGACAAGAGTTTCACTCTTGTTGCCCAGGCTGGAGTGCAATGGCACCATCTTGGCTCACCACAACCTCTGCCTCCTGGGTTCAAGCAATTCTCCTGCCTCAGCCTCCTGAGTAGCTGAGATTACAGGCATTTGCCACCACGCCCGGCTAATTTTATATTTTTAGTAGAGACAGGATTTCTCCATGTTGGTCACGCTGGTCTTGAACTCCCGATCTCAGGTGATTTGCCCGCCTCCGCCTCCCAAAGTGCTGGGATTACAGGCATGAGCCACTGCGCCTGGACTTTTTTTTTTTTTTTTAAAGAGCCTCACTCTGTCACCCAGGCTGGAGTGCAATGGAACAAACTCGGCTCATTGCAACCTCTGCCTCCTGGGTTCAAGTCATTCTTGTGCCTCAGCCTCCTGAGTAGTTGGGACTACAGGTACATGCCACCATTTCCTGGCTAATTTTTGTACTTGTACTAGAAACGGGGTTTTGCCATGTTGGCCAGGCTGGTCTTGAACTCCTGACCTCAGGTGATCCGCCCACCTCAGCCTCCCAAAATGCTGGGATTATAGGCATGAACCACTGGGCCCGGCCTGACTGTGTATTTTCAAATAGCCTGTCTTCAAACTCACTAATTCTTTCTTCTGTTTGATCAATTCTGCTGTTAAAATACTCTGATGCGCTCTCGCTCTCCCTCTCCCTCTCCCCACGGTTTCCCTCTCCCTCTCTTTCCACGGTCTCCCTCTGATGCTGAGCCAAAGCTGGACTGTACTGCTGCCATCTCGGCTCACTGCAACCTCCCTGCCTGATTCTCCTGCCTCAGCCTGCCGAGTACCTGGGATTGCAGGCGCCGCCACGCCTGACTGGTTTTCGTATTTTTTTGGTGGAGAAGGGGTTTCGCTGTGTTGGCTGGGCTGGTCTCCAGCTCCTAACCGCGAGTGATCCGCCAGCCTCGGCCTCCCGAGGTGCCGGGATGGCAGACGGAGTTGCGTTCACTCAGTGCTCAATGGTGCCCAGGCTGGAGTGCAGTGGCGTGATCTCGGCTCGCTACAACCTCCACCTCCCAGCTGCCTGCCTTGGCCCCCCAAAGTGCCGAGATTGCAGCCTCTGCCCGGCCGCCACCCCGTCTGGGAAGTGAGGAGCGTCTCTGCCGGGCCACCCATCGTCTGGGATGTGAGGAGCCTCTCTGCCTGGCTGCCCAGTCTGGAAAGTGAGGAGCATCTCTGCCCGGCCGCCATCCCATCTAGGAAGTGAGGAGCATCTCTGCCAGGCCGCCCATCATCTGAGATGTGGGGAGCGCCTCTGCCCTGCCGCCCCGTCTGGGATGTGAGGAGCGTCTCTGCCCGGCCACCCCGTCTGAGAAGTGAGGAGACCCTCTGCCTGGCAACCGCCCCGTCTGAGAAGTGAGGAGCCCCTCAGCCCGGCAGCCACACCGTCTGAGAAGTGAGGAGCCCCTTTGCCCGGCAGCCACCCCGTCTGGGAAGTGAGGAGCGTCTCCGCCCGGCAGCCACCCCGTCCGGGAGGGAGGTGGGGGTCAGCCCCCCACCCGGCCAGCCGCCCCGTCCGGGAGGGAGGTGGGGGGGTCAGCCCCCCGCCCGGCCAGCCGCCCCGTCCGGGGGGTGAGGGGCGCCTCTGCCCGGCCGCCCCTACTGGGAAGTGAGGAGCCCCTCTGCCCGGCCAGCCGCCCCGTCCGGGAAGGAGGTGGGGGGGTCAGCCCCCCGCCCGGCCAGCCGCCCCGTCCGGGAGGTGAGGGGCGCCTCTGCCCGGCCGCCCCTACTGGGAAGAGAGGAGCCCCTCTGCCCGGCCAGCCGCCCCGTCCGGGAGGGAGGTGGGGGGGTCAGCCCCCCGCCCGGCCAGCCGCCCCGTCCGGGAGGGAGGTGGGGGGGTCAGCCCCCCGCCCGGCCAGCCGCCCCGTCCGGGAGGGAGGTGGGGTGGTCAGCCCCCCGCCCGGCCAGCCGCCCCGTCCGGGAGGGAGGTGGGGGGGTCAGCCCCCCGCCCGGCCAGCCGCCCCGTCCGGGAGGTGAGGGGCGCCTCTGCCCGGCCGCCCCTACTGGGAAGTGAGGAGCCCCTCTGCCCGGCCAGCCGCCCCGTCCGGGAGGGAGGTGGGGGGGTCGGCCCCCCGCCCGGCCAGCCGCCCCGTCCGGGAGGTCAGGGGCGCCTCTGCCCGGCCGCCCCTACTGGGAAGTGAGGAGCCCCTCTGCCCGGCCAGCCGCCCCGTCCGGGAGGGAGGTGGGGGGGTCGGCCCCCCGCCCGGCCAGCCGCCCCGTCCGGGAGGTGAGGGGCGCCTCTGCCCGGCCGCCCCTACTGGGAAGTGAGGAGCCCCTCTGCCCGGCCACCACCCCGTCTGGGAGGTGTACTCAACAGCTCATTGAGAACGGGCCATGATGACAATGGCAGTTTTGTGGAATAGAAAATGGGGAAAGGTGGAGAAAAGATTGAGAAATCGGATGGTTGCTGTGTCTGTGTAGGAAGAGGTAGACATGGGAGACTTTTCATTTTGTTCTGTACTAAGAAAAATTCTTCTGCCTTGGGATCCTGTTGATCTGTGACCTTGCCCCCAACCCTGTGCTCTCTGAAACATGTGCTGTGTCCACTCAGGGTTGAATGGATTAAGGGCGGTGCAAGATGTGCTTTGTTAAACAGATGCTTGAAGGCAGCATGCTCGTTAAGAGTCATCACCACTCCCTAATCTCAAGTACCCAGGGACACAAACACTGCGGAAGGCCGCAGGGTCCTCTGCCTAGGAAAACCAGAGACCTTTGTTCACTTGTTTATCTGCTGACCTTCCCTCCACTATTGTCCTGTGACCCTGCCAAATCCCCCTCTGCGAGAAACACCCAAGAATGATTAAAAAAAAAAAAAAAAAATACTCTGATGCATTCTTAAGTACATCAACTACATTTTTCAGCTCCAGTATTTCTGGTTGACTCTTAAATTATTTCAATTTCTTTGTTAAATGTATCTGATAGGATTCTGAATTCCTTCTCAGTGTTATCTTGAATTTTACTGAGCTTTCTCAAAAGAGCTATTTTGAATTCTCTGTCTAAAAAGTCATATATCTCTGTTTCTCCAGGATTAGTTCTTGGTGCCTTATTTAGTTTGTTTGGTGAGGTCATGTTTTCCTGGATGGAACTGATGTTTATGGATGTTTGTCAGTGTTTAGGCATTGAAGAGTTAGATATTTATTGTAGTCTTCACAGTCTGGGCTTGTTTGTACCTGTCCTTCTTGGGAAGGCTTTTCAAGTATTCTGAGGGACTTGTGTGTTATGATCTAAGTCTTTGATCACTGTAGCTGTATCTGTATTAAGGGGCACCCCAAGCTCAGTAATGCTGTGGCTCTTGCAGACTATTAGAGATACCAACTTGGTGGTCTTGGGTAAGATCTGGGAGAATTCCCTGGATTACCAGGCAGAGACTCTTGTTCTCTTCCCTCACTTTCCCCCAAACGTCTCTCCGTGCTGAGTTGCCGAGGTCTGGGGAAGGGGTGACACAATCACTGCTATGACCACCACTACTGAGACTGCACTGGGTCACCCAATGCCCATGGTGACCACTGCTTGGCTACTGCCTATGTTCACTTAAGGTCCAAGGGTGCTACAATCAGCAGGTGGTGAATCCAGCTAGTCTTATGTCCTTTCCTTCAAGGCAGTGAGTTCCCCTTGGCCTCGGGTGGGTCCAGAGATGCCATCAAGGAGCCAGGGCCTCAAGTCAGGAACCTTAGGACTCTACCTGGTACTGTATTGTACTGCAGCTAAGCTGGCACCTATGTTGTAAGATGAAGTTCTTCCCACTCTTCCCTCCTCTTTCCTCAAGTAGAAGAGTCTCTCCCCATGACCACTACTGCCTCAGTCCCAGGGCAAGTAGCCTGGCTACCACCAAAGTTCACTCAAGGCCCAAGCGCTCTTCAGTCAGGTCATGGTGAATGCTGCCATGCCTGGTTCTCTCCCTTTAGGGCAATGGATTCCCTTCTGGCCCAGAGCAGTTCCAGAAATGCTTTGCAGGAGGCAAGGCCTGGAAATGGGGACCCTGGAAGCCTGCTTGTTGCTCTACTACACTGTGACTGAGCTGGTACCCAAGGTGCAAGACAAAGTCCCCTTTATTCTTCCCTCTCCTTTCCTCAAGCAGGAGTCCCTACCCATAGCCACCACAGCTGGGAATGTGCTGGGTCACATCTGAAGCCAGCGTGGCTCTGAGTCTTACCCAAGGCCTGCCGTGAGTACTGCCTGACTATTCAGGTCCCAATGGCTCTTTAGTAAGCAAGTGATGAATCCTGCCAGGACTGGGTCCTTCTCTTCAAGGCAGCAGGCTCCCTTCTAGCCCAGGATGTGTCTAGAAATGTCATCCAGCAGCAAGGGCCTGGAATGAAGCCTCAGGACTTTGCCTGGTGCCCGATTCTATGGTAGTTGAGCTGGTATCCAAGATGCAAGACAAAGTTCTCTTTACTCTTCCCTCCTCTCCTCAATCAGGAGGAAGGAGTCTCTCCTAGAGCTGTGAGCTGCACTGCCTGGGGTTCTGGGAGGGGTGATGCAAGTACTCCCTTGGCCACCCCAGCTGGTATCTCACTAGGTTGTGTGCACCCCAAAGTCCGCTGGCTCTGAGCCTAGCATGGCACAAGGACTTGCCCAGGAATTGCGGTCCCTGTGGCCTGTCGGGGGAAATTCAGCCAGATATCAGGAGAAATTCACCCCCAATATTTCATGTAGGTTCTTTTCTATTTTCCCTAAGTGTTGGCCGGTTTGAGAAATAAAGGGACAGAGTACAAAAGAGAGAAATTTTAAAGCTGGGTGTCCAGGGCAGACATCACATGTTGGCAGGTTCTGTGATGCCCCCTGAGCCATAAAACCAGCAAATTTTTTATTAGTGATTTTCAAAAGGGGAGGGAGTGTACAAATAGGGTATGGGTCACAGAGATCCCATGCTTCACAAGGTAATAAGATATCACAAGGTAAATGGAGGCAGGGCGAGATCACAGGACCACAGGACTGGGGTGAAATTAAAATTGCTAATGAAGTTTCGGGCATGCATTGTCATTGATAACATCTTATCAGGAGACAGGGTTTGAGAGCAGACAACTGGTCTGACCAAAATTTATTAGGCAGGAATTTCCTCGTCCTAATAAGCCTGGGAGCACTCTGAGAAACTGGGGCTTATTTCATCCCCACAGCTGCGACCATAAAAGACAGCTGCCCTGAAGCAGCCATTTCAGAGGCCTACCCTCAGGGATGCATTCTCTTTCTCAGGGATGTTCCTTGCTGAGAAAAAGAATTCAGTGATATTTCTCCCATTTGCTTTTGAAAGAAGAGAAATATGGCTCTGTTCCGTCCAGCTCACCGGCAGTCAGAGTTTAAGGTTATCTCTCTTGTTCCGTGAACATCACTGTTATCCTGTTCTTTTTTCAAGGTGCCCAGATTTCATATTGTTCAAACACAAATGCTCTACAATTTGTGCAGTTAACACAATCATCACAGGGTCCTGAGGCGACATACATCCTCCTCAGTTTACGAAGATGACGGGATTAAGAGATTAAAGTAAAGACAGGCATAGGAAATCACAAGGGTATTGATTGGGGAACTAATAAATGTCCATGAAATCTTCACAATTTATGTTCTTCTGCCATGGCTTCAGCTGGTCCCTCCGGGGTCCCTGACTTCCCGCAACATCTCTCCCTTTCTTTTTATAATAAATGTGCCATGGCAATGAAGGCTTGTTCGTTCTCTTGATTTTGACGCAGGATTCTTTGACTAGTCTGGCAAACTAAAAACAAGCCGATTAAACAGAGAAACATAATTCCAAAATTTACTACAGTGGAGCCCCCAATAGACTTAATCCAAGTCCTGGGGTTTAATCCAGAAAGATTTTCTGCCACCTGATCTAACGCCTCAGCTCCAGGCACAATGGATAAGTGAGCTTGAGAGGCTTCAAAAATTTGTCTCTTTAATTTAGTTATGTCCAGTGATAAATTATCTTCCCTACCCAGAAGATGTCTTTTGACCATTTCCCATGAATGATCAGTCTCGTTATAGGAATACGGGGTGATGCAGAAATCTCAAGTGTTCCAATCGTACTGCATTTGCATGTGATGCTCGAGACTCACTACCTGATCTCCAAGCCAAATAACAGACTGTCTTAAATCACTAATTTGATTTGCCAATTTTCGATCGATGCCTTGTTGAGAATTCCACATTTGGATGGAATTGGCTTGCCAACCATTAACAAAATGAGCCGCTTGAATGGACTGGTGTAATGCCATTCCGGCAGTGGTGGCCACTGCAGTGACTGTAATTAGGCCCATGATAACAGCAATTAAAGTGAAAATAAATCTCTTAGATCTTTTTAGAATTCACTGTAACACTTCATTAATTAAATGTATTGAAGGGGAGGATTCCCAAGGTCTGGGCAAAGTTACCGGAATCCAGATTCCTTCTTGAGCTCGAACCAACATTACACTTTTCCTGGAATCAAAATGGGAGTTAATACAAGTGTATAAATGACAATTAATGCATTGGACAGTTTGATTGTTCATCCAAATTTTGATATATCTCACTAACAGCATGCAAGGAGGCTTAACAGAACTCTGTATGGAAACAGGTTGGAGGTAGGTAAAGCAGAATGTCTGGATCTACGTTGATACTGAGAGAGGGAGATGGTAGTGGGGACAACAGACAGAATAGTTTCTGCTTCCCATACTTGCAGTCCAGACATGGCAATAGCCAATTTCCAAAGTTCTGGGTGTTCTGGGTCAGAATGGGGAGTATCATATGAGGCCTCGGAGAGGGGGTAATGCCTTTATCTTCCCATTTTAAGGAAAAGAATGAGCTTAACCTCCGATGCAAAGTAGTATGATGATTCTCGTTCTCCTGATAAGAAATAAAATAAGTGCTGGGATTACAGGCATGAGCCACCACACCCAGCCCAAATGGTTGTAATTTTAAACATTACTTATAGAAATTCTAAAATCTGTCAAACAGATTTAATAAGAAATTTGCAGCAGGGAGCAGTGACTCTCACCTGTAATCCCAGTACTTTGGGAGGCTAAGACAGGTGGATCACTTGAAGTCAGGAGTTCAAGACCAGCCCGGACAACATGGCAAAACCTCATGTCTACTAAATGTACAAAAGTTAGCAAGACATGGTGGCAGGCATCTGTAATCCCAGCTACTTGGGAGGATAAGGCAGGAGGATTGCTTGAACCCAGGAGGTAGAGGTTGCAGTGAGCCAAGATCGCGCCACTGCACTCCAGCCTGGGTAACAAGAGGGAGACTTCATCTCAAAGAAAAAAATGAAATAAATAAAATTACAAACACTTGAACTTACAGTTGCACAAAACTGTTGAATTTTATGTGTTGCAAGAAGGCAGAGCAAGATGGCTTAATAGAATCCTCCAGCAGTCATCCCTCCGACAGAAATATCAAACTGAACAACTACATTAAAAAAGCACCTTCATAAGAACCAATAATCAGGTGAGTGATCGCAGTACCTGGTTTATTATCATATTAAGGAAACAGGCACTGAAGAGGGTAAGAAATAGTCTTGAATTGTCAACATCATCCCTCTTCATCCCCTGGCAGTGGCCAATTGGTGTAAAGAGAGAATGGGTGCTCCTGGGGGAGGAAGAATACAATGATTGTGAGACTCTGCATTTGAACTCAGTGCAGCCCTGGCACAGCAGAAAGCCACACAGGGCAGAACTCAGCCAGTAACCCAGAGGGAACATTAGATCAACCCTAGCCAGAGGGGAACTGTCCATTCCAGGAGCTGGAACCCGAGTTCTGGCAAGCCCCACAGGCTAAAGTGCTTTGGAGGCCTAGGTAAACTGAAAGGCAGTGTAGGCCACTGTTGCGAGAAGTCAGGGACCCCATACTTTCCATATAAACCTGCAGGAAAACCATGCCCTAAAAATTTTGAGGGCCCATCTAAAACTTTAATTTGGGAAGACTATGTTAACTCACATGCAGTAATATTAAAAAATGACTCATATGGTTTAGTAATAGACTGGGCGCCAAAGGGCTATTTAAAAAACAATTGCTCCTCTGGTGGAAGGGAATGCCTGGAGGCTACTTATTGAAAGTATGGGGTATGTCCCATTACTCCCCCTTTCATTTGTTTTAAAGGAGAAAGGGAGAGGCCAGAGACCAAATGTCCCGGTTCCTCTGTAGCTGATCTCTCGGGAAGATAAGCAGCCCAGACTTGAGTTTCTAGATGGATATAACCAGGTGCATTTCTGAGGCACAGAGGGTGTTATTTATAACCCATGATAACATTAAATGTAGTGCCTTCTTCTCCTGGTTGAGCAGGGCAACGGTCATCTGTAGCTCCAGGCATCCACAAACTATCGTTAATGTAGATTTCCGCAGGAGCATCAATCCAGGTGAGAGGTCGAATAAGTGGAGGAAAGGGCACATAAGCCCAATAAGAATAATTTTGTGTAGCAGGTAAATAAGTGTGAGAGGAAACTGGTGAGACAGAAAGTATAAGGAGGAGAATCATTAAGTAAAACCTAGTGTAAGCGAGATTCAGTGCTGAAGGAGGAAGAGAAGAACAGAGGGATGTTATTTTCAGGCTAATAGAAATGGTGAGATTTTTTAGGTCTGTAAGGAGAAAAAGAAAGGTAATTAGAAGTGGGATTAGTTAGATGGGTCTCCATTGCCATCAGGGAGGATCGAATCAGACCCATTGTGATTTGGTGTGCCTGCTTCTGAGTTAACAAATCCATCACCTCACGTACTTACCATTTTTTGTGGTGAAAACATTTAAAATCGATCATGTATATATGTTTAACACAGAGGTATTTTTCCCAAGGTTCGGCTGGGCTTAGTTTTCCTAGGAAAACTGGATTACGGTACTTGTAAGTTTAATGGATGTGAAATTGATTGAATTTTAAGAAATTATAGCAAACTATATTCAGTTGAACCTTGGGGAAATATACTTGTAGAAAGATGTTCATTTATTTACAATGCATGTCTGCTATTCCAGGACTCTCATTTTGTAAGCATACTAGAGGAGGTGAATTAGGAGCAGATTAGATCACTTGATACACATTACCTTATATATAAAGAATACATATATATGTATGTGTGTGTGTATGTATCTCTATATATATACATTTATATATATGTATTTATACTTTTTTTTTTTTTTTTTGAGACAAAGTTTCACTCTTTCGCCCAGACTGGAGTGCAGTGGTGCAAGGTGCAATCATAGCTCACTGTAACCTTGAACTCCTGGGCTCAAGCAATCTCCCCTCCTCAGCTTCCCAGACAGCTAGGACTACAAGTGTGCATCACCGCACCTGGCTAATTTTTAAAAAAAGGTTTTTTTTGGCCAGGCGCGGTGGCTCACGTCTGTAATCCCAGCACTTTGGGAGGCCGAGGCGGATCATGAGGTCTGGAGTTCGAGACCATCCTGGCCAACATGGTGAAACTCCATCTCTACTAAAAATACAAAAAATGAGCCGGGCGTGGTGGCATGTGCCTGTAGTCCCAGCTACTCGGGAGGCTGAGGCAGGAGTATCGCTTGAACCTGGGAGGCCGAGGTTGCAGTGAGCCCAGATCTCACCACTGCACTCCAGCCTGGCGACAGACCGAGACTCTATCTCAAAACAAAAACACAAAAAAAACAAAACAACATTTTTTTTTGTAGAGTTGGGGGGTCTCACTACATTGCCCAGACTAGTCTCTAACTCCTGGCCTCAAATGGTCCTCTCACCTCAGCCTCTCAATGCACTAGGATTACAAGTGTGAGCCACCACACTCCAAAATTTTTCAATTAACACATTTATAAATATTCTCAGAGAATGCCAATTTAACTATTAGAGGGAAATCTAGTTTGCCTTATTTCCAAGTTCTCAGTGGGTTGTTTTGGAAGAAAGGAACAGAAACTACTCAAACTAGTTTAATCAATAAAAATAGAAGGTAGAGTTATTGGAATGTAGGGATATCTCATAACTCAAGAGCATTAATCCTTAAGAGTTCAAGGTTTTTTTTTTAAAAAAAAAAAAAAAGTAAAAAAGAACCCAAGAGCAGGAGGAGTAAGTACTGCTAGGCTTCTGAGAAACTGGAAAGGCGATCTGGAAAGGAGTCAGAATTCAAATGGTTTATTTATCTTTGACTCTCTCCTTAGTATCTCAATTTCTTTTTCTTTTTCTTTTTTTTTTTTTTTTTGAGACAGAGTCTTGCTCTGTCATCCAGGCTGGAGTGCAGTGGCACGATCTCAGCTCACTGCAACCTCTGCCTCCCAGTTTCATGCGATTCTCCTGCCTTGGCCTCCTGCGTAGCTGGAGGCTAATGTTTGTATTTTTAGTAGAGATGGGGTTTCACCATGTTGGTCAGGCTGGTCTCGAACTCCTGACCTCAGGTGATGCGCCTGCCTCAGCCTCCGAAAGTGCTGGGATTACAGGCTTGAGCCACCACACCCGACATCAATTTCTTAATCTTTCTGCAGATGTGCTTTCTCTGATTGGACATTCACACACATCTATCTGTGTACTTTGCCCCATAAATTCCTGAGGTCAGACTTGAATATAAAGCCAAGTCTAATTTTCCAGGAGCAGGAAAATGATTGGCCAATTTGGGGCCAGATGAACACTGCTGGTACAACTGGTGGCCAGAAAGGTAAAAGTCATGTGACTACAGTCAGCTAGGAGGAGGGCTGTAGGTTTGCAGATGCTCTAAGGGTGTGGGAAGAACCGGAGGCAAAGGTGTGTAACTTTGATATGGAAGAAAGTTCACTATTATCACAGGTAGTATCTATAATCACTAAGTTAGGTTGTTTCTACATCCAGAAAGCTGCCTGAGTCTGTTCTCTCTGTCATTCCTCTAATTCAGAGGACCCCAACGCCCCAACACAGACCTGTCGCCTATTAGGAACTGGGCTGCACAGCAGGTGAGCAGCTAGCAAGCAAGCATTACTGCCTGAGCTCTGCCTCCTGTCAGATCAAGGAGAGCATTAGATTCTCACAGGAACTCAAAACCTATTTTGAACTGCACCTGTGAGGAATCTAGATTGCACACTCCTTATGGAAATCTAATTGATGATCTTGAGGTGCAACAGTTTCATTCCGAAACCATCCTCTGCCTCATGCCCACCCCCCGAGCCCTGTGGAAAATTGTCTTTCACAGAACAGCTCCCTGGTGCCAAAAAGGTAGAACTGGAATCTAATCCAAATCTTCATCTCTTTGTTGAAATATTGCAAGAACTTCCTTTTTGGTGTCTTCACTTTCACGCTCCTGAAATCTGTTCTTCAACGCCACAAGGTAATAGTGTGAGGATTAACTAAAAACTTTGTCAACTTTAAAGCACTCCACAAATATAAAGTAGTAATAAGGCCATTGCAATGGTTCACACCTGTAATTCCAACACTTTGGGAGGCCAAGGTGGGAGGATCACTTGAGGCCAGGAGTTCAAGGCCAACTTGAACAGAGCGAGATGCTGTCTCAAAAATAAAAAAATAAGGCCGGGTGCGGTGGTTCACACCTGTAATCCCAGCACTTTGGGAGGCCACGGTAGGTGGATCACCTGAGGTCAGGAGTTCGAGACCAGCCTGGCCAACATGGTGAAACCCTGTCTCTACTAAAAATACAAAAAATTAGCTGGGCGTGGTGGCAGGCGCCTGTAATCCCAGTTACTTGGGAGGCTGAGGCAGGAAGACTCGCTTGAATCTGGGAGGTGGGGTTGCAGTGAGCTGATACCACGTCCCTGCACTCCAGCCTGGGCAACAGAGCAAGACTCCATCTAAAATAAATAAATAAATAAATAAATAAAAATAAAAATAAATTGGTAAGTGGAGGGAAAATAGATCTAACCAAATGACTTGTCTTCTTAAAAACTTCAATGATTTCTTCAGTACCTAGAGACCAAAGCTCCTTACCTTTTTTTTTTTTTTTGAGACGGAGTCTTGCTCTGTTGCCCAGGCTGGAGTGCAGTGGCGTGATCTCGCTCACTGCAACCTCCACCTCCCGGGTTCAAGCACTTCTCTGCCTCAGCCTCCCAAAGAGCTGGGATTACAGGCATGCACCACCACGCCCGGCTAATTTTTGTAGTTTTAGTAGAGATGGGGTTTTGCCATCTTGGCCAGGCTGGTCTTGAACTCCTGACCTCGTGATCCGCCCACCTTGGCCTCCCAAAGTTCTGGGATTACAGGCTTGAGCCACCGCGCCTGGCCTCTCCTTACATGTTTTGTTGTTGTCGCTTGTCTTTTGAGACAAGGTCTCACTCTGTAGCCCAGGCTGGAGTGCAGTGGCCCATCATAGCTCACTGCAGCCTTGACGTCCTGAGCTCAAGCAGTCCTCCCACCTCAGCCTCCGGGATAGCTGAGACCACAGGCACAAGCCACCACGCCCAGCTTATTTTTTTTTTTTTTTTTTTTGAGATATGGGGTCCCACTATGTTGCCCAGGCTGGTCTCCAACTCCTGAGCTCAAGCGATCCTCCCCCACCTTGGCTTCCCAAAGTGCTGGGATTACAGGTGTGAGCCACCGTGCAGGCCTTATATGATCTTCATATCCTGAACTAAATGTAACCTTCCAGTTTCGGCACTTGCTCTGGCACTTTTCCTCCCTCGCCAGATAATACTAATCTTTAATCATGTAGTTCGTTTCCATGCCCATACTACCCTATTTGCTTATAATGTCTTCCACTTCGCCCAAGAATCCCTACTCAGCTAGCTTGTGGTGTTGTTTTGACACAGTCTCGCTCTGTCGCCCAGGCTGGAGTACAGCGGCGAGATCTCGGTTGGCTGCAACCTCCTCCTGAGTTCAAGCGATTCTCATGCCTCAGCCTTTCGAGTAGCTAGGATTACAGGCATGTGCCACAAAACCTGGCTAATTTTTGTATTTTTTACTAAAGACGAGGTTTCACCACGTTGGCCAGGTTTATCTCCAACCCCTGACCTCAGGTGATCCGCCTGCCTTGGCCTCCTAAACTGCTGGGATTACTGGCGTGAACCACCGCGCCCGGCCCTACTCAGCCTTTAAAACCGGAATCACGGGTCAAAACTTTCTGGTAAACCACGATACGGTTTAGGTTATGAAATTCAATGCCCCCTTCCTCTGAACTCCTGCAAATCTCCAGTAAAGCACCACAGATTGACGAATATTCCAGCCATTTCCCTCTCCCGTACGCTAGCTCCATTTCCCACTTCTATCCATCTTCTCGAGCTTCCTCAGCTCCTCCACCTCCATGAGGCCTGGAAAGCACCTTGCTCCAGGAATGCGAGTAGGAGGCTCAGAGCGACCAGAAGTGCCAAAAGCTGACATTCAGATACTGCCGAAACAAACCACAAGAGCGCTAGGGCCCCCGCTAATAGTCCAGCTGCGATGGTGAGAACTCGCGGACCCGCCGGCGATGCATGCCGGGAGATGTAGTCCCGGGCCGACGCATTACCTCTTGGGAGTCGTGGTCTTCGATCTGGTAAACAGAAGACGGCAACTCGGTTAAGTCTTCCCCCACCGCCCCCTGAAATCCCTCGCCCCACCCGCGAGGGACTGGGGTAGGAGTAGGGGCGTTGCCGTGGTTAGCCTCGAACTCCTAGGCTCAGACGATACTCTCGCCTCGGCCTCCCGAGCAGCTGGGACTACACGCGTGAGCCACCGCCCCCGGCATAAAGTTTGAATTAGTCCTTACGCAAAAAGGGAAGAGGGCAGTCTGTAAACTCGCGCAGGATCAAGCTCTCGAGCTCCCGTCTTGGGTTAGCGCGCAGGGCGGAAGCGGGGAGAAGGCGGATCCGGGAGGCGGGGATACGTTACGTCGACGCGGGCGTGACCCTGGGCGAGAGGGTTTGGCGGGAATTCTGAAAGCCGCTGGCGGACCGCGCGCAGCGGCCAGAGACCGAGCCCTAAGGAGAGTGCGGCGCTTCCCGAGGCGTGCAGCTGGGAACTGCAACTCATCTGGGTTGTGCGCAGAAGGCTGGGGCAAGCGAGTAGAGAAGTGGAGCGTAAGCCAGGGGCGTTGGGGGCCGTGCGGGTCGGGCGCGTGCCACGCCCGCGGGGTGAAGTCGGAGCGCGGGGCCTGCTGGAGAGAGGAGCGCTGCGGACCGAGGTGAGTGTGTGAGGCGCAGGCTGGGCCCTCCAGAGCCGCGGCTCGTCCTCGCCCACCTGCGTCCTGGCCGGTCCAGTGCTCAGCGGCAGTTGGGGCCTCCGCGCGCAGTGTGAAACCCGGACGTGGCAGGGCGTGTCCGCGCCCGACCGACCCTCAGCTGCTGGGGCGAAAACACAAGTGGACCTCAGTCTTTAGAACTAGGGGAGAAACATTAGAGCCTTTATAGGCAACACCTATTTTATGGGTTCGAGCGAGAAGTCCGAGATCAGAGCGGTGTAGCCACAGCTGTTTAATATCACAGCCAGGGCTTCCGGATTCCTGATCTGTCTTTCCATTACACCGTGCTTAGAAAGTACCAATCTCCGATTGCCAAAACAGTGTTTTCATCATCTAATGCGGAAAACCATTCACATGATGCCTAGAGAATGATCTGAAGTGAGGTTTGGTTTTCTTAAAACTTTTTTTTTGAGATGGAGTCTCGCTCTTCCGCCCAGGCTGGAGTGTAGTGGCGCGATCTCGGCTCACTGCAACCTCCGCCTCCCGGATTCAAGCGATTCTCCTACCTCAGCCTCCCGAGGAGCTGGGATTACAGGCCCCCACCACCACGCCGCCAGGCTGATTTTTGTATTTTTAGTAGAGACGGGGTTTCACCATGTTGGTCAGGCTGGTCTCGAACTTCTGACCTCAGGTTATCCACCCGCCTCTGCCTCCCAAAGTGCTGGGATTACAGCCGTGAGCCACAGCGCCTGGCCCCTGTTTTTTTGTTTGTTTGTTTGTTTTTAACTTCTAAAGCGCAATGTAATATACATGTAGAAAAATTCACATTCACAACTGTATACAACTCCGTGAATTATTACAAAATATACTGGCCGGGCGTCGTGTCTCACGTCTGTAGTCCCAGCACTTTGGGAAGTGGAGGCGGGAGGACGATTGAGCCCAAGAGTTCGAGAACAGCCTGGTCAAGATAGTGAGACCCGCATCTCTACAAATAGGAAAAATTAGCTAGGCATGGTGGCGTGCACCTGTAGGCCCAGCTATTCAGGAGGCTGAGAAGGGAGGATCTAGCCTGGGAGGTATAAGCTGCAGTGAGCTGTGATCAGGCCACTGCACTCCAACCTGGGCGATAGAGCAAGACAAAATGAATATACACCTATGTAATCACCACTTAATAGAATGGTCCTCAGAAGCCTTCCTGTGTAGTATTTAATATTTTCCCCTTTTTACAGTGGTAACTGCTATACTGGTTTCTAATGAGATGAACTAATGTTGCTTGTTTTTGAATTTTATATAAAAATACATCAGGAGTGTTGAGTGTTTCGTTGTTTCACATGCTTGCCAACACGATATTTTTCAGCCTTTTTGATTTTAACTATTCTGCTGGTTACACAGTAATGTCTTAATGTGATTTTAATTTTCCTGATTAATAATGATGTTGGACATCTGTTCATATGTTTTTGCCCATTTTGATATCTTCTGTGATGTGCTTGTTCAAATCTCTTGCCTATTTTTCTATTATCTTTTTCTTACTGATGTGAAGTTCTTTATATACTGGTTATCAGCCCTCAGTTATGTTTGTGCTAAATGTTTTCTCTACTGTGGTTTGACTTGTCACTCTCTTAGTGGTGTCCTTTGATGAATAGAAGTGCTGAATTTATTTTTTTATTATTTATTTATTTATTTATTTTTCCTTTTGAGACAGAGTTTGGCTCTTGTTGCCCAGGCTGGAGTGCAATGGCACAATCTTGGCTCACCGCAACCTCCGCCTCCCGGGTTCAAGCGATTCTCCTGCCTCAGCCTCCCGAGTAGCTGGGATTACAGGCATGTGCCACCACGCCCAGCTAATTTTGTATTTTTCTTTAATAGAGACAGGATTTCTCCATGTTGGTCAGGCTGGTCTTGAACTCCTGAACTTAGGTGATCTGCCCGCCTTGGCCTCCCAAAGTGCTGGGATTGCAGACGTGAGCCACAGTGCCCAGTAGAAGTGCTGAATTTAAATGTAGTTCAGTTTTCAGTCTTTTCCTTTTTGGCTAGTGCGTTATGCATCCAGTTTCAAGAAATCTTTTTCTGTCCCAAGGTTGTGAAAATAATAAGTGTTACTTTGTTTTTGACAGACGATTGTACATATTTATGAGATACAAGATGATATTTCTTTTTTTTTTTTTTTTTTTTTGAGACGGAGTCTCACTCTGTCGCCCAGGCTGGAGTGCAGTGGCGCGATCTTGGCTCACTGCAAGCTCCGCCTCCTGGGTTCACGCCATTCTCCTGTCTCAGCCTGCCACCACGCCCAGCTAATTTTTTGTATTTTTTAGTAGAGACAGGGTTTCACCATGTTAGCCAGGATGGTCTCGATCTCCTGACCTGGTGATCCACCCGCCTTGGCCTCCCAAAGTGCTGGGATTACAGGCGTGAGCCACTCCACCTGGCCCAAGATGATATTTCAATACATATATACATTGTATAATGAATGATCAAATCAGGGTAATCAGCATATCCATCAGTTCACTTAAACACTTGTCATTTCTCTTTGTGATGAGAACATTCAAAATACTCGCTTCTGGCTATTTTGAAGTATACATTACATTAGTGTTTACTGTAGTCACCCTACTGTGAAATAGAACCCTAGAACTTATTCCTCCTATCTAACTGAAACTTTGTGCCTGTTGACCAACCTCTCTCCTTCCTGCCGCCCCCTGCAACAGCTGCATTCTCCTCAGTCTCTGGTTACCACTGTTCTATTTGTTCCTTGTATGAGATGAACTTTTTTTTTTTTGTTTTTTTTTTTGAGACACAGTCTCACTCTGTCATGAGGCTGGAGTACAGTGGCACGATCTCGGCTCACTGCGATCTCTGTCTTCCGGGTTGAAGCCATTTACCTGCCTCAGCCTCCCGAGTAGCTGGGACTACAGGCGTGTGCCACCACACCCTGCTAATATTTGTATTTTTAGTAGGGACGGGGTTTCGCATGTTGGCCGGGATGGTCTTGATCTCCTGACCTGGTGATCTGCCCGCCTCGGCCTCCCAAAGTGCTGGGATCACAGGCATGAGCCACCGCGCCCCGCCAAGATCAACTTTTTTAGATTCTACATATGAGTGAGATCATGCAGTATTTGTCTGCAAACACATTTATAATGTATAATGGGGTATATAAAAATAAGTAAAACTTGGCCCCTACACTGAAGGAATATAAAGCAGGAGAACAGAGAGGCACAATAAGAGAATGGCCTTGGCTTTTCCTAAAGTCTTTTTGATACGACTAGCTAGATAGAAGATGGGGAGAGAGATGCACCTTATTTCTCTAGTGTTTATACTGATAAGCATTTGTATTTTTCAGTAATGGCAATGCAGATGCAGCTTGAAGCAAATGCAGATACTTCAGTGGAAGAAGAAAGCTTTGGCCCACAACCCATTTCACGGTTAGAGGTATGTGGTTAGTTGCTAATTTTGGAATTATATACTAGATTCTTCTACCTAGTGGAAGGTATTACAACCTTTACATAAAATATAGGTTTACTACCAAGGTCAAGACCCAAATTAGACTTTTCAGAAGTGTTGTCAATAATCCTGTGGAAAGGCTGCAGATCATTGCTAAATATGTCTGGCAGGGCCTCTTCCTTTGTCAACAATTCTCTTCCTACTTTATCATTTTTATTTCTGAGAGTTGGACTGTCAGAAACTAAGGCCTAGGATCCCATGGTGGAATCTCTGTGCTGTTTTTGTTTGTTTGTTTGTTTGTTTTTGATGGAGTTTCGCTCTTGTTGCCCAGGCTGGAGTGCAATGGCGTGATCTCGGCTCACCGCAACCTCTGCGTCCCAGGTTCAAGCGATTCTCCTGCCTCAGCCTCCCAAGTAGCTGGAATTACAGGCATGAGCCACCACACCCAGCTAATTTTATATTTTTAGTAGAGACAGGGTTTCTCCATGTTGGTCAGGCTAGTCTCGAACTCCTGACCTCAGGTGATCCACCCTCTTTGGCCTCCCAAAGTGCTGGGATTACAGGCATGGGCCACTGCGCCCAGCCTGTGCTGTTTTTTTGTTTGTTTTTTAAGAAATGGGTCTTAACTGTGTTGACCATGTTGATCTTGAACTCCTGGCCTCAAGCAGTCCACCTGCCTTGGCGTCCCAAACTGCTAGGATTACAGGCATGAGCCACCATGCCTGGCCAAAGCATCCTGTGCTATTTGCACTAAGTATGAAAGTGCTGTTCTGGGAATTATAGCGGCCTGGACCAGTTATGCAAGGAAGACAGGGAAGCACCTTCTCTCCATTAACCTAGATTTGTGCTGTCAGCTGTCATTGGCAGAGAGAAGGGTGTGGTGGTGTTATGGTATAAGAGACAAGCTCCAATTCAGGATTCTGCACAAGAACATTAAGCACCAGAGCTGAGGCCTTACACTATTTCTGCCCATTGTATAGAGACTGCCCTGTGAGTGCAGCTGATTTGGGCTAAGTAGGAGGAAAGCAGAGAAAGACTTGATTCTTCTGTCTCTTTTTTTCATATTTCCCATCTCTGACTAATCTTCAAGACTCTAGAAGTTAGGAGTGCAAAAGGCTAATAAAAAAAAAAGACTCTAGAAGTTACTTAAATGGATTTGTGATAAACATTTGAAAGTTCAGAGTCATAACTTCTGGTGCCATGAGCATCCTTATACTCAAACATGCATATTGCTTAAATATTAATAGCAGACATGGCTTATGTTGGCAAACTAATCTCTCCCCTCTTCTAAATTCTCCCAACCCCTGAATGCACCCACATTCACCTACTAACTCATGTTTTCCCAGAAGTCATGGTTTTGGTGGCTAATGAAACCAAAGCTGACTTGAATATAGGAAGAAAGAGGTGTCTTTGGGTGGTTTGTTTTGAGAAGAGGTATAAAAGTCCCTGACAAAAAGTAGTTTTCCTCACTGTTAATGTCAGTTGTTAGAGCAGAGCTTTCTGGTCATTGTTCAACAAAAAGTATTGACAGGCCAAGATAGTGCTCTTTATATTCTGAGCAGCCTTATCTATTTACCCTACCATAGTGTAAAAATACAGTTTTTTATGTGTGCTTGATGTGGAAAGTGTTGAGCAACACTGTCTTAAAGTGGTCTTGTAGGGCCCAAGGTCTCAGAGATCATTTAGGGTCACAAAAAAAGGTTGGGAGTTACTTTTTAATTCCAATTGCTAATAGGAGTTCTTTTTAATGTACATGGCTTAGTGCTAGTTTAAAATTATTGATTTTGATAATGAAAAGGTTGTTAATTTGTTATTAAGTACCTCATATATAGGGCTCATTTTTCAGCTTTTGCATATAATAACAGTAGGCTCTCTGTATCTCCGGATTCTGTATCAGCAAATTCAACAAACTACGTATCAAAAATTCAATCAACTACATATCAAAAAAAAGTATACAGGAGGATGTACATAGGTTATATGCAGGTAATACGCCATTTTATATAAGGGACTTGAGCATTGTTGGATTTTGTTATCTGCTGGGGGTCCTGGAACCAACTTCCCATCTCCCCCCGCCCCCCCAAGGATTTCAAGGGACAGTTGTATTACAAGTCTTCAAGCACCTCTGTGAAGTATGTAGGACACATAACATCTGTGTTAGATTAGAGAACTAAAGCTTAAATTTATCCATGGTTTTCTTCATTTGCAGCAGTGTGGCATAAATGCCAACGATGTGAAGAAATTGGAAGAAGCTGGATTCCATACTGTGGAGGCTGTTGCCTATGCGCCAAAGAAGGAGCTAATAAATATTAAGGGAATTAGTGAAGCCAAAGCTGATAAAATTCTGGTAAGTACTGCTTACTTAACCTAGGGAGGCATTAGTGGGAATAGTACAAAAGGGAATGTAGTGAAAGACTTCTTCCTTCTATCTCTTATTCTTCGGTCATCTCATTATCCTTTCCAGGGGTGACTGTTACCTGTTTCTTTTCTTCTTTTCTTTTCTTTTCTTTTTTTTTTCTTTCTTTTTTTTTTTTTTTGGAGACGGGTTCTCGCTCTGTCACACAGGGTGGAGTGCAGTGGTGCCATCTCAGCTCACTGCAACCTTCACCTCCCAAGCTCAAGCGATCCTCTCACCTCAGCCTCCCAAGTAGCTGGGACTACACTACAGGCACATGCCACCATGCCGGGGTAGTCTCGAACTCCTGAGCTCAGGCGATTCACCTACCTCAGCCTCCCAAAGTGCTGGATTATAGGTGTGAGCTACTGTGCCTGGCCTATTTATTTTTCTAGCTTCATATAGTTCTTTAACATACATACTTCCCCATGGTTACATTTTGTTTTATGAACCTATTTCTTCAGTGTTTATATAGTTACACAGTTTTATTGCCTTTACCCTTGAAGTTTTATGTAGTATAAAGCAGATTTTTTTTTTTTTTTTTTTTTTTTTTGAGACGGAGTCTCGCTCTGTTGCCAGGCTGGAGTGCAATAGCGTGATCTTGGTCTACTGCACCCTCCGCCTCTCAGGTTCAAGTGATTCTCCTGCCTCAGCCTCCCGAGTAGTTGGGACTACAGGTATGTGCCACCACACCCAGCTAATTTTTGTATTTTTATTAGAGACAGGGTTTCACCACGTTGGCCAGGATGGTCTCGATCTCCTGACCTTGTGATCTGCCCACCTCAGCCTCCTAAAGTGCTGGGATTACAGGTGTGAGCCACCGCGCCCCACCGCAAATATTTATTTATAAAATTGTATTTTCACGTATCGATTACTGTTAGCGTTAGATAAATTTATTGGATTACTCAAATGAATATTTGCTGAAGTGGTTGCTTAATTGGAAATAAGGGTTCTGAGTCCCTAACAGTATTTTTGTTAAAAGATTGTCATATTGACTAAGCCAGTAGGGGTCCCTAAAGTCTTTCTGTTTTCGCTTTTTGGGTATCAGTTTTTGTGAATGAACAAATGCTGACAGGATCTTTTCTTTTTGCCTTGCGAGATCTTGGTTTCAGAAATCAAGTCACTTCTCTGTTTCTATGAACACAACAATGCAAACCTAGAATACATGATTTGAGATGCAATATGGTATAGACTTACGTGTCTTTACTTTTCAATATTTTATGTTCTTTGTTTCTGGCCAGTAAAGATTATGATTGTATTGTTTGTTTTCTGTTTTTTTTTGAGGCAGAGTGTCGCTGTGTCACCCAGGCTGGAGCACAATGGTGCAATTTTGGCTCTGCTCACTGCAACCTCTGCCTTCCGGGTTCAAGTGATTGTCGTGCCTCAGCCTCCCAAGTAGCTGGGATTACAGGCTCCCACCACCACACGTGGCTAATTTTTGTATTTTCAGTTGAGACGGGGTTTCACCATGTTGCCCAGGCTGGTCTCAAACTCCTGGCCTCAAGCAATCTGCCCACCTCAGCCTCCCAAAGTGCTGAAATTACAGGCACTAGCCACTGTGCCCACCTTTTTTTTTTTTTTTTAAAGAAAAAAAAGAAAAGTCTCACTCTGTTGCCCAGGCTGGAGTGCAGTGGCATGATCAAAGCTCACTGCAGCTTCAGCTTCAAACTCCTGGGCTCAAGGAATTCTCAGCCTGCTGAGTAGCTGGGACTATAGGCACATGCCACTAGCCTGACCATTTCTACCAGTTTTGTCTTTGCTAATACATTCTCCTGTTTTTCACCAAAGGAAGTAGTCTATATTCCTTGAGCTCCCATGGCTTGTTAGTACTTCTCATATTACCCATCACATCTACTTGTACTATAGTTATTTTGTATAGTTTATCTTTCTGATTAAGTTATAAGCTCTGTGGAGGCAGGAATCAGCTCTTCTTTTTCTCCATATCCTTCAGAGTCCCTGGGACTATGTTTCATACGAAGTAAGTGTCTAGTACATGTTTGTTGCACTGAAATGACAGTGAGTATATGAATTGGCCAGGCTGGTCTCAAAATCCTGGCCTCAGGTAATCCGCCCATCTCAGTATCCCAAAGTGCTGGGATTACAGGCGTGAGCCACTGCACCTGGCCGTGCAATGAATTTTTAAATGAAATATTAAGTATATAGAAAAGTTTAGAGAATAAACTTTCATTGATTTTTCAGCTATTTGTTGATTTTTTTTCTTCATGGGAAATTTAAACATTATGAAAGTTTAATCTTTTTACTTTCTATGGGTCTATTTAGATTTTCTTCTTGAGTGAGTTTTGGTAGTTTATCTTTCTAAGAATTTGCTTATTTCATCTAAGTTACCTAACTTGTTGACATAGAGATGCTCACAGGGTTTCCTTATACTACTTTTTATTTACATAAAGTCAGTAGTAATGTCCCCTCTTTCATTCTTGATTTTAGTAATTTGAGTCTTTTCTCTTTTTTTCTCGGGCAATGCAGCTAAAAGTTTGTCAATTTTGTTGATATTTTCAAAGAACCAGCTTTTGGTTTCATTGATTTTTCTCTATTATTCTGCCCTCTACTTAATAGTTTCTACCCTAACCTGTATTATTTCCATCTTTCTGCTTGCTTTGTTTTGTTTGCTTTTCTTTGGAAGGTTAGGTTATGATTTATCTTTTTTATTTTTAGAGGCAGAGTCTTGTTCTGTCACTTACGTTGGAGTGCAGTGGTGTGATCATAGCTCACTGCAGCCTCCAACTCCTGGCTCAAACAAACCTTCTGCCTCAGCCTCCCAGGTAACTAGGACCACAGGCACGCCCCACCATGCCCTGCTATTTATTTTATTTTATTTTATTTTTGAGACGGAGTCTCCCTCTGTGCCCAGGCTGGAGTGCAGTGGCGTGATCTCTGCTCACTGCAACCTCTGCCTCTTGGGTTCAAGCGATTCTCCTGCCTCAGCCTCCTGAGTGGCTGGGATTACAGGCACGTGCCGCCATGCCCAGCTAATTTTTAGTAGAGACAGGGTTTCACCGTGTTAGCCAGGATGGTCTTGATCTCCTGACCTCATGATCTGCCTGCCTCAGCCTCCCAAAGTGCTGGGATTACAGTCGTGAGCCACCGCGCCAGGCCTTTTTTTTTTTTTTTTCTGATGCAGTCTCACTCTCTTGCCCAGGCTGGAGTGCGGTGGTGTGATCTCGGCTCACTGCAACCTCCGCCGCCCGGGTTCAAGCAGTTCTCCTGTTTCAGCCTCCTGAGTAGTTGGGACTACAGGCGCACGCCACCACGCCCAGCTATTTTTTGTATTTTTAGTAGAAATGGGGTTTCACCATATTGGGCAGGCTGGTCTTGAACTCCTGACTTCGTGATCTGCCCACCTCACCCTACCAAAGTGCTGGGATTCAGGCATGAGCCACCATGCCCAGCCATGCCCTACTAATTTTTTTTTTTTTTTTTGAGATGGAATCTCGCTGTGTCTCTCAGGCTGGAGTGCAGTGGTGCAAATTCAGCTCACTGCAACCTCCGCCTCCCAGATTCAAGTGATTCTTCCACCTCAGCCTCCCGAGTAGCTGGGACTACAGGCGCGTGCCACCACGCCCGGCTAATTTTTGTATTTTTAGTAGAGAGGAAGTTTCACCATGTTGGTCAGGCTGGTCTTGAACTCCTGACCTTGTGATCTGCCCACCTCAGCCTCCCAAAGTTCTGAGATTACAGAGGTGAGCCACCACACCCAGCCACCCTGCTAATTTTAAAACATTTTTAGAGCCAGGGTGCTGCTTTGTTACTCAGGCTGGTCTCAAACTCCTGGCTTCCAGCAGTCCTCCCACCTCAGCCTCCCAAAGTGCTGGGATTACAGGTGTGATTCACCACACCCAGCCTTCTTTTCTAATATAGCTGTTTATAGCTATGAATTTCTCTCTAAGCACTGCTTTTCTTGGAGCCCATACGTTTTGGTATATCTTCGTTTTCATTCATTGCAAAAACATTTTCTGATTTCCCTTGTCATTTCTTCTTTGACTTGTTGCTTATTTAGGAGTGTGTTGCTTTATTTTTGCATATTTGTGAATGCACTTACTTTTCAATTTTAGAATCAACCCATAGTGCTATTACAGAACACTTATCTGTAATTACAAAATAGAATGTGAATGTTCTCAGCCAGACAATATGAAAGAAAAGGTACAGCTGATAGAGGTGGGGAAGTAGCCATGGAGAGAGAAAAGATTGAAGGGCAAATGTCCTCATTTTTACAAAGTAGGAAGTTAAGGGATACAGTCTGCGGTTGATGGAGCAGGAAATGAAGGTGTACTGTATTGTCATTTTTGTCATAAATTGGGCAAAACACATATGTACGGATCTCTAATAGTTTTTTGTTTTGTTTTGTTTTGTTTTTTGAGACAGAGTCTCGCTCTGTCCCCCAGGCTGGAGTACAGTGGCGCGATCTCGGCTCACTGCAAGCTCCGCCTCCCGGGTTCACGCCTTTCTCCTGCCTCAGCCTACCAAGTAGCTGGGACTTCAGGCACCCGCCACCACGCCCGACTAATTTTTTGTATTTTTTTAGTAGAGATGGGGTTTCACCATGTTAGCCAGGATGGTCTCGATCTCCTGACGTTGTGATCCGCCTGCCTTGGCCTTCCAAAGTGCTGGGATTACAGGCGTGAGCCATCGCACCCGGCCGGATCTATAATAGTTTTTAAAACTATATTAATATATTAACTTGAATTGGCAATTTAAAAATTGATCTTCATGGAATCTCTGAATTAGATTATCCTTTTTTATGACTTTCTAAAGAGAAATCATCCTGGTAATTTTATTTGATATTTTCTCTTCCCATTGCACACCTTGTTTTACTAATATTTCTTTTTTCTTTATATATATTTTTTTGCCATCAAGATCACTGTGGTAAGGAATATTATTTTGTTGATTTAATATTTCTTATTTTTCCCAGGCTGAGGCAGCTAAATTAGTTCCAATGGGTTTCACCACTGCAACTGAATTCCACCAAAGGCGGTCAGAGATCATACAGATTACTACTGGCTCCAAAGAGCTTGACAAACTACTTCAAGGTGTAGTAATCCTTTATCCTGTGTTGTGAACTCTAGTTAGGAAAGCTTCCAGGTTATAAAACAAAACTGAAATATTTGTGTAGCATTTCCTTGTTAGATAATGATAAAGAGATAGAGGAAGGCCAGGTGCAGTGGCTTATGCCTGTAATCTCAGCACTTTGGGAGGCTGAGGTGGGCAGATCACCTGAGGCTGGGAGTTCGAGACCAGCCCAGCCAACATGGAGAAACCTATTAAAAATACAAAATTAGTTGGGCATGGTGGCACATGCCTGTAATCCCTGTAGGTGCACATGCCTACTCGGGAGGCAGAGGCAGGAGAATCACTTGAACCCGGAAGACGGAGGTTGCTGTGAGCCAAGATTGTGCCACTGCACTCCAGCCTGGGTGACGAGCAAAACTCTGTCTCAAAAACAAAGAGAGATAAAGGAAGTATCCACATTGAAGAGGTAAGACTGCTGCAAGGTAGGACCTTATTTATAAAATACTAAACTTATCTGCAAATTAAATAATTTAGTCTCCATTTAATATTGTGTTAAGAGAGTAAGCTCCTTTTGCTTAAGGAGGTAACTGTAATTATAACCTACTCTACCACAGGGTTGAAAACCTGATGACTGGTTAAAACATTCCATGTTTGAATACTACTCATTGTGTACACACTAATCTTCAGGACTTCAGGGAAAACTATAAAGCTTTTGACCTTATTATTTATTTTTCGAGACAGGGTCTCACTCTGTCACCCAGGCTGGAGTGCAGTGGCATGGTCTCAGCTCACTGCAACCTCTGCTTCCTGGGCTCAAGTGATCTTCTAGCCTCAGTCTCCCCAAGCTAGGACTATGATCATTTACCACCTGGCTAATTTTTTTTTTTTTTTTTTTTTTTTTTGAGTCGGGGCATCACTCATTATGTTGCCCAGGCTGGTCTCAAAATCCTGAGCTCAAGCCATCCTCCTGCCTCAGCCTCCCAAAGTGCTGGGATTATAGGCTTGAGCCACCTTGCCTGGCCCAATGTCAGTTTTCTTTCCCTTTTTTTTGAGACAGAGTCTCACTCTGTTACCCAGGCTGGAGTGCAGTGGCATAATCTCAGCTCACTGCAACCTCCGCCTCCTGGGTTCAAGTGATTCTCCTGCCTCAGCCTCCCAAGTAGCTGGGACTACAGGCAAGTGCCACCATGCCCAGCTAATTTTTGTATTTTTAGTAGAGATGAGGTTTCACCACGTTGGCTAGGTTGGTCTCGAACTCCTGACCTCAGATGATCTACCCGCCTCAGCCTCCCAAAGTGCTGGGCTTACAGGCGTGAGCCATCATGCCTGGCCCCCAATGTCAGTTTTCTAATATCAGTGCTATACTATCATTATGCAAGAGGTTAACACTGCAGAAGGCTAGGTGCATAGAAATTTCGTATGTTTTTTTTTGTTGTTGTTGGTTTGTTTGTTTGTTTTTTAAAGACAGAGTCTTGCTCTGTTGCCCAGGCTAGAATGCAGTGGCACAATCTCGGCTCATTGCAACCACTGACTCCCAGGTTTGAGCAGTTCTCCTGCCTCAGTCTCCTGAGTAGCTGCAATGACAGGCACCCGCCACCGTGCCTGGCTAATTTTTGTATTTTTAGTAGAGACGGGATTTCACCGTCTTGGCCAGGCTGGTCTCAAAGTCCTGACCTCCTGATCCATCCACCTCGGCCTCCCAAAGTGCTGGGATTACAGGCATGAGCCACTGTGCCCAGCTTTTTTTTTTTTTTTTTTTTTTGAGATGGGGTCTTGCTATGTCACCCCGGCTGGAGTGCAGTGGCATGATCTTGGCTCACTGCCACTTCCGCCCCCAGGTTCAAGCTATTCTTCTGCCTCCGCCTCCCGAGTAGCTGGGACTACAGGCATGCACCACCATGCCCAGCTAATTTTTGTATTTTTAGTAGAGACAGGGTTTCACCATATTGTGCCCAGCTTTTTTTTTTTTTTTTTTGAGGAGTCTCACTTTGTCACCCAGGCTGGAGTGCAGTGGCGTGATCTCGGCTTGCTGCAGCCTCCGCCTCCCAGGTTCAAGTGATTCTCCTGCTTCAGCCTGCTAGTAGCTGGGATTACAGGTGCCCATCACCAGTTCCAGCTAAGTTTTGTATTTTTAGTAGACATGAGGTTTCACCATGTTGGCCAGGCTGGTCTCGAGCTCCTGACCTCAGGTGATCAGCCCGCCTCGGCCCCCTAAAGTGCTGGGATTACAGGTGTGAGCCACCGCACCTGGCCTTATTTGCAGCTATCTATAAATCTAATTATTTCAAAATACTTTTGGTTTATTTGTTTGTTTGTTTGTTTGTTTTGAAACAGGGTCTCACTGTGTCACCCAGGCTAGAGTGCACTGGCACGATTTTGGCTCACTGCAACTTCTGCCTCCCAGGCTCAAGTGATCCTCTCACCTTAGCTCCTGAGTAGCTGGTACTACAGGCATCCGCCACCATGCCCGGCTAATTTTTGTAGAGACAGGGCTTCACCATGTTGCCCAGGCTGGTCTCGAACTCCTGAACTCAAGCAATCCACCCACCTAAGCTTCCTAAAGTGCTGGGATTACAGGCATGAGCCACCACGGCTAGCCTCAAAATACATTTGTGAAAAATTATCGCTTGTTGGAAATTGAATTTTTAACTTACATAAACATCTTTCTGATGAGCTCCAAGAACATTTCTATGACTACAGTTTCTACATGTTTGTATTATGCTAAGAGTTATTTCTTATCGCTTTTTTAGGTGGAATTGAGACTGGATCTATCACAGAAATGTTTGGAGAATTCCGAACTGGGAAGACCCAGATCTGTCATACGCTAGCTGTCACCTGCCAGGTGAGCTGTTGGGGCTATAGCTAATCAAATAAGCAAGCATTACTTCATTCCTGCTATTTGCAAGCATCTGTTAGGATGGCCATAAAAGGTACTTTCTCTGTCCTCAAGAATCTTATAGCTGTTAATAGTTAGAAGATAGACTCCTACTTCAAAATCCTTCCATGTCATAGAAACTTCCAAATCATTGATCTCCTATCAGATACGTTAATTTCAAATACTTTTGCTACCAGGCCTTTTCCTGGCTTTACTTGCTACTTTTTTTTTTTTTTTTTTTTTTTGAGGCAGAATCTCGCTGTGTCGCCCAGGCTGAAGTACAGTGGTGTGATCTCAGCTCACTGCAACCTCCTCTCTGGTTCAAGTGATTCTCCTTCATCAACCTCCCGAGTACCTGGGATTACAGGCGCCCACCAGCATGCCCGGCTAATTTTTGTGTTTTTAGTAGAGAGGGGGTTTCACCATGTTGGCCAGGCTCCTCTTGAACTCCTGATCTCAAGTGATCCACCCACCTTGGCCTCCCAAGTGCTGGAATTATAGGCGTAAGCCACTGCGCCCAGCCCTCCATCTTCTTCATTAGTCTAGATTTTATGATTCATCATTAAAGTAATTCTCTTGCAGATAGCCTCAGTTTACATACCCACTTGAAGAGATGCCAACCTTAGATGAAACTCATCTATCTTCTCAGTGTCTGTACCCAAATAGCTGATTATACTGGAGAAAAATCGTATCATACAGCTGACTGACTTCACTTTAAATTCAAGATGACAGGCCAGGCACGGTGGCTCACGCCTGTAATCCCAGTACTTTGGGAGGCCGAGGCGGGTGGATCACTTGAGATCAAGAGTTTGGCTGGGCGCGGTGACTCACGCCTGTAATCCCAGCACTTTGGGAGGCCGAGGTGGGCGGATCACAAGGTCAGGAGATTGAGACCATCCTGGCTAACACAGTGAAACCCCATCTCTACTAAAAATACAAAAAATTAGTTGGGCGTGGTGGCGGGTGCCTGTAGTCCCAGCTACTTGGGAGGCTGAGGCAGGAGAATGGCGTGAACCCGGGAGGCACAGCTTGCAGTGAGCCGAGATTGCGCCACTGCACTCCAGCCTGGGCGACAGAGCGAGACTCTGTCTCAAAAAAAAAAAAAAAAAAAAAAAAAAAAAGAAGAAGAAAAAAAAAAGATCAGGAGTTCAAGACCAGCCTGGCCAACATGGTGAAACCCTGTCTCTACTAAAAATACAAAAATTAGCTGGGCGTGTTGGCACGTGCCTGTAATCCCAGTTACTTGGGAGACTGAGGCAGGAGAATCGCTTGAACCCGGGGGGCAGAGGTTGCAGGGAGCTGAGATCGCACCATTGCATTCCAGCCTGGTCAAAGAAGCGAGACTCTGTCTCAAAAAAAAAAAAAAAAAAAAAAAGAATGAAAAAAGGAAAAAAATTCAAGATGACAAAACTTTAGATTAACATTCAAAACTTCTTGGCAGTCTACTTTCTCCATTTAGGTGTACTTTCCCACTGAGTTAGACAGGCATCTCATATCTCATACTTCGTCTTCTGTTATCAGAACTTTATGCTCCTCTTCAACTCTCATTCTTAGCCAAAAACCTAACCTGCTCTTTGCATCAAATCTACATTTGTGCCCATCTTTTCTTATCTCAGGTTACAATTGAGAAAGTGTCCCTTTTCTTCTCAAAGGCCCATTCTATCAATATGATTTGGTTACCATCTCCTGCCACCTTCTCAAGGACTCTACTCCTTCCATTTTCTCTTGTACCTCTCTATGAGATTATCCTCATCAGTATACAAATATGTCTAGTGTCTCCTCCATTAGGAAAAAACCTTCCCTGGACCCCTTCAGTTTCTTTTTCCTTTACTTATGCTCCTATTGGTGGGAAGATTTGGAAATAGACACAGTAGGTTAAATAATTGCCCAATACATTGTATTTAAGTAGCAAATACTGGACTCAAACCAGACTTCAGAGATGATGTTCTTAAAACTTCATAAGAGGCCAGCATGGTGTTTCATGCCTGTAATCCCAGTACTTTGGGAAGCCAAAGTGGGAGGATTGCTTGAGACCAGGAATTTGAGACCAGCCTGGGCAACATAGTGAGACCCTGTTTCTGAGATGCCATTTCTAAAAACAAACAAACAAAAACAGACAATTAAAAATATTAGCCCAGCATGATGATGTGTACCTGTGGTCCTAGCTACTCAGGAGGCTGAGGTGGTAGAATCTCTTGAGCCCAAGAGGTCGAGGCTCCAGTGACTGGGATCGTGCCACTGCATGTTTTCTGCTGTATTGCTAGTGCCTAAGGCAGTGTTTGGCTCTCAGTAAACAATAAATGCTTGAATGAGTGGAGATAATAGATGTCCAAAAACATGCCTGATATATAAAATGAATGTCACAGAGGAAATGGGTTAGCTGTTTAAGGAATAGAAAGGGGTAATTTCACCCTAGAGTGATCATGGAATACTTTATGGAGAAAAGATTTTGGACCAGACTTCTGAAGAATGCTAAATTTGGGAAGGAAGGAAATTAAAAGCATTTAACTGTATAGAATGGGATGAACAGAGGATGGGAAGGCATAAGTTAGAAGGAAAAGACAATAAATAAGCAAGGTCATTTAACTGGTTTAGAGTTTGTGTAGAAAAGTTGTAGGAGATGACCCTTAAAAAGATACATCAAACTGGGCATGATAGCTCACACCTGTAATCCCAGCACTTTGGGAGGCCACGGTGGGTGGATCGCTTGAGCTCAGGAGTTTGAGACCAGCCTGGGCAACATGGCAAGACCCTATCTCTACAAATAATATAAAAATTAGCCAGACGTGGGCTGTGCCTGTAGTGGCAGCTACTTGGGAGGTGGAGGCGGGAGAATCGCTTGAGCCCAGGAGGCCAAGGTTGCCATGAGCCAAGATTGTACCACTGCTCTCCAGCCTGGGCAACAGAGCAAGATTTTGTCTCCATCTCAAAAAAAAAAAAAAAATTAAGATCCTATTTCAGAAGGTTAAGAAGTTTAAACTTGATTTTATGAAGAGTAAGCATTAGCTGGTCAGGAAACTAAGATAGTGACAATAAAGAGAAGTAGGGAAAAGATGTTGTAAAGGGCAGCGCTTGATGACTGACAATAAAAAATACACCTCAGCCCAACAATGTATTACAGTAACTTAGTAAACCTAAAAAGTGTTTGAGAGGGGAAGACAGTTTTGTTGGAAACATGAGTACAGGTTTAGAGATGACAGGTTTGAGGTGACAAACCCCGAGTGAAAATTTCTAGCTGTATTGAGAGATGTGGAACTAAGTCACACAGAGAAGTAAAAATGGAATCTGGAAACGAAAGATCCATGAGAAAGGAAGGGAGTAGGATATAGAAGAGAAAGCTAACAAACTTTCATCTTTTCTGCAACTTCAGGCAGTGTAATGGGGAGCCGTTTTTCCTTGTCTAAGTGAGTCTTAATGTTCTCTGGCTTTAAGGATGTGCTGCATAAGTGGCCAGTCCACAAAGTATCCTTGAACCTGGCCCATGCCCATGGACCAACTCTTCTGTTATAATCTTTTGAAGCTTTATTATAATTTTAGTTATTTTGAAAAACATGGCATTATTTTAATCTAGATAGATTATACCCACTTCTGCCATGGGCACAACTTACTGTTGGAGATCAAAACAACTGAAACAAAATCTGCCTTATATCAGTGTTACAGAAGAGGCTTCCTAGTGTTTTTCTATCCTCGGGACTCAACTCTGTTGAGTTTTTTTTTCTTTTCTTTTCTTTTTTTTTTTTTTTTTTTGAGAAAGAGTCTTGCTCTGTTGCCCAGGCTGTAGTGCAGTGGTGTGATCTTGGCTTGCTGCAACCTCTGCCTCCCAGGTTCAAGCCATTCTCCTGCCTCAGCCTCCCGAATAGCTGGGATTACAGGCATGACGGCCACCACGTCCAGCTAATTTTTGTATTTTTAGTAGAGACGAGGTTTCACCATGTTGGCCAGGCTGGTCTCAAACTCCTGACCTCAAGTTAATCTGCCCGCCTTGGCCTCCCAAAGTGCTGGGATTACAGGAGTGAGCCACCGTGCCTGGCCCAAGTTTATTTAAATTTAACATCAAGTAACCTAGCTTGATAGCCTCCCATTTTTCTTATTTTCCTTTTTTTTTTTTTTTTTATTTGAGACGGAGTCTCTGTCGCCTAGGCAGGAGTGCAGTGGCGCAATCTTGGCTCACTGCAACCTCCATCTCCTGGGTTCAAGCAGTTCTCCAGCCTCAGCCTCCCAAACTGGGATTACAGGTGCCTGCCACCCAACACAGCTAATTTTTTGTATTTTTAGTAGAGACAAGGTCTTGCTGTGTTGGCCAGGCTGGTCTTGAACTCCTGACCTCAGGTGATCCACCCGCCTCAGCCTCCCAAAGTGCTGGGATTACAGGTGTGAGCCACCATGCCCGGCTTTTTGTTGTCATTTTAATTGTTTATTGCTCCACTGATATTTTCTTTGCAGACCAAAATGTTACAATTTTTTTTTTTTTTTTTGAGGCGGAGTCTCATTCTGTCGCCTGGGCTGGAGTGCAGTGGTGCCATCTCTGCTCACTGCAAGCTCCGCCTCCTGGGTTCACGCCATTTTCCTGCCTCAGCCTCCCGAGTAGCTGGGACTACAGGCGCCCGCCACCACGCCTGGCTAATTTTTTGTATTTTTAGTAGAGACAGGTTTTCACCGTATTAGCCAGGATGGTCTCGATCTCCTGACCTTGTGATCCGCCCACCTTGGTCTCTCAAAATGCTGGGATTACAGGTGTGAGCCACCGTGCCTGGCTGGCTGCCATATGTCTTATGAGACAGCCAAGCTAGCATGTCAGTATCGAGTAGACCTAATCCATTGTTAACTCTCCTCAGAAATAAATTCTTTTTTTTTTTTTTTTTTGAGATTGGGTCTCACTATGTTGCACCGGCTGTTCTTGAACTCCTGAGCGCAAGCAATCCTCCAACCTCAGCCTCCCACATAGCTGGGATTACAGGTGAATGCCTCTGCACCCAGATCCTCATAATCATTAGGAAGAAAGAGCTGAGGGGGAGGGGTGGAGGAGGATGCTTAGGAGACCTTTTATGATAATAAGGGAGGAAACATTGAGAAGAGGAAGAGTAAGTTATAGAAGCTATAGCTATTGCGTGAGCTCCATTAGAAATTTGATAGCTAAAGGGAATTAGGGCTGTTTAAAATGTCACTCTTACATCCGTCATTTGACATGATATGTGACCTTTTTAAATAGAAATGTTTTCCCATGTTTTGACAGGGACTTATGTAGAATAAGTATTTAGACTACAGTACATAATATCTATAGTTGCCATGGCAACTCAGCATAGCATGCTGACACTCCAAAGTTGTACAAATAGAATCCTAATCTGAGAATGTTTAAGTAGTCAGATAATGTCTGTCAACAATAAACTAAAGCAAAATTCTCAAGTAAATATAGCCTGTTAAAATAACATTTACAGATGGCTGAACAACTATATAGATCGTTGACTTTTTTTAAAGAAAAAGAATGCTAATTAATTAATAATAGAAAAGATTACATTTCATCAGCCTAAGAGCTGGAACCAGGGATATAGAGAGGATGTTAGACTATTACTTAAATCTAAATATTATCTACTCTCATTTGTTTTCTCAATTTAATGAAGTAAAACCCCATTATATGTTAGGTCTCTCTCTAATAGAAAAGTCATAAAGTTGAGAGCTACAGTTAGGTTACAAAATGAATTAGCCCATGCTTGTTCAAAGTACTGCAGTAGTTTTAAAATTCTGGGCCGGGTATGGTGGCTCATGCTTGTAATTCCAGCACTTTGGGAGGCTGAGGCCGGAGGATTGCTTGAACCCAGGAGTTCCAGACAAGACTGGGGAATATGGCGAGATCCCATTTCAATTAAAAAATAAAAACAGTTCTGAGAAGACAATTTAACATAAGTACCAGTTTTAAAAGCACATGCCCATGCGGGCATGGTGGCTCACGCCTGTAATCCCAGCACTTTGGGAGGCTGAGGTGGATGGATCACAAGGTCAGGAGTTCAAGAACAGCCTGGCCAAGATGGTGCAACCCTGTCTCTACTAAAAATACAAAAATTAGCCAGGCGTGGGGGTGGGCGCCTGTAATCCCAGCTACTTGGGAGGCTGAGGCAGAGAATTGCTTGAACCTGGGAAGTGGAGGTTGCAGTGAGCTGAGATCGTGCCACTGCACTCCAGCCTGGGCAACAGAGTAAGATTCTGTCTCAAAAAAAAACCAAAAACCAAAAAACCACAAAACAAAAAAATCACATACCCTTTGACAGAAAATTTGTCTTACAGAACATTTCACATATATGCAAAGATAAATGTACAAATAATTTATACCAAAGCATAATTAAAATGGTAAAAGTTAGAAACATACTGCATCACTATAAAATGAGAAGTGTTAAATTATGCTCCTAAGCAGTTATTAAGAAGAGCTAACCTGATGGTATCCCAATCCAGTAACAGAAGATGGCTATGATGGCACTGGGAGGGCAAGGTAGAAAGGGCCAAATAAGCTGGAGAACAGAGCATGCAATCCATCCCCATGATCTTACCCTGGGAGCTTGTCCACTATCCTGTTGTCAGTCTACCTACCTATTCCCAATCATCTGTGGCCTTTCCTTTGCCAAGGAAGTCTATTCAATTGGAAAAGAATCCCCTGTCATGTTAGCACTTAATATTACCTGGAGGTAGGAGAAAGGAGAACTTCGTTCATCTTATTTCCTGGGGACTTAGTCCCCAGAGTGTTAATATTTCCTCCTCTCCAAGAAACTGAGGCAGATTCTGCTCTCTGTCCTCTTGGCCACTGGTTCCAAGTCTTTCTTTAGGCATGACCCTCTTTTGTTGTATATGTGTCCTTTGCTCCTTCCATGGATTCCCATGATGTGAGAGATTTTATCTGCCAAATAGTAACGTAATTTTTCCCTTCCAAATTAACAAAGCCTTCCGTAACTGTATACACTAAAGTCAGTGCCCTAAAGGTTGGGAAAATCATGTCTTCAGAGTGTACCGTGCTAAACGCTTTACATGAATTATTTTATTTAGTTTTTAAAACAATCCCATAAGGTCGGTTTTATTTACATTTTACAGAAAAGGAAACAATATTCTCAGTCACATAGTAAGTGGAAGAACCACTTATATAAAAGAAGTATATGAAAATGCATAGAAAATAATCTGGGAAATTATTTCTGGGAGATGGAGAGTGGTGAAGAGCTTTCAGTTTTTTCTCCGCCACTTCCTCTTTTTTTTTTTAGACAAAGTCTCACTCTGTCACCCAAACTGGAGTGCAGTGGCATGATATCGCTCACTGCACCCTCCGCCTCCCAGGTTCAAGTGATTCTTGTGCCCCAGCCTCCCGAGTAGCTGGGATTACAGGTGTGCACCACCACGCCCCACTAATTTTTGTATTTTTAGTAGAGACAGGGTTTCACCATTTTGGCCAGGCTGGTCTCGAACTCCTGACCTCAGGTGATCCACTCGCTGGGATTACAGGTGTGAGCCCCCATGCCTGGCCTCTCTACTTCTTTTTTTTTTTTTTTTTTTTTGAGATGGAATCTCGCTCTGTCACCCAGGCTGGAGTGTAGTGGCACGATCTCGGCTCACTGCAAGCTCTGCCTCCCAGGTTCACGCCATTCTCCTGCCTCAGCCTCCCAAGTAGTTGGGACTACAGGTGGCCGCCACCACGCCCGGCTAATTTTTTGTATTTTTAGTAGAGACAAGGTTTTACCATGTTAGCCAGGATGGTCTCGGTCTCCTGACCTCAGGTGATCCACCTGCTTCGGCCTCCCAAAGTGCTGGGATTACAGGCGTTAGCCACTGCGCCTGGCCTCCGGCCCTCTACTTTTATATTGTTTAGATTTTTAATATAAGCATATAGTTGTTTTGTAATTTCAAAAAAAAATTCTCAAAGATAAGAAAGAAAATTTGGGCTGGGTGCAGTGGCTCACGCCTCCCAGCACTTTGGGAGGCCAAGGTGGGTGAATCACCTTAGGTCAGGAGTTAAAGACCAGCCTGACCAACGTGGAGAAACCCCATTTTTACTAAAAAATGCAAAATTAGCCGGGCGTGGTGGTGCATGCCTGAAATCCCAGCTACTTGGGAGGCTGAGGGAGGAGAATCCCTTGAACCCGGGAGGCAGAGGTTGTGGTGAGGCAAGATCATGCCATTGCACTCCAGCCTGGGCAACAAGAGCGAAACTCCGTCTCAGAAAAAAAAGAAAGAAAAAATTTGGTTCTCCTAGGCCTTTAACATAAAATGTTCTAAAGGATTTTCCTCATAATTTAAATGGGAATTATGACTCCAAAGTAGATTTCTAGAGTAGAAATTACCCTTTAGCATCATTCACTTAAACTTTGTAGAAAAATTCAAAGGTATCTGGTATGGAATGGGTAGTCTAAAGCAGAGATTTCCTTGAGTGGCTCATAAGACAGTTTTCATGGCATTTCATTTACTTCTCTTTTCTTTCCTTTTTGTTTTCTCTTTAAAATTCTTTCTACTTATTTTTCTGTTTTCTCCAATTGTTCATTTTAAACATCTTGTTTATACTATTGGAGTAAATATGTTTTTTTCTTCTTTCTTGCTCACACTCGAAATTTGCTATAGACACTCCGAGGGCATTGACTAGTCCCTTTAGTACCCCTAAAGAATGAACTGCTCAATAAAGTGAAGTATAAGTTTGATATAGACATGCTAAAATTAACTGGGCTTTGGATCATGGCCCATTATTGATTAAAGCTAAGGTAAATGGTCTTCCAAGTTTCTGTACTTTTGAATTGATCAGTCTTGTGTTGGTATGCAGTTCTAGAATTTTATTACTGGCCAGGTGTGGTGGCTCACGCCTGTAATCCCAGCACTTTAAGAGGCCGAGGCGGGCAGATCACTTGAGTCCAGGAGTTCAAGACCAGCCTGGGCAATGTGGCAAAACCCTATCTATAAAAAAATTTAATCGGGTGTGGTGGTGCACACCTATGGTCTCAGCTATTTGGGAGGTGAGATGGGAGGATCTCCAGAGCCCGGAAGGCAGAGGTTGCAGTGAGCCAAGATTGCACCACTGCACTCCAGCCTGGGCGGCGGAGTGAGACCCTGTCTCCAAAACAAAAAAAGGCCAGGTGCAGTGGCTCGTGCCTATAATCCCAACACTTTGGGAGGCCAAGGCAGGCAGATCACCTGAGGTCAGGAGTTCAAGACCAGCCTAGCCAACTTGGTGAAACCCTGTTTCTACTAAAAATACAAAAATTAGCTGGGCGTGGTGGCATGGACCTTTAATCTCAACAACTCAGGAGGCTGAGGCAGGAGAGTTGCTTGAACCCAGGAGGTGGAGGTTGCAGTGAACCGAGATAACGCCACTGCACTCCAGCCTGGGCAACAGTGAGACTATCGCAAGAAAAAAAAAAAAAAGAAGAAAAGAATTTTATTACCTACTTTGGGCTATATTTCTAAGCAGTCCAGTTCTGACAGGACTAGCTGTATGTACTGAGACACAATCAGCTTTACATATTTTTCTAGCTGTATTTCTATTAATATCAGAAGGGAATGCCTCCTTCCTACCACTGTCATTTTTAAATGTTTTTTTCCCTTTGCCTTGGAGGAATTATAAAGATGTCATGAGGAGCTTGGTCAGCTGTATCAGAAATACAATGTTCATTTCTACTGTTGTTTTTGTTCTCTATAGCTTCCCATTGACCGGGGTGGAGGTGAAGGAAAGGCCATGTACATTGACACTGAGGGTACCTTTAGGCCAGAACGGCTGCTGGCAGTGGCTGAGAGGTAGGTTACTGGTTTAGATAAGAGAGACTATGGCTACACTTATCAATGTAGTGATTGCCAGGGTTAGTTTGGCCGAAGAATGTCTCTTCTATAACCCCACGTCCCAAAGTTGTATGTGTGGTTCAAAAGAATGACTTCCTTAGTAGAAAAAGGCATTCTTTTTTTTTTTTTTCTTCAGATGGAGTCTCGCTCTTGTCACCCAGGCTAGAGTGCGGTGGCGTGATCTCAGGTCACTGCAACCTCTGCCTCCCGGGTTCAAGCAACTCTCCCACCTCAGCCTTCCTAGTAGCTGGGATTACAGGCGCACACCACCACACCCAGCTAATTTTTTGTATTTTTAGTAGAGATGGGGTTTCACCATATTGGCCAGGCTGGTCTCAGACTCCTGACCTCAGGTGATCCACCTGCCTTGACTTCCCAAAGTGCTGGGATTACAGGTGTGAGCCACCGCACCCGGCCAGAAAAAGGCATTCTTTAGAGTTGCTGTCAGACTGGATTTAAAAAAAAAAAATCCAACTATATGTTTTCTTCCAGAGAAACCCTTTAGAAAGTAAAAGAATGGAGAAAGATATTGCATGCAAATAGTAACCATAAGAGACACTGCGTGGCTATACTAATATCAGACAAAGTACACTTTAAGGCAGACACATTGGCTGGGCGCTGTGGCTCACGCCTGTAATCCCAACACTTTGGGAGGCTGAAGCGGGTGGATCACGAGGTCAGGAGATCGAAACCATCCTGGCTAACACAGTGAAACCTCGTCTCTATTAAAAATACAAAAAGTTAGCCGGGTGTGTTGGTGGGTGCCTGTAGTCCCAGCTACTCGGGAGGCTGAGGCAGGAGAATGGCCTGAACCCGGGAGGCGGAGCTTGCAGTGAGCCGAGATCGCGCCACTGCACTCCAGCCTGGGCGACAGAGCAAGAATCCGTCTCAAAAAAAAAAGACAAACACATTATATACAAAGAGGAACATTTTATAATTAAAAGGTCAGTTTGTCAGGAAGATATAACAGTTGTAAAGATACACACACGCCTAACAACAAAACCCCAAAATAACATGAAACAAAAACTGAATTAAAGGGGAAAATAGACAACTCATCAATAATAGTAAGGGACCAGTTTTTCATTTTCATTAATGGATACAGGCTTCAATATTTCACTCTCAATAATGAATATAACATGTATCAGAGGCCCTGCTAAAGGGCATCTGTGAAAAACCTACAGGTAGCATCATACTAAATGGTGCTCTGTTACCCAGGCTGGAATGCAGTGGTGCTATTTCGGCTCACTGCAACTTCCACCTCTTGGGTTCAAGTGACTCTCCTGCCTCAGCCAAAAATTAGCCTGGCTAATTTTTGTATTTTTAGAAGAGACAGGGTTTCTCCATGTTGGCCAGGCTGGTCTCAAACCTGACCTCAAGTGATCTGCCTGCCTTGGCCTCCCAAAAGTGCTGGGATTACAGGTGTGAGCCACTGCACCCGGCCTTAATGGTGAAATTCTGAATGCTTTTCCCCCTAAAGTCAGTAACAAGGCAAGGATGCCCACTTTCACTATTTACATTCAGCAATGTACCAAAGATTATAGACAGTGTAGTCAGACAAGCAGATGAAATAAACGGCATCCAGATTGGAATGGAAGAAGGAAAACTATTTGCTAATGACATGGTGCCATATGTAGAAAATCCTAAGGAATCCATCCACAAGAAAAACTAGAACTAAATAACTGTTCAGCAAAGTTGCAGAATACAATATCAATATACGAAAATCCATTGTATTTGTATATACTAGACAATAACAATTCAAAAGTAAAACTTGAAAAAAAAACTTCATTCACAGTAGCAAGAAAAAGAATAAAATACTTAGGAATAAATTTAACAAAAGAAATGTAAGATTTGTACAGCAAAAACTCTGAAACATTACTGAGAAAAATTGAAGATTTACATAAAGAGAAGCATTCCACATCATGGATGGGAAAACTCAAGATTACTAAAATGGCATTCTTGGCCAGGTACTGTGGTGCACACCTGTAATCCCAACACTTTGGGAGGCCAAGGTGGGCGGATCACCTGAGGTCAGGAGTTCGAGACCAGTCTGGCCAGCATGGCAAAACCCTGTCTCTACTAAAAATACAAAAATTAGCCAGGCATGGTGGCACACTGCCTGTAGTCTGAGCTACTTGGGAGGGTAAGGAAGGAGAATCACTTGAACCAGGGAGGCAGAAGTTGCAGTGACCTGAGATCGCGCCACTGCACTCCAGCCTGGGTGACAAAGCGAGACTCTATCTCAAGAAAAGGCAGTTCTCCTCAGATTTTATCTATAGATTCAACCCAATCCTTATCAAAATTCCAGCAAGCTTTTTTTGCAGAAATTTACAAAGTAATCATAATATTTATGGAACATAACGTGGAAATGCAAAGGACCCAGAATAGCCGAAATGTCTGGAAAAAAAAGAAAATTTGAGGTCTTAGACTTTTTGGTTTAAATTCTTATTATAAAGCTACAATAACCAAGACAATATGGTGATGGCATATGGATAAATATGGAGAGTTCGGAAATGAAACCTTTATGGTCACTTCATTTTTGACAAAGGTAACAGGCAATTTTTTTAAAATTTAAAATTTTTTACAAATACACGTGGTCTCGCTGTCTTGCCCTGGCTGGTCTCGAACTCCTGGCCTCAGGTGATCATCCCTACTCAGCCTCCCAAAGTGTTAGGATTACAGATGTGAGCCACTAAACCTGGCTGACAAGGCAATTTAATGAGGGAAAAAATGGTCTTTTCAATAAACAGTGCTGATGTAGATGAATTTCCAAATGCAAAATAACTTTAGACCCTTACTATATACCACACATAAAAATTAAAATAGATAACAGTGTGGTCATTCCTCAAAAAATTAAACACAGAATGACCATGTGATCCAGCAGTTCCATTTCCAGCTATATAAAGAATTGAAAACAGGAACTCAGATACTTGGACAGCGATGTTCATAGCAGCATTACTCACAATAGCTTTGGAAATAACCCAATGTCCATTGACAAATGAATAGATAAAATGTACATACACACAATGAAATATCATTTTAGCCTTAAAAGGAAGAAAACACATTTTTTTTCTTAGACCTAGTCCTGCAGATAAAAAGGTAGGAAATTCTGACACATGCTATTAACATCCACTAACCTTCAGGGCATTATGCTAAGTGAAATAATTTAGTCACAAAAGGACAAAAACTGAGGCCAGGCGTGGTGGCTTATGCCTGTAATCCCAGCACTTTGGGAGGCCGAGGCAGGTGGATCACCTTAGGTCAGGAGTTTGAGACCAGCCTGGCCAACATGGTGAATCCCCGTCACTACTAAAAATACAAAAAATTAGCCAGGTGTGGTAGCACAGACCTGTAATCCCAGCTACTCTGGCGGCTGAGGCAGGAGAATCGCTTGAACCTGGGAGGTGGAGGTTGCAGTGTGCCGAGATCATGCCATTGCACTATAGCCTGGGCAACAAGAGCGAAACTCTGGCTCGGGGAAAAAAAAAAAAAAAAGGACAAAAACTGTATGATTCCACTAACATGTGGTACTTCAAAATCAAAGAGACAGAAAGTAGAATGGTGGTTTTCTGGGGGTAGGGAGACTGGGGAGTTGTTGTTTAATGGTACAGTTTCAGTTTGGGATGATGAAAAAGCTCTGGAGATGAATAGTGGTGATGGTTGCACAGCAGCATGAATGTCCTTAATGTGCCTGAACTGTATACTTTAAAATAGTTAAAATGCTCAATTTAATGTTATATGTGTACGTTTTACTATACTGTTTTTAGAAGGGTGATAGTCCTAAATAAGAGCCTAACTATAATTTTTCAGAGAGAACATGGGAGAAAATCTTAGTGACCTTGGGGTAGGCAAAGATTTATTAGCTACAACACCAAACACACAGTCCATGAAAGAATAAATTGATAATAGAGTTAGTTTTCACTTCATCAAAATTAAAAACTTCTGTGCTTCAAAGGACACTATGAAGCAAGTGAAAAGATAACCCAAAGAATGTGAGAAAATATTTGCAAATTACGTATCTGATAAATGTCTAGTATCTAGAATATATAAAGAACTATTATAACCCAACAATAAAAAGATAACCCAGTTGTTTAAATGGGCAAAGGATTTGAATAGACATCTCTCCAAAGAGGATATACAAATGGTTGATGAGCACATAAAAAGATGCTCAACATCATTAGTCATCAGGAAAATGCAAATTGAAACCATGGTGAGCTACCACTTCACACCCACTATGAAGGCTATAATAAAAAAGATGGTAACAAATACTGGGAGGATGTAGAGAAACTGGAACCCTCATATACTGCTGGTGAAAATATACAACGGTGGTCTCTTTGCAAAATAGGTGGCTTCTTAAAAAGTTAAATATAAATTTACCATATGATGCAGCAATTTCACTCTAGTTATATACCCCAAGAGAAATAAAAACATGTCTATACAAAGACTTGTATGATAATGTTTATAGTATCATTATAATAGCCCAAAATGTTCATCAGCTGGTAAATGAATAAACAAAATTTGTTTTCTCCATACAATGGGATACTCTTCAGCAATAAAAAAGAACTTAAGTACTGATACGTGTTAACAACATGGATGAGGTTTCAAATATGCTAAATGATAGAAGTTAAACACAAAAGACCACACAATGTATGATTCCATTTATATGAAATTTCCAGTAGGGGATAATCTAAGGGATAGAAGAATTGTGGTTAGTGGCGATAGGAATGAGGAATAACTGTGAATGAAGTTGAGAGATTTTTTAGGGGTGATGAAAATGCTCTAAAATTGGATTGTGTTCATGGTTATACAACTCTGCAAATTCACTAAAGCTCTCAATGAATTTTATACTTACAGCAGGTCATTTTTGAGGTATGTTAATTATACCTGAGTAAAGCTCGTGAAGAGTTTGTAAGTTTCTATATCAAATAAAGTTTTTAAATACATCCTCAAAACTGTTTCACTTCTTTTCCTTTGTCTAGGGTCAAATGTGGTAATTTAGTCCCTGCCACACATTTTATGGAAACCCAGTGATAAAACAATTTAATTGTCTGCTGAGATGTCAGACTCAAGTTGGAACCTGCCTAAATGAGGAGAATATTCTCTCTCGTTTTATAATCGAATTATCTTTCCCAGCTTATAATTTGAGAACTGCAACCTATTGAATGTATACCACTGAAGCATAAAATTAGGTTGGAATGGTAATTGCAGCTTTTTGTCTCTGCCTACAAAATTCCTATGAAGGAAAAGGAATTACTCTTTTGCAGTCTGATCTTAGTTTTCTGAGGATGTATATACTTAATTGTGTCTTCCCTCTCAAAATTGTTTTGGCAATCATGTACAGCATTCATACTTTTAAGTATACTGTTTTAGTAGTTTAAGGATTAGCTTTTGGACAGAGTCACTAAAACATTCTCTTGTAACATAAATAAGTATTCAGATAGGATAGATGACCTAGTAGAATATAGGCTATGAGGACAAGAACTTTGATTTGGTCACCTATTGGATGCCCAAGCAGTAGAGCAATGCATTCAGGATTTGTTAATGAATATTTTGCTGACAAAAAATTTTTTGTTGTTTGTTTTTTTAGAGACGGGTCTCACTCTGCCCCCACTAGAATGCAATGGTGCAATCATAGCTCACTGCAGCTTCTAACTCCAGGGCTCAAGCAGTCCCCCCTCCTCAGTGTAGCTGGGATTACAGGCACACACCACCAAGCCCAGCTAATTTTTTTATTTCTTTTTTTTTTTTTTTTTTTTTTTGAGACAGAGTCTCGCTCTGTCGCCCAGGCTGGAGTGCTGTGGTGCGATCTCGGCTCACGCAAGCTCCACCTCCCAGGTTCACGCCATTCTCCTGCCTCAACCTCCCAAGTAGCTGGGACTACAGGCTTCCGCCACCACACCCGGCTAATTTTTTTGTATTTTTTAATTTTAATTTTTTTTAATTTTTTTTAATTTTTTTTTTTTTTTTTTTTTGAGACAGAGTCTCGCTCTGTCGCCCAGGCCGGACTGCGGACTGCAGTGGCGCAATCTCGGCTCACTGCAAGCTCCGCTTCCCGGGTCCACGCCATTCTCCTGCCTCAGCCTCCCCAGTAGCTGGGACTACAGGCGCCCGCCACCGCGCCCGGCTAATTTTTTGTATTTTTAGTAGAGACGGGGTTTCACCTTGTTAGCCAGGATGGTCTCGATCTCCTGACCTCATGATCCACCCGCCTCGGCCTCCCAAAGTGCTGGGATTACAGGCGTGAGCCACCGTGCCTGGCCTATTTCTTATTTTTGTAGAGATGAGGTCTTGCTGTGTTGCCCAGGCTGGTCTCAAACTCTTGGCCTAGAGTGATTCTCCCTCCTCGGCCTCCCAAAGTGCTGAGATTACAGGCAGGCATAAGTGACTGTGCCTCGCTGAAAAATATGTTTACATAGAAATTTCATTAATTTGTTTTAATCAGGTCTCTTTATCAAGAAAAAAATTTTATAATTGAATTATATTTCTGAGAATGTCACAAGGCCTCCTTAAGCTAATAAAAATAGCCCTCTTTCATTCACAACAAAAGAGCCCTTACTGATTAATTTTTGCCGTGCCCTGTTGAAGAATATTAGCCCACATGCATGTTACTGTAGCTCTGGGGTTCCCAGAACATGGTCCCCAGAACAGCAGCATTATCATTACTTGAGAACTTGTTAGAAATGCAAATTGTCTGATGGGACTTCAGATCTACTGAATCAGAAACAATCAGATACTCGGGCTAGCAACCTGTTTTAACAAGCTCTCCAGGGCCAGACACGGTGGCTCACGCCTGTAATCCCAACACTTTGGGAGGCCAAGGGAGTGGATCACCTAAGGTCAGGAGTTTGAGACCAGCGTGGCAACATGGTGAAACCCTGCTCTACTAAAAATACAAAAACTAGCTGGGCATGTTAGCGGGCACCTGTAATCCCAGCTACTCGGGAGGCTGAGGCAGGAGAATCACTTGAACCCAGGAGGCGGAGGTTGCAGTGAGCCAGGATCGTGCCACTGTACTCCAGACTGGGCGACAGAGTGAGACTCCATCTCAAAAAAACAAAACAACAAAAAAAAATGCAAGCTCTCCAGGTAATCTGATGCTTGCTAAAGTTTGAAAACCATGACCACAATTGCTAGCCTTTCTTGAAAGTCTGAAGTACTGTGAAAGAATGACAGAACTCCTTTGAGATGAGCTTAGTTTTTCAAACTTATATGTTAAGAATAACCTGAGGTATTTGTTAAATATACAGATTACCAGGCTCTTCCCTGATAATTGTAATTCATTGAGTCTAGGTTAGGCCCAGGAATTTTTTTTTTTTTTTTTTGAGACGGAGTTTCACTCTTGTCTCCCAGGCTGCCAGGCTGGAGTACAGTGGCGTGATATTGGCTCACTGCAACCTCCGCCTCTCGGGTTCAAGCGATTCTCCTGCCTCAGCCTCCCAAGTACCTGGGATTACATGCGTGCACCACCACACCCATCTAATTTTTGTATTTTTTAAGTAGAGATGGGTTTTCGCCTTGTTGGCAAGGCTAGTCTCGAACTCCTGACCTCAAGTGATCCGCCTGCCTTGGCCTCCCAAGGTGCTGAGATTACAGGCATGAGTCACCACAGCCTGCCCAGGAATTTGTTTTCTAACGGGTGTTCCAGGTTATTATCTTTAAGGAAGTTCAAGAAACACTATGAAAGAGGATGCTATGGCCGGGCGCGGTGGCTCATGCCTGTAATCCCAGCACTTTGGGAGGCCGAGGCGGGTGGATCACAAGGTCAGGAGATCGAGACCATCCTGGCTAACATGGTGAAACCCCGTCTCTACTAAAAATAAAAAAATTAGCCAGGCGTGGTAGCGGGTGCCTGTAGTCCCAGCTACTCGGGAGGCTGAGGCAGGAGAATGGCGTGAACCTGGGAGGCGGAACTTGCAATGAGCCGAGATCGTGCCACTGCACTCCAGCCTGGGCGACAGAGTGAGACTCCGTCTCAAAAAAAAAAAAAAAAGAGGATGGTATTTCCAGCCAACTTGTCCCAAGCTGTGGGAATTCCATGTCCTGCTTCTGGAGCCTAAGCACAGAGGTTCCCATAGTTTTTTTTGTGAGTGCCGCTGAGAGAAAAGCTAGGATAACTCTTTATTCTGGTAAACCTTCTCTGTTTTTATAGCAAATAGATAATCTCCCTTTCTTTTTTAATTTTTAATTTTTTTTTAATTTTATAAATAGAGATGGGGTTTTGCCATGTTGCCCAGGCTGGTCTCAAACTCCTGAGCTCAAGCAATCCTCCCCACTCAGCCTCCCAGAGTGCTGGGATTACAAGCATGAGCCACCGTGCCCAGCCTTTTCTCCCTTTCTGATAGTAGATTATATCAGTGTATTTTTTTGTTCGTTTGTTTGTTTGTTTTTGAGACAGAGTCTTGCTCTGTCACCCAGGATGGAGTGCAGTGGTGCGATCTCGGCTCACTGCAACCTCTGCCTCCCGGTTTCAAGCGATTCTCCTGCCTCAGCCTCCCAAGTAGCTGAGAAGCAGGGATTACAGGCGCCTGCAACCAACCCGGCTACATTTTGTATTTTTAGTAGAGATGGTGTTTCACCATGTAGTCTAGGCTGGTCTCAAACTCCTGATCTCAAGTGATCTGCCCACATCAGCCTCCCAAATTGCTGGGATTACAGGTGTGAGCCACTGCGCCCAGCCATATCAGTGTTTCTTGAGGCAGAACTAGAAGACTTGTGCAGTAAAGTACTTACACCTGTTACATCTTTTTTTTTTCACCATACATTCATGATCTAAATAGAGAAAACTTATATCTCTTCATTCTTGTTTTATTTGGTCAGGATCGTAAGGTGTAACTCTATCCTAATGCCATCTGTTTATCCTCATGACAGAATCGTGAACCTAGAACATAATCATAGCACACTGGGTTTTATGTAAACATTCTCTTTTTTTTTTTTTTTTTGAGATGGAATCTCACTCTGTCACCCAGTCTGGTGTGCAATGGTATGATCTCGACTCACTGCAACTTCTGTCTCCCGGGTTCAAGCGATTCTTCTGCCTCAGCCTCCCAAGTAGCTGGGATTACAGGTGCCTGCCACCACGCCCGGCTAATTTTTGTATTTTTAGTAGAGATGGGGTTTTGCCATGTTGACCAGGCTGGTCTCCGACTCCTGACATCAGGTGATCCACCTGCCTCGGCATCCCAAAGTGCTAGGATTACAGGCGTGAGCCACCGCACCTGGCCCTCAAAGAATAGGTTTGATTTAGGTCAGGCGTGGTGGCTCACGCCTGTAGTCCCAGTATTTTGGGAGGCCAAGGTGGGCGGATTATGAGATCAGGAGGTCAAGACCAGCCTGATCAATATGGTGAAACCCTGTCTCTACTAAAAATAAAAATATTAGCTATGCATGGTGCTGCATAGCTCCATGCTACTTTGGAGGCTGAGGCAGGAGAATCGCGTGAACCCAGGAGGTGGAGGTTGCAATGAGATCACGCCGCTGCACTCCAGCCTGGGTGACAGAGCAAGACTCCGTCTCAAAGAAAAAAAAAAAAGAATGGATTTGATTTATCCCAAAGACTTGCCAGGTAGAGCTCCAGAGTAGTTGGGTGCTATCATCTCTCTGCTTATAGTTTGCCTGAACTTCTTAATAGAAAGGGAAATACATTCTTTGGTCCTGAAACTACTGTCAGTACCACTTCTTCCCTACCTATTCAGGTAATTTAAGTGTCAGAAACAAATTGCTCATCTGCCTGAGTTCTGTGTGCAGCCTAAAAATGTTCTCTCCTCTCTCATAGGTATGGTCTCTCTGGCAGTGATGTCCTGGATAATGTAGCATATGCTCGAGCGTTCAACACAGACCACCAGACCCAGCTCCTTTATCAAGCATCAGCCATGATGGTAGAATCTAGGTATGTGTTCAGTATAAGACACCAAATATGTTCTTAAGAGTCCTTCCCTGAATCTTGTAATGGCTATTTGGCCAGATTGATAGTAGTTTGAATTAGAAATGAGGAGGTTTAAGTATAATTCCTGTGTTGACACTCTTGCTTTGTAGTTTAGGTCAAGTCACTATTAAAAATGAAACCATAATCTACTTGAACTTGCTGGAAATCTTGTTAAACGGTGCCTCAGATGTTAGTACTGTGCAAATATTTTAATAAAACATCTATATACAGGCCGGGCGCGGTGGCTCAAGCCTGTAATCCCAGCACTTTGGGAGGCCAAGGCGGGTGGATCACAAGGTCAGGAGATCGAGAACATCCTGGCTAACACGGTGAATCCGTCTCTACTAAAAAAATACAAAAAAATTAGCTGGGTGTGGTGGCGGGCGCCTGTAGTCCCAGCTACTCCGGAGGCTGAAGCAGGAGAATGGAGTGAACCCGGGAGGCAGAGCTTGCAGTGAGCCAAGAATGCCCCACTGCACTCCAGCCTGGGCGACAGAGCTAGACTCCATCTCAAAAAAAAAAAAAAAAAAAAAAAAATCTGTATACAGGAAAAACTATGAATATGAGATTTTAGGGTGGTAAGGAAGGGACCAGAATCTGACACAGGCTAGAAATAGGCTTCAGAGAATCCTTGTTTCCTGTAGGTATGCACTGCTTATTGTAGACAGTGCCACCGCCCTTTACAGAACAGACTACTCGGGTCGAGGTGAGCTTTCAGCCAGGCAGATGCACTTGGCCAGGTTTCTGCGGATGCTTCTGCGACTCGCTGATGAGGTAAGTTGTGGGATAGGGACAGAGAATGCCTACTTTCAGTGGCTGTGAATTCCAGGAGCCTTGCTAGGAGGCTAAGACATCAGTGCCTGAGATCATCAAGCTCTTAGGAAGAAGAGAGACATTAGTTATTCGTTATTTTGTGGGGGAAAGTGGTGGCAGCATTAAGGCTTTTGGAGTGTCTATGGCCACAAAATTGACATTTATCCTTTCCCCATCAGTTTGGTGTAGCAGTGGTAATCACTAATCAGGTGGTAGCTCAAGTGGATGGAGCAGCGATGTTTGCTGCTGATCCCAAAAAACCTATTGGAGGAAATATCATCGCCCATGCATCAACAACCAGGTAAGGTGTTGATGGGATCAGTTCTTCTTTTCGGAATGTCATATTAACTGTGAAGACATGAAGATATAACATTTTCATTTAAGCCCTGTTAAAGCTACTGTTGTATAGACACTTAGGAACTCTTGCTAATCTAATTAACATGCTCTCGTTGGTATAGATGTTTTAGTTCATAAAAGAATTAAAAACCCACAAGTGTGGAAGAATGAATATGAGTAATTGATATGCCTCTCCCCTGTTATTTAAAAAATGTTTGGGCTGGGCACAGTGGCTCACACTGGTAATCCCAACACTTTGGGAGGCCAAGGTGATAGGATGGTTTGAGGCCAGGAATTCGACACTAGTAAGGGCAACAAAGTGAGGCCTCTGTCTCTACAAAAAAAAGTAGCTGGTGTGGTGGCGTGTGCCTGTAGTCTTAGCTACCCAGGAGACTGAGGCAGGAGGATCAGTTGAGCATAGGAATTCGAGGCTGTATTGAGCTATGATCACACATCACTGCACTCCAGCCTGGCAAAAGAGCAGGACACTGTCTTGAAAAAATTTTTTTTCTTTTTTTTTTTTTTTTTTTGAGATGGAGTCTCGCTGTGTCACCCAGGCTGGAGTGCAGTGGCACGATCTCGGCTCACTGCAAGCTCCGCCTCCCGGGTTCACACCATTCTCCTGCCTCAGCCTCCCGAATAGCTGGGACTACAGGCACCCGCCACCACACCTGGCTAATTTTTTTGTATTTTTAGTAGAGATGGGGTTTCACAGTGTTAGCCAGGATGGTCTCGATCTCCTGACCTCGTGATCTGCCCAACTCAGCCTCCCAAAGTGCTGGGATTACAGGCGTGAGCCACCATGCCCGGCCTAAATTTTTCTTTTTTTAATGTTTGTTTCAATATGGACAATCCACTGAGAGGGGCCAGGGCAAAAATGGATTCTGCCAGGTTGGAAATGCACTAAGGAAAACAGTACAGAAACATTCCCAGGGTCCTTCTAGGAAGAATATATGTCTAAAAAATTTTCAGCTCTGTTACAAAGTCAGGAACGGAATTGTTTAATTATAATAAATTGGTGCTTTGGTCTGTGTCTTTGGGTCAGATTGTATCTGAGGAAAGGAAGAGGGGAAACCAGAATCTGCAAAATCTACGACTCTCCCTGTCTTCCTGAAGCTGAAGCTATGTTCGCCATTAATGCAGATGGAGTGGGAGATGCCAAAGACTGAATCATTGGGTTTTTCCTCTGTTAAAAACCTTAAGTGCTGCAGCCTAATGAGAGTGCACTGCTCCCTGGGGTTCTCTACAGGCCTCTTCCTGTTGTGACTGCCAGGATAAAGCTTCCGGGAAAACAGCTATTATATCAGCTTTTCTGATGGTATAAACAGGAGACAGGTCAGTAGTCACAAACTGATCTAAAATGTTTATTCCTTCTGTAGTGTATTAATCTCTGTGTGTTTTCTTTGGTTTTGGAGGAGGGGTATGAAGTATCTTTGACATGGTGCCTTAGGAATGACTTGGGTTTAACAAGCTGTCTACTGGACAATCTTATGTTTCCAAGAGAACTAAAGCTGGAGAGACCTGACCCTTCTCTCACTTCTAAATTAATGGTAAAATAAAATGCCTCAGCTATGTAGCAAAGGGAATGGGTCTGCACAGATTCTTTTTTTCTGTCAGTAAAACTCTCAAGCAGGTTTTTAAGTTGTCTGTCTGAATGATCTTGTGTAAGGTTTTGGTTATGGAGTCTTGTGCCAAACCTACTAGGCCATTAGCCCTTCACCATCTACCTGCTTGGTCTTTCATTGCTAAGACTAACTCAAGATAATCCTAGAGTCTTAAAGCATTTCAGGCCAGTGTGGTGTCTTGCGCCTGTACTCCCAGCACTTTGGGAGGCCGAGGCAGGTGGATCGCTTGAGCCCAGGAGTTTTAAGTCCAGCTTGGCCAAGGTGGTGAAATCCCATCTCTACAAAAAATGCAGAACTTAATCTGGACACACTGTTACACGTGCCTGTAGTCCCAGCTACTCGATAGCCTGAGGTGGGAGAATCACTTAAGCCTGGAAGGTGGAAGTTGCAGTGAGTCGAGATTGCACTGCTGCATTCCAGCCAGGGTGACAGAGTGAGACCATGTTTCAAACAAGAAACATTTCAGAGGGTAAGTAAACAGATTTGATTGTGAGGCTTCTAATAAAGTAGTTATTAGTAGTGAATGTGCTGTTTATAGCAATTATTGCAGTGCAAGCTATTTCAAGACAGGGTTTCCATAATCTTTTTGGCACTGTATAGGGGTGATCAGTTTCTGTTGCTTCAAGATTTGAAACCAGAAAGGAAAGTCCCACTTGCAGATGATTGTGCTTAAAAGCTAATGGAAAAATAAAAGAAAGACATACCATGGGTTGCCTTGTGGCCCCCCTTTCCTTTTTTTTTTTTTTTTGTTTTTGAGATGGAGTTTCATTCTTGTTGCCCAGGCTGGAGTGCAATGGCGTGATCTCGGCTCACCACAACCTCCACCTCCTGGGTTCAAGCAATTCTCCAGCCTCAGCCTCCCAAGTAGCTGAGACAACAGGCGCCCGCCACCACGCCCTGCTGATTTTTGTATTTTTAATCGAGATGGGGTTTCACCATGTTGGCCAGACTGGTCTCGAACGCCTGATCTCAGTGATCTGCCGGCCTTGGCCTCCCAAAGTGTTGGGATTACAGGCACGAACCACCACACATAGCTCTACAATGCTTTGTTTTAAAAGCCGTTCTAGTCTTTTTTGAGACCGTCTCTCACTCTGTTGCCCAGGCTGGAGTGCAGTAGCACAACTCACTACAACCTTCACCTCCCAGGTTCAAGCAATTCTCCTGCCTCAGACTCCCGAGTAGCTGGGATTACAGGCACGTGCCACCACGCCTGACAAATTTTTTTATTTTCGGTAGAGAAGTTTTTCACTATTTTGACCAGGCTGATCTTGAACTCCTGACCTCAGGTAATCCGCCCACCTCGGCCTCCCAAAGTTCTGGGATCACAGGTGTGAGTACTTTGGGAGGTCGAGGTGGGTGGATCACCTGAGGTCAGGAATTCGAGACCAGCCTCAACATGGAGAAACCCCGTCTTTACTAAAAATACAAAATTAGCTGGGCATGGTGGTGCATTCCTGTAATCCCAGCTACTGGAGAGGCTGAGGCAGGAGAATCGCTTGAACCTGGGAGGCGGAGGGTGCGGTGAGCCGAGATTGCGCCATTGCACTCCAGCCTGGGCAACAAGAGCGAAACTCCGTCTCTAAATAAATAAATAAATAAATAAATCAGGGACTGGGCCAGGTGCGGTGGCTCACATCTGTAATCCCAATGCTTAGGGAGGCCAAAGTGGGTAGACCACTTGAATCAGGAGTTTGAGGTCAGCCTGGGCAACATGGTGAAACCCTGTACAAAAAATTTAGAAATTAAAAAATTATTTGGGCATGGTGGGACGCACTTGTAGTCCCTAGCTACTCCGGTGGCTGAGGTGGGAGGATCCCTTGAGGCCGGGAGGTAGCAGCTGCAGTGAGCCCTGATCACACCACTGCACTGCAGCATGGGTGAGAAAGCAAGGCCCTGTCTCAAAAAAAATCAGATTGAAAAGTAGCATTGTCAATGTCCCTGGAAGCCAGATGCCAAATGGAGTTTATGGGACTCTTTTTTTCCCCTTTACCTCTTTTCACTAGTTAGGACTTCCAATCCAGATCTTACCCAAAGTGCTCAGTGACCCACCCAAAACGTTTTCCTGTTTGTTACATTAGTTTATTGTATATTTAAGGTATACAACATGATGTTATGAGATATTAATACATATAAGGAGGCCAGGCATGGTGGCTCATGCCTATAATCCCAGCACTTTGGGGGGCCAAGGTGGGCGGATCACCTGAGGTCAGGAGTTTGAGAACAGCATGGCCAACATGGCGAAACCCCATCTCTACTAAAAATACAAAACTGGCCAGGCGTGGTGGCTCACGCCTGTAATCCCAGCACTTTGGGAGGCCGAGGCGGGCAGATCACCTGAGGTCAGGAGTTTGAGACCAGCCTGACCAACATGTAGAAACCCCATCTCTACTAAAATTACAAAGTTAGCCGGGCGTGGTTGCACATGCCTGTAATCCCAGTTACTCAGGAGGTTGAGGCAGGAGAATTGCCTGAACCCCGGGGGTGGAGGTTGCAGTGAGCCGAGATTGTGCCATTGCACTCCAGCCTGGGCGACAGGAGCGAAAGAAACTTTGTCTCAAAAAATATGTATATACAAAACTTAGCTGTGTGTGGTGGCACACACCTGTAATCCTAGCTACTTGGGAGGCTAAGGCAGAAGAATCTCTTGAACCCAGGAGACGGAGGTTGCAGCAAGCCCAGATCGCACCACTGTACTCCAGCCTGGGTACAGAACGAGACTCCATCTCAAAAAAAAAAACAAAACATTATAATTAAATGGTCTTAAGTGTCCTATGACACTGATTTCCTTGCCAGGAAGAACAGTTTTCAGCCTGGTCTGGCTCAGGTACCTTTTCCTCTGAATGCTCGTGTTATTGGTGGCTGGGCCAAGCCCTGTTTGTTTTCTGTACAGAATAGTCTGTTCCTAAAGATTAAAAAAAAACCTTTAAAACCTCTTATTCACACCTTAATCTTTTGGTGACAGGTCTCACATGAGCTGGCTAGGAAAAAAAAAAAAAAAAACCGCTACAGCCTTGCTTGAAATTTCCTCTCAGTGCCACTGTGCAGGATGCCATCCAGAGCTTCCTTAAAGGTATTCGGGGATATGAGGGATGTGGGTGACAGAAATACCAGGGTAACCTTGTTTTTCCTTGAGGACATTATTGAGACCCTTGGTGGGAGGGGTTTCTGGTAAGGGGCAATTTTGTGTTTGCCTGTTCTTTGGGAATATCACCTGGAGATAGATGGATTCCCAGACCCACCAAATCTAGGTTTTAGACCAAAAAAGAATGTTTTATTATTAGAATTGAGTATATCTCAGGTCCTCTTTCATTACTACAACACAAAATAAATCTGGGGGCCAGGAACGGTGGCTCACACCTGTAATCCCAGCACTTTGGGAGGCTGAGGCAGGTGGATTGCCTGAGATCAGGAGTTCCAGACCAGTCTGGCCAACATGGTGAAACCCCGTCTCTACTAAAAATACAAAAAAAATTAGCTGGGCGTGGTGATATGCCCCTGTAATCCCAGCTACTTGGGAGGCTGAGGCAGGGGAATTGCTTGAATCAAGGAGGTGGAGGTTGCAATGAGCCAAGATCGCGCCACTGCACTCCAGCCTGGGTGACAAAGCGAGACTCCAGCAAAAAAAAAAAAAATCTGGGTTGGTATAATAAAGACACAGTGACATTCTAGATTAAGGGGTTGGTTCTTATATGAAAGCATCTCAATCTTTTTTTTGAGACAGAGGTTTGCTCTTGTTGCCCAGGCTAGAGCGCAAGGGTGTGATCTCAGCTCACTGCAACCCCTGCCTCCCAGGCTCAAGTGATTCTCTTGCTGTAGCCTCTCTAGTAGCTGAGATTACAGGCGTGCGCCACCATACCGAGCTAATTTTTTCTGTCTGTATTTTTAGTAGAGATGGGGGTTTCACCATGTTGGCCAGGCTGGTCTCAAACCCTTGGCCTCAAGTGATCCACCCGCCTTGGCCTCCCAGAGTGCTAGGATTACAAGCAACAAGCATGAGCTACCACGCTCGGCCTATGCATCTCAGTCTTAAATTTTCTTCTAGGTGGATTTAGGGGTTTGTGCTCGTGGCCCTAAAAATGAACATGAGAAAGGCAGGGAGTACCTGCTTAGTTGCAATAGGCCTTGTTTAGGCTAAAAATAAGCTCGATACCTGTATTTTATATACTGTAAAGAGCATTAACCATAACCTGCCTGCAACAGCCTCTGTAGGTAGAAACAATTATGGAGGTGTCAAGTAAGAATAAAGAGCTGATAACATCAAATTTGGTTTATTTCAAGTTTGTAACAAAATATATTCTAGGCAACTTTTCAGACATTGTTTTATAGCATCATAAACCCCATACCACTGCTGTCATTCCAAAAGCTGCCAGGACACTGGAAGTTATCAAGTGGTCCAGCCCAGGAATACAGGTAGAATTCACATGATAGGTGATAAGAAAGCAATGTCTGTGGGCCACTCTGATCCCTCTTTTTACCTTGGTAGGTAAGGTATGATCTTAAGACTATATGTACTGAGTCCTATTAGTCAGTGAAAAAGATTAAAGTGACAAGTTATGTGCTTTGTTCCTATAGCTTTGAAGTTCATCCACCTCACCAGCAATTGGAAGGTCTCAGGTCTTGCAGGCTCTACCCATGTGTAATCCTGGGGCAGGTGTGAATCTTGATTTTTTTAAGAGATTACTCAAGGGAGAGAACAACAGAAACGGAAGCCATGAGTACTGCCCCAATTCTAGATTAGGTTAGAGGTTAGAATAAATTAACTAATGGGGAGTGGTAGTGGGTAGCAGTCAGACCCAGGAGACAGATTTGTGTGGTTTCCTGATCTCAGCAAGGTCTAAGGAAAAAAGCCTCCCCGCCCCCCCACCTTAAATAGTGGCATCAAGTCATGAAGGCCAGTGAAACGTGGTTAGTCTCGTAAAATGACTTCCAGTTCTTCCAGGTCCTTCTGGATAGCCAAATCCTAGGGAGACAAAGAACAAATCTAGGGCTCAAAATTTAAACCAGCATTTTCCCAAACCAGTGGAACCTAAGAAGAGGGGCCCTTTGCTTCCTTCCTGAGCTCTGCTACAGTCTTTTTCCTACTTCCCCAGGATAGCCTGGAGCCTATTAAATCTGTCTCTTCCCCTAGAGGTAGACTCTTTTTTACTAGGGAAATAAGACCTCTAGGAAAGATTATTTTCTAAAAATGTCACATGATGATTCAGTGATGACAGGCAGTTTTGTTTGGTTTTTTTTTGAGATGGAGTTTTGCTCTTGTTGCCGAGGCTGGAGTGCAATGGCACGATCTGAGCTCACTGCAACCTCCACCTCCCGGATTCAAGCGATTCTCCAGCCTCAGCTTCCCGAGTAGCTGGAATTATAGGCGTGCGCCACTAGGCCCAACTAATTTTGTAATTTTAGTAGAGATGGGGTTTCTCCATGTTGGTCAGGCTGTCTCGAACTCCCGACTTCAGGTGATCTGCCCAACAGGCAGTATTAAAAAGCCTTACCTCCTTCGTGACATCTGGCAGCTCCAGGGCCAACTTCATCCACCATCTAGCTTCAGAGTTTTTCCCTAGTTCTCTGTAGCACTGAAAAGAGACAACAGTGAAACCTGATACTGTGTACTTTCAGGAGTTCCCAGATCTATGTTGAAGTAGACAAATGAGTTTACCTTGGAAATATATACCCTTCCTGCTTTGGAAAATCCTGGCTGTAGTTCTTCAGCCTGGGAAAAGGGACAAAGATATTTCAGTAAGAGGTTCCTATATTCTAATCAGGCTGAAGTTTATTAAACTAGATTTCTAGTCCCCAACCATGTGGCTGATTCAGTGGGTCTGAAGAAACCTATATTTTTGATAAGCTGTGCAAGTGATTCTGGTTTTCCCATAGAACAGGCAAACACAAAATTGCCCCCGACTAGGAAAACCCCTCCCATTAAGGGTCTCAATAATGTCCTTAGGAAAAAACAAGGTTACCCTGGTGTTTTTGCCTGCCACCTGCCCCTCTCATACCTTTAGGAAGCTCTGGAGGGCATCTTCCACAGTGGCACTGAGAGGGCTTTCAAGCAAGGCTGTAGCAGTTTTTTTTTCTAGCCAGCTCAGGTGAGAGACCTGCCACAAAAAGATCAAGGTGTGTATAAGAGGTTTTAAAAGGTTTTTTTTCTTTAAATCTTTGGGGATATATTGAAAATAGGGTCAAACGGGGCTGGGTCGAACCACCAATAATACGAGCATTCAGAAGAAAGGGCACCTGAGCCAGAGAAGGCTGAGGATCTTGTTCTTCCTGGCAAGGAAATCGGTGTCAGAAGGCATTTAGGACCATTATGTCAAGCACTGAAACGCAGCTTACCTGATAGCACCACCTGCCAAGAAGAAAGTGAGCCATGGGGTTTTCTGGCTGGAGAGCAATGGCTTTGTCCACATGCTCCTAAGGGGAAAATGTAAATATAAACTAACATCAGACACCAGAGTTGCTAAAAGAGAGGCAAGGGCCGGATGCAGTGGCTCATGCCTGTAATCCCTGCACTTTGGGAAGCTGAGGCAGGTGGATCACCTGAGGTCAGGAGTTCGAAACCAGTCCTGGCCAACATGGTGAAACCCCATCTGTGCTAAAGATACAAAAATTAGCCGGGCATGGTGGTACATGCCTGTAATCCCAGCTACTTGGGAGGCTGAGGCAGGAGAATCGCTTGAACCCAGGAGGTTGCAGTGAGCCAAGATCACACCACTGCACTCCAGCTTGGGCGATAGAGTGAGACTCTGTCTCAAAAAAAAAGAAGAAAGGCAAGTCACTGAGGCTGTAGAAAAGTTTTTGGCAGGGAGCTGGAAAGGAGTGGGGAATCTGGGATAGGCCAGCACAAGGAAGGAGGAAAAGCCTGTCCTCACCTTGAAGCTAAAGCCACTCTGGATGCGCCTCTGGATGCTCTCATGCTCAGCCAGCTGACCACAAAGCACCGCATACCTAGGGGGGAAGCAGCAAGCTCAGGGACAAGGGCTGAGTACCATCACTGCAAGGAATGGATGCCCCAACCACAGCCTAGTTGCATTGTCCCCTATCCCTGTACCCTCAACTAGAGCTGAAAATACCTAATTTTCATCTGTACGTAATCCCCATTCTTTACGGACCTCTGGCCCCAATTAGTATTCTTTAGTAGATAATGGTAGGCTTACAAGTCTCCAAAGTATTCTAGGTATAAAAAAAGCTGGGTTCACCACAGTAAATCTCTCTTACACAGTAAATCTCTCCTACACTCATAAGGAGTACAGCCACAGGCATTAATAAAAACTTGAAAAGCATGAAAACAATCAGCATAAAAGTATGAGACCTGACTATACTACTTATCTTCTGGGCAGACAAAAAAGTGGGTCTCATTAGCCTTTAAGCATACAGGTGTATCACTGGGACTTGGGAAGCAATTTCTTAGGATAGTCACATTGGGAGGGGATATTCTAGGAATTTCTGATGTTACTTGGAAACCAACAGAACCAGAGGAAGAAAGACCTCCTATATATGCCTTCTCCCCCACATCCCCCCTCCCAAAGGGAACCAGCCAGCCAGCTTCCCATCATCTGTCTTCAGAAACAAAGTCTTACTTCCCCATCCCCCCAGCATTGTTCCTAGCAGCACAGTTGACATTCGATGAGTAACCAGCCCAAGTTGCTTTTTCATGTATATGCTAAGTATCCGGGGGGTATCAGATACTTCTAGAGGCTCATTTCCATGTTTAATCCAAACAGCTGTTCCTCAGGAATAGCTGTTCATCCTTGGAAGCCCAGGGAAGCAGTGACACCCAAGAAACAGTTACCTGGCCTCTGAGAAGAACCCTTGCAGAGACAAAAGTTTCAGCAACAGATGGAGAAACACAGCCTCTCACTTAGCTCACAGTCTGAGGGTGGAGACATGGAAAGCAAGGGTGGCGGTGGGAAAGGAAAGGAACATTTTCACTAAAACTCAGGTGCTGGAACCAGACCCCAGGATATGAGTTAGCCGTGGCCCAGGTAAGCTGACAGAACTTTGCCTCACATGAGACCACAAAAAGGGCTGATGTTTTTGCAGCCTAATAAATTGACCACTAAACTTCTGGGGGGTGAGCTCACATCTACTTTTCCTCACATGAACCAAGCAAAGAAGCCAAAGTACCAGCAGCCAGGGATCACACGCAGGGGAAAGAAGAGCTTATGCAGGATAGGGGAGCTGCAGATTGTCCCAGCCTCCTGAGAGCCAAGAACTCCAGTTTTGTAGCTAGGATGACTCTTAACAAAGCTACTCATTTCTCCAAGCCCCATCAGAAAAAAAGCTTGTATTCCCCGCTTGCCTCATCCCTAAGCCACCTCCCCTACCAGAAACTTCCCTTGTCTCTGGCTAGGGGTAGACTGAGGCATGTGGAGATACAAGCCAGAACTCCCTCTCCTGGATCCTTTGGAAAATGCCTCTGTGGCCCAGGCAGAGAAAAGAAAGGGCTGTCCTCTGCTTTGGCCCTTGCTGGCTCTTCCCAGAACACTGCAGGGTGTTATTACCACAGGTGACAGTCAGCACTCTCATCCCCCTTCTCCAGAGCAGCCTCTGCTTCTTCTTTTCCTGTAGGACGAAGGTAGATCCAGAGTTGACATAGCTCTTATGCACACTTTCATAGGAAGGCTTGTGGGAAGAATGACTGCTTTAGCTCTCACCAATCCCTACCCAGCTTGGACTTGTTTGGAAATAGTTGTGAACTTGAGCAGAATGAAAGGCCGCAAAGAAGCCAGTCACAGTGGCTCACGCCTCTGTGCTGTGTAATCCCAGCACTTTGGGAGGCTGAGGCGGGTAGAGCGCCTGAGGTCAGGAGTCGGAGACCAGCCTGGCCAACACAGTGAAACCCCATCTCTACCAAAAATACAAAAATTAGCTGGGCGTGGTGGCAGGCGCCTGTAGTCCCAGCTACTCAAAAGGCTGAGGCAGGAGAATCGCTTGAACCCAGGAGGCAGAGGTTGCAGTGAGCCGAGATTGCACCACTGCACTCCAGACTAGGTGACAGAGCAAGACTGTCTCAGAAAAGGCTGCAAACGGCTTCTAAGGGAAGACTTCAGGGATGACTTCTGCTTCACCTTGGCTTCCCCATCTGTCATTAGAAACCCCAGTTACCTTCTTTTTATAATGCCCACCTGATGTGCTTGAAGCAGATTTTAGCATTTAAAATATAAAAGGATCCAGCCAGGCACGATGGCTTATGCCTGTAATCCTAGCACTTTGGAAGGCCGAGGTGGGTGGATCACTTGAGGCCAAGTGTTTGAGACAAGCCTGAGCAACATGGTGAAACCCTGCCTCTACTAAAAATATAAAATTAGCCAGGCATGTTGGCACATCCTGTAGTCCCAGCTCCCCAGGAGGCTGAGGCAGGAGAATCACTTGAACCTGGGAGGCAGAAGTTGCAACGAGCCAAGATTGCACCACTGCACTCCAGCCTGGGCGACGAACTCCACCTCAAAAAAAACAACAACAACGGATCCAACACAATCAGAAATTGTCCCCAACAGACCTTACTCTGGAGGGGCAGTGTCCATGAATCTCAAGTTGTATAAAATTTAAGTAAGTGGGGAGAGAGATCACAGCTTTGAAAAAATTCCCTAAAGGGGATGGGTACATTGGCTCACACCTGTAATCCTAGAACTTTGAGAGGCCAAGGAGAGGATAGCTTGGGACCAAGAGTTCAAGACCAATCTGGGCAACATAGGCAGACCCCATCTCTTTAAAAAAAAAAATTCTCAAAAGGATCCACGATCCAACAATATTAATTAGCTCTAGGCCAAAACTCTTTCACAAGAGCCACATGGACTGAGGTCTGACCAGAGATGACGTTCACTTAGTCTTACCCGAGTTTTCTAGGTTAGTGTTCTAACAAAGAAATGAAAGCCCATAAACATGAAAGTTCTGACAAGCGTCACTTAAGAGTATCGAGGCTGGAGCTTACGGACCACCAGATAAGGACCATCATGCCTATGCACTGGAGAAGACACTGCAACATAGGATTTTTTTTTTTTTTTTTTTTTTTTTTGAGACAAGAGTCTCACTCTGTCGTCCAGGCTGGAGTGCAATAGCACGATCTAGGCTCACCGCAACCTCCGCCTCCAGGTTCAAGTGATTCTCCTGCGTCAGCCTCCCGAGTAGCTGGGATTACAGGTGTGTGCCACCACACCTGGCTAATTTTTGTATTTTTAGTAGAGACAGTTTTGCCTTGTTGGCCAGGCTGGTCTCAAACTCCTGACCTCAGGTGATGCGCCCACCTCAGCCTCCCAAAGTGCTGTGATTACAGGTGCGAACCACCGTGCCCAGCCAAGAATTCTTTGAAGAAAACAAGTTTGGAAGGGAACATGGAGAAAATGGAACAAATGTAATGCATTGAGGTGGTAAACTGGCTAATCTGAAATGTTTTCCTTTTTTTATTTGAGACAGGGTCTCTCTCTGTTGCCCAGGCTGGAGTGCAGTGGTGCAATCTCAGTTCACTACAACCTCTGCCTCCTGGGCTGAAACAATCCTCCTGCTGGCATGTTCCACCACCATGCCTGGCTAATTTTTTAAGTTTTTTTTTTTTTTTTTGTAGAGACAAGGTCTCACTATATTGCCCAGGCTAGTCTCTAACTCCTGGGCTCAAGCAATCCTCCTGCCTTGGCCTCCCAAAGTGCTAGGATTATAGGCATGAGCCACCACACCTGGCCACAAATGCATTCTTAAGACAACTGATGCTGTGAAAGACTCTACCTCTCTTCCCAAAGAGAGGGACCACATGGCCCCACCAATGAGGGACGCTGCCTCTTTGGGGATTTCTCTCTGCCCTCTTCAAAGTACTGTCTCACTAGGAAAATAATAGCAAAGAATGAGACAACTAGTTCCTGCCAAGCTAGACAGACAGTGTTGTAGACAAGACATTGCCTGAGACCCCACAGAATGACTGCCTCCTGGTGGTCCAGCTCCTAGAGATACAATGAAATAAACTTTATACCCAGTAAGGATAATTCTTAAAGGCTGTGATCTCAGAGCAGAACCTTCAAAGACATTCCATAGTCATCTGACCTCCAGCAGGTAAAGCTTTGTCCATGGGTGCTAAGCTCAGGAGGCCAGACCAACCAAGTGCTGCCCTGCTAACCACTGCCTCCACTTCTGTCTTTGGGGTTCATGCTGGCTACTAGCACTAATAAGAGATGACCAATGATCAAGAGGGAAAGGAAAGGTTGTTGACATGAAGAGTCCAAAAATCAGCCCAAAAGCTGAGAATCCTCATCTGAAATTTAGGAGGGAAAACAAACTTTTGGAGAGAAAAAGTAATCATAAATAAGCATCTTTTGTTAAAACTTCCAGGAATTTTTCTGAGGGTCTACAGAGACATCCTACTCAATTGGTCTGTTCTTTCTCCATTGACAGAATTCTACAAATGTTTAGAATGTTAACTTTGAGGTACTGTTTGAGTATACATTATCAAGGATTCAATAATATTTGTAAGGCTGTACTTACAATAGAAAGGTAGACAAATCCATTTTAGACAGTTAACTGGCCAGGCACAGTGGTTTATGCCTGTTATCCCAGCACTTTGGGAGGCCTAGGTGGGTGAATCAGTTGAGGCCAGGAGTTCAAGACCAGCCTAGCCAACATGGCGAAACCCCATCTCTGCTAAAAATACAAGACTTAGTCGGGTATGATGGCATGTGCTTGTAATCCCAGCTACTGGGGAGGCTGAGGCAGGAGAATTGCTTGAGCCCAGGAGGTGGAGGTTGCAGTCAGCCGAGATCAGGCCACTGAACTCCAGCCTGGGCAACAGAGAAAGACTGTTTAAAAAAAAAAAAAAAATAGATATTAACTGAACCACAGACCTAGAAACCCATTACCCATTGATGGTACCTGACTCAGTGTGTGGAGTTCAGCAGGACACATCAGTCTCTAAAGTCCAAGCATTCTCTGACCTCATGACAGATAAGGCCAAGCCCTGAGCCTGGCACAGGTCAGATGCACCCTATCCTCCAGGGTGGAGCCTTTGCCAACAGACTTGCCAAGTGGATTCCAGAGTCTTCTAAGCTAGCTATATTCTTAGAACACCTGCCCCACCAGCTCAGAAAACTGAAACCAGATTTCTAAGCAGCAGCAAAAAACCTCAGGTTAAGAAAAAAGGTTTTGCCCTCTGTGGCTAGAGTGAGAAAAACGAATAACATTGATAGGATACAACTACTCCTAGAAACACATGCACGTGTGTTACTAATCAGCATGATATACAGATAAGCAAAGACTGCTCTCTTCTTCCAGAGGAGAAAGCAAGGGTCTTTGGGAGCCAGAGTTTGTCCCTAGTGGGTAACTGAGCCACAACTGCTGACAGCATCTTGGTGGTTCCCCGGGTCCCCAGGCAGATGGGCCAGCCCCACCCCTGAATCAGTCAGTCACCTTCCCACAGGAAGCTGTCAGCACTTACCATCTAGGGCATATGACTTCTTCTCGCTCACCTCCTCAGTGAGCTCACACATGTCACTGTAGGCTCGGGCCAGGCGCCAGAGAAAGTCCTGCCGGCTTCCATACTGCAGACCAGACAGAAACGGGTGAGGCCCCTTTTTCCTCAACTGTGGAGAATGGGGGCCTTGGCCTTCCCCCACACCCTAGGTTTGAATTTCCAAGCTAGTATGTTACAGTCATCAATATCAGGCCAGCTCCTACACGCAGCCTTCCCCCCAGTCATCCCTTCCCACGTGCAGTTAATGTATGACACATTCTCTGTCTAGCCAGTAGCTTGCACAATTACGGGGTGAGGGCATTCTGACCTCCTAGAACTGCTGGGAGGAAAGGTCAACTCCAAGATGTCATAAGGCACGAGAGGTCTTTTGCTGACACATGAAGAAAGTGTGAAAGGAAAAGGGAAACTTCTAACTTCTGGGGGGGGGGCATTTATACCTGGGTGGGCATATATTCTGTCAGTGAACCTGACAAGAGAATTATGGTTGAGTGACCTACACAGTTGTCGCTTGTAATGGGGCTGGCAGCTTGGACTCTGCCTCAAGGGAAATGAGGAGAAAAAAAAAATACAGTTCTTTCCACATTTCCCCCTAGAGGTGAGAGGTAGAGCTCTTTCTGCAGTAGCTCTACAGAAAGCAGAGAACTACACTCCCCCTCCCAAGAGGGGAGGCAGCTCTGGGGCAAGCAGTACACTGGCCCTAGGATCCACGCTGGGCCTCCTTGGAAGAGGATATGTGACCTGGGGGACAGATGCAAAACCAGCTGTCTCACCATTTCTCGTCCCATGTCACCTTGTAGGGGCAGTAACCACACGGGCCTTCATTCCCCAGGGGTCAGGAACAGAGAGATGGAGGGAGGGAGGGAAGGAGAAGGAGACAGGCAGCTGGAGCCTCACCACCAGCTTGTTGTTGAGCAGCAGCTGGAAGCCCTCCCGCTTGCCTTGCTCATCACCCCTGTGCAGCTCGTCGGCCTGCTGCAGGAGGGGCAGCACATCCTCCAAGCCTGAGGAACCTCCAGCCTCCAGGGCACTGGAGGCACCTGAAGCTGCCTCTTCCTCCAAGTCAAGAGAATCCTTTCTCCCCATCTTCACAGTCTCACAGCTCACTTCATCTTCCCCGTCCTCACTTTCTTTGTCAGAGTCCCGCTCATTGTCAGACTCCGCATTGGCTGTTGTGTAACTGGCAGAGAAATGTAAGGGACAACAAGAGGATTATTCAGCTCAGAGCCCCTAGGGTCTGTCTATCCCTCACCCCCAAAGAAGCACTCTACATGGCATTGTCCAAAGCACCAAATCACAATCATTCATACCTCTTAAGGGCAGACTTTTTTTCTTTTTTTTTTTTTTTTTTGAGACAGGGTCCCGCTCTGTCACCCAGACTGGAGTGCAGTGGTTCGATCTTGGCTCACTCAAACCTCCACCTCCTGGGGTCAAGCAATTCTCCCACCTAATTTTTTTGTATTTTTAGTAGAGACGGGGTTTTGCCATGTTGCCCAGACTGGTCTCAAACCCCTGGCCTCAAGTGATCCGCCCACCTCGGCCTCCCAAAGTGCTGGGATTACAGGCATGAGCCACCATGCCCAGCAGAAATCATTATTTGAGAGAAAGTTTCCTATGGGAACTAAGGGCTGGGAAAATGATCCAGGAAGGAAAGAGCAGACAACCAGCTGAGGCCCTGTGACAGTTAAGGCAAATGTGAGAAGTCCCTGCTCGTTTTTGCCTTATCAGTCAGAGACACTTGCCACAACCAACATGGGTGGGTGCAGCCTCAGGCCATGGGCAGCCACACACACATCCACAAACTCGCAACCTCTGGCCCAAGTCAACAACCAAACCTAAACCGCAACAGGAGTAGCCCATAGTAACCTTGAGAACTTAAGGGTGTGAGGAGAGGTGATAGGAACCACTTTGCAGCCAGAAGCAAGAAGGGGAAGACAATGCAAACTACCCCCTGAAAAGGTGTTTGGGGGGCTGCCATATGCCAGGTGGCTCCTAAGGAGCCCCAACCCTGATGCACCCACTAAAGAGGAAGCTGAGTTTCTCTTGGATCTCAGCCACCAGCAGCTGATTAGGGTGTTTTCCCTAAATGCCTAAAATAGATAAGGACTGAGCAGGGGAAAAGGTAGGACTTCTGGGGGTCAGAAGCAAACACAAGGCTGGGGGCGGTGGCTCACGCCTGTAATCCCAGCACTTTGGGAGGCCGAGGCGGGCGGATCAGGAGGTCAGGAGATCAAGACCATCCTGGCTAACACGGTGAAACCCTGTCTCTACTAAAAAATACAAAAAATTAGCCAGGCATGGTGGCAGGTGCCTGTAGTCCCAGCTACTCGGGAGGCTGAGGCAGAAGAATGGGCGTGAACCCGGGAGGCAGAGCTTGCAGTGAGCGGAGATCACACCACTGCACTCCACCCTGGGCGACAGAGCAAGACTCCGTCTCAAAAAAAAAAAAAAAAAAGAATAGGCTCCCTGTGGCTGGAGCAAAACAGGACTGAAGGAGAGATGACACACCACCTACAAATAAAGTCAACAACTGACAGCCTAATGTCAGGGCAGAAGTGCTGTCCTGCCCAGAAAACCAGAAACCACAAGGTGGCAGGCTCTGAAGGCTCTGGAAGTGAGCAGCCAGACCTGGTACCCAGTCCGTGCTGACTGCATCCTTACAGAGGAGCTTCAGCCTCATCTAAAAAAGAGGCCCCAGACACATCTACTACAAGAACTTGTAAGGTATTTAAAACCTTTCCTAACTGCACCTTTGTTTTTTAAGAGGTTATCCAAGTAGATTTCCCCTTTAGTTATTAGAAAAAAAAAAAAACACCTTTAGAAATCAAAGGGACAAGGATAAGTGTCATTAGATTTCGTAACCAACCTGGGTACTGATGAGGGAGACCACCCACAGGCAACCTAGAGAATGAAACTCCCAACTGCACCTGCCAGATTGAGAAAAATCAAACCAGAGTCTCCTCTGCCCAGCCAGGCCCAAATGCAAAATGGGTAGATGGTTTATCTGGAACGGGAAGCTGGAATTGCATCATCTCCCTTTGCTAGAAGGAGGGGGAGACCCTATTTCTTGCTGAGTTGAGGGCTGCCTCAGCCAATCAGGAGTCCAAAGAGGAGTCTCTCTGCCTCCAGCACTCCCAGGGAGGGACCTAGCCCTGCTGGAGCCCAGGCATCAGCACAGAATCCCCTGGGACCTGAGCTGCGATGCTGCCATCCCTCTGGATCCTAAAGGCCCAGCTCACAAAGCCAAGAAGAGAGGTCAGGGAGCCTTGCTGCCACAAACAGAGTGAAAGATGGTAGAGCCCTGTGAGGCAGGGAGGCTCCAGGGAAGCTGGCATAGAAAGTAGACTTTAATTGCATCTCAGCCCCACTTTAAGGAACCCTCAACAATCTGAAACCCTACTGCCTGAGGCAGCTTCTGGGGCCTCAGAAGAGATTAATCACATGCCAAGGGCTACCACATTTACACCATTCTCTCTCACTTTCCACCTCCCAGACTAACCCAGCCAGCCTTTGGAGAAATCTACCAGAGAGGAGTGACCCTTTTAACATACCCTGAGGCTTTTGAGATCTGCCAGAGACGAGCAGGGACCTTTGAAAAGGCCCTTTGGTCCTGTGCACTCCGGAGGACAGGAGTTCCCACAGTGGGCCAGAGACCCAAGGCTCCCTCTGAGCAGAGACTGCCACTCTACTCTTAAGCAGTAATGAAGGACTCAGTTACACACATCTCTCCTCCTGGCAATTAAGTTTCTCTTAACCTAAACCATGTTAGAGACTGAGTATGAGGCCTTCAAAGATAACCAGGCACATGGACCCTGACCTTGAGATAAGACCCAACTTAATGAGGTCATAAATGCCCAAGAAGGAGTCTTCACGATGAGGCTGCAGGCAATTTCTCTTGGCTGAGATGCCTGGGAAGGCTTGCTGGAGGAGCTGGTATTTTAGGGCAAGTTGGGTTCTGACAGAGGGAACTCAAGCTGTGTTTGGTACAATGCCCGGGGAACAAGCTCACAGAGCTGCACAGTGATTCTGCCTCTGCCACCCTCAATCTCCTGAGACCTCAAAGTTGTTATTTGGAAGAAGGAAGGAATACAGCTTTCAGTGAAATCAAGCAGCCCATCAAATCTCAGCCCTTCATCCCTCAAAGCAGCTCTCCTTGCCCCAAGACACACATGTTCAAAGCCATTTCAGAGTTTGTAGACTCCTAGAGCTCCCCCCTTGACCTACATGGCAATGACCATGGCACAAAGAATCATTCACCACGGCCACTGCCCTAGAGAACAGCCGGCTCAACCACACAGTGTTGCACCACCACCTGCTCTCATGCCACGGGACTGGGCATGGGACACAGCCTGAAGGCGCTATAATTAAGAAATCCACTCTTCCCCTTGCCCCATCACAGGTGTCTGGCAGCCCTGGCCTGCTCCTTGTGGCCTTGGGAGTCCCAGTGAGCACCCCTAGCAGTGAAGGACCCCCAGGTGTCCCTGGTTAACTGCTCTGGCTCCCACTGACCCCAGAAGTTTGTACTTCTTTATTTTTTTGGGATGGAGTCTTTCTCTGTCACCCAGGCTGGAGTGCAGTGGTGCAATCTCGGCTCACAGCAAACTCCACCCCCTGGGTTCAAGTGATTCTCCTGCCTCAGCCTCCGGAATAGCTGGGATTACAGGCATGCACCACCACGCCCAGCTAATTTTTCTATTTTTAGTAGAGACAGGGTTTCACCATGTTGGCCGGGCTGGTCTCGAACTCCTGACCTCAAGTGATCTGCCCACCTCAGCCTCCCAAAGTGCTGGGATTATAGGCATGAGCCTCCACACCCCAGCCTCAGTAATTTTTTTTTTTTTTGAGACAGAGTACTGCTCTATCACCGAGGCTGGAGTGCAGTGGTGCCATCTTGGCACACTACAGCCTCCACCTCCTGGGTTCAAGTGATTCTTCTGCCTCCGCCTCCTAGGTAGCTGGGATTACCGGTGCCTGCCAACATGCCTGGCTAATTTTTGTATTTTTAGTAGAGACGAGGTTTCACCATGTTGGCCATCTGGTCTTGAACTCCTGATCTCAGGTGATCTACCTGCCTTGGCCTCCCAACGTGCTGGGATTACAGGCCTGAGCCACCGCGCCTGGCCTAGTACAACTTCTTTAAATCATCACAAAGAGGACCAGGTGCGGTGGTTCATACCTGTAATCTCAGCACTTGGAGGCTGATGTGGGAGAACTGCTTGAGGCCAAGAGTTCAAGAACAGGCTGGGCAACACAGTGAGACCCCATCTGTACAAAAAAAATAAATAGAATTGGCTGGGCATGGTGGCACATGCCTGTAGTCCCAGCTATTCAGAAGGCTGAGGCAGGAGCACCACTTGAGCCCAAGAGGTTGAGGCTGCTGTGCTGTGATGGCACCATGGAACTCCAGCCTGGGCAACAGAGTGAGACCCTGTCTCAAAACAAAACAAAACAAAAACAAAAACAGTTGTGAAGGGCCTCAAGCTTTCTTTGATTTTGGGCAGAGCTGTGACCTCTCCTTCTGTTCAACCTCCTTACAGAGTTCAAACATCAATTCCCCACCCAAGTGGCCTGCTTCCTTGGGTTGCAGAGATGTTCTTTACATCTCAGTGCCCACTATCAACTACTTCCTCGGTCTCTCTCTTCAATTCAGATGTATCAAATATTAATTTCATTTTTGCCCCCTCTTTAACACAACTTCTGGAAGCATCTCTTGGCCCAGAGCCATTTAGGTAAATTGAATAGAAAAGGGCCACCTCTGTTTGCCCTTGAGAATGCAGATAACAGGGATCTGACAACCCAGGCAACAGCAGTCCCCCATGGAAGAGCAGAGAGCTCTTCACCACCACTCCACAGGTTTCTGGAGACCCCGGAGCACTCATCAAATCCAGCGTTGGTGATAATGACATTTCAGTCAACCACGGACTGCGCATATCAGTGGGTGCATACGATTATAATGGAGCTGAAAAATTCCTATCACCTAGTATTTACATTGTATTTTATTTTTCTGAGGCAGGGTCTCACTCTGTCACCCAGGCTGGAGTGCAGTGGCACAATTATGGCTCACTGCATCCTCAAACTCCCGGCCTCCCAAGTAGCTGGGACTACCGACCCATGCCACCATGCCCAGCTCGTTTTTTTTTTTTTTTTTTTTTTTCTTTGAGATGGAGTCTCACTCTGTCTCACAGGCTGGAGTGCAGTGGCGCAATCTCGGCTCACTGAAACCTCTGCCTCCTGGGTTCCAGCAATTCTCCTGCCTCAGCCTCCCGATTAGCTGGGATTACAGGCATGCACCACCACACCTGGCTAATTTTTGTATTTTTAGTAGAGACAGGGTTTCGACATGTTGGCCAGACTGGTCTCAAACTCCTGAACTCAGGTGATCCGCCCACCTTGGCCTCCCCCAGGTAGTTATTTTATGTAGAGACGTGGTCTTGCTGCCTTGTCCAGGATGGTCTCAAGCTCCTGAACTCAAGCAATCCTCCTGTCTCGGCCTCCCAAAGTGCTGGGATTACCCATGAGCCACCACCACACCTGGACTGATTTTAACTTCTAGTTTCCATGTACCTGCTTATAGCTAATTCCTCTGATCCAGCATAAAACTTGGCTGTTCTCTACACCAGTCTTTCCCTTAAGAAGAATAAAGGCTGGACAAGGAGAAATCGGCCTCTAGGCCTCACACAGGCTACCTGAATAACTGGAGCTAGCAGCAGATAAGGTCAGATGGGTCAGATGCTGCTACTGACATCACACTCTATCCTTGGGACCAGAGTTTCAAAGTGGTGCTAGTGGTTTAAACTCAAAACACCCTTAGCATGACCAGACTTGGAGGAGGCTGTCCACCAGACTCCTGCCAGCTGCCCCGCCTCACAGAAAGGCCTATCGTCAGCCCTCCTGGGCCACTGAGAACTCAGGACATCCACCTCCCACCTGTAAAAATGCAAAGGATCACAGGCAAGGCTCCCCTGTGGGAAGAGGGTGACTCCCAGGGAGGAGCATGCTTCGTGCTTAGACATCTCCGTATACCAGCTCAGCCACCCAAGGAAAGGAACAAAGTCAAACAATGCTTATCAAGTCCTTGTGATAACACAGAAAAATGCCCAAATAATATATCATAACTATGTAATAAACTAAGATAACAGATGCAAGCAATAACTGCTATTAACATCTACATTTGTCTGAATGACATAAATTGGATGGGTTTTTTGTTTCAACTCTTCTGTATTTATTATACTCTTACCTGTTCCAAAAATCATTTGCAGCAGCTTGGTTTGAATTTTCCATTGATAATACTTTTACAAAACACAACCTGGCTGTAGCCATAACTGCCTCCAAGAGAGACAACTCACCCCCCTTCACTCTCAGCATCTGTGAACGTGGCTCCCGAGGAGGCCGTGAAGTAGACAGAGCTGGAGCCAGTGGAGTCACTCCTCTCCCGGACAAACGGAAACCTTCGCCGCCGAGCCACTCTCTGGTTCTCTTCCATGTGGCATCTGGAAAGCAGGCCCCATCCCGAAGGGTACCATTAGGTCCCATCCAGCTTGTCTTTCTGCTCACCATGGGGTGCCTCTTACTACTGCTCCTCATTAAAGGGCTAAAAGCAGAGAAAATCCTAAGTCTCTAACCCTCAGGAGGGCAAGCAGGGCAGCTTCCTGGGCCCAGCCCGCACAGACAGACTAGGTTAGGCAAACAGAGCGCTTCAGCTGCTACAACAGATCAACCATGAGAGTCCAGAAGCAGCAAGGAGCATGTGCAAGGCGAGGTACCAAATGTACAGCTTCAACCCAGATTAGGCTAGAAGCTATAGAACTGGTTTATTCTTTAGAGACAGACAGCGAAGGCCAGAACACACCCCAGCTGAAAAGCTGCAGGGGAGGGATAAAGCAGGAGAAGAAGCCGCATTACTCACCGGACCTCCCCAACAATCTCCCCCGCAAGCCCTCGCAGGCTGCTTCTCAGCTCCTCCACCTCCCGCCGCAGCGCCACAAGGCTGGTCAGCACAAAGTCCAGGCGGTCCAGCACCTTCTCCTGTCCTTCCCGTGGAAGGCTGGGCAGCACTGAGGCATCTCCAGCCCCACCTGGGACAGCCCGCAGGAGCATCACTGAAGGGGGAAACGAATGGGAGCCAGTGACACACAGGAATATGGTGGGGAAGAGATCTCACACCCAGAATTCAAGAATACCTGCTTTCCATTGGAAGAGAAGGCCCAGTGACGCTCAGATAGCACACGTTCACAGCCAGGTCATGGTAACAAGTCTCAAGAAACTACCCAGGGATCTCTAAACGAGAGCCCTCTGCTCCAAGAACCTTCCATACCAGGGCCCTTCAGGAATGCTGCACACCACGATAGATAATGTAACATGCTTGCCCAAGTGTGGAACCTGAAGGAGGACAGCTGTCCTGCTAGAGTTAAAAAAAAACAAAAACCTTCACCTCACCATATAGTGCCCAATACCAAGGAGTCAATACCAACCACATAGCAAAACTAAAACTAAAACTGAGCTCCCTCAAATTCTGATCTCTCACTTCACAAATAATAGTAGGGAAAACTTGGAGTTTCTCCCAGAACTTCATTTAGTATATCAGAGAAGGACTAGGAGAAAGGGGGCAGTTATTAAGAGAAAAGGTACACCAGAAAAAGCCCATCCAAACTGCCTCAGAAAGACACCGTCACTAAGCCCTGCTGACCCAACCCTAGATCTCAGAGTAAATTCCAGCAGTGAAATGCTAGCAAAGTGACAGCCACCTATGGTAACTGAACTGGAAAATGCAAAAACAAAAAAGAAACCAGAGAGGCAGGACCCTACAATACGGCAAGCATAAATCCCTTCTTAAAGGAAATCTGGTAAAAAACTAGGCCAGGCCACAACATACATCCAATAATGCTCAAGAATGTAGTGCAAGAAAGATCCCTGGCAATGTGGCCACTTTCTTCTAATCTCAGAAGAAACACTACTGCGAAGCAATTACAAACAAAATACAAGGGAAGGAAGCACACTCCAATACTAGATTACCACAAGATTATAAAATGCTGACAATCATTTGCAATCTAAGCTGATAGCTCTTTGAAGACTCCAAAACTAACTTTTCCAAACCATCTAACATTGGCAATCAGAGAAAACACTCATTTCCAATTAGCATGGGAGTGAGATAATGTAAACGCTCCTCTTGGCCAGGTGTGGTGGCTCACGCCTGTAATCCCAGCACTTTAGGAGGCCGAGGCCAGGAGTTGGAGACCAGCCTGGCCAACATGGGGAAACCCCATCTTTACTAAAAATACAAAAATTAGCTGGGCATGGTGGCACGCACCTGTGATCCCAGCTACTCGGGAGGCTGAGGCACGAGAATCACTTGAACCCAGGGAGGCGGAGGTTGCAGTGAGCCAAGATCATGCCACTGCACTCCAGCCTGGGCAACAGAGCGAGACTCCATCTCAAAAAAAAGAAAAGAAAAGAAAAAAGAAAAGAAAAGAAAAAAAACACTCCTCTTGCACAAAGATGGTAGTAGTTTGAACCAGCCCTAGATCCTTTGCTCAAATGAATTGACAAATCTGCAAGAACTACTCATTTCAGCTGTACAGGCTGCCAGCCACATTCAGCTTCAATTGCATTAAGCGTGCTCCTAGCCCTATGCCGTAGAAAGTCCACTGGACCAGGTGACCAGGCCCAACCTTGCCACTTAATCTGTGACAGCCTCAGGAAAGTTATACCATCTTTTTGAATCTTGGTTTCCTCATAGGAGGGATAAAAAGAAAAAAAAACTTGAATGAGATAGTTGCCAAGTTGTCTTGATAGTTGCCAAGTTGTCTTCAAATTCTAATATATGATTTAATACATAAGCCTCAAGACTTTTAATCCCTACAAGATTATTCTTTTTGCCCTCTTTTGGACTCTTCCTCTACTTATTACACACCTCACCCAACACTAAGCAAGTGCCTTTAATACCCACATAGCACTATTGTGGCCAGAACTAAAAGTGAAAGTTAAACAGTCTTTTTGAAATATACTTTCTTGTGAGTACAGGCGAAAGAGTAGAGAAAACCACGACTGCTTTTTTTTTTTTTTTTTTTTTGAGACAGAGTCCCACTCTGTCACCCAGGCTGGAGTGCAGTGGCGCAACCTCAGCTCACTGCGGCCTCCGCCTACCAGGTTCAAGCGATTCTCGTGCCTCAGCCTCCCCAGTAGCTGGGACTACAGGCCGCGCCACCACGCCCGGCTAATTTTTGTATTTTTAGTAGAGATGGGGTTTCACCATGTTGACATCTGGTTGAACGTTGGCCAGGCTGGTCTTGAACTCCTGACCTCAGGTGATCCGCCCGCCTCGGCCTCCCAAAGTGCTGGGATTACAGGCGTGAGCCACCGCGCCCAGCCCGACGACTGCTTTTTCAACAAGCTTCCAAAAAAGTGAAACCCTAAAGCACTTCTCTCCGTTACCCTGTCCCACAGTCTCCACCGAAAGCAGCCCAGACCTCAGGCCCATTAGTCTGCAGTGACCGCGGTCTCAGGAGACGGGCTCCTACCGTGGCGTCCGGGATCTGAAGTCTGCGTATAGTCCAGGGAGTTGGGCAGGCTCTGGCTGCGGCCATGACGCTGGGTCCGTTTCCATCGCTGGCTGTAAAGGAGGCACAGGAATCCAAGGCCGGCGGCGGTACCCAGCAACAGTCCCAGCCCGGCACGGGCACCACCCAGGGCTCCCAGTCTAGACATGCTGCACCTGCGGCCAGCAGAAGTCACCGGGAGCAGGCAGGCGGGCGGGCGGGCGGGGGTAAGGAGAGAGAGAGATTCGTGAACCCGGTAAACCCACCCTCAAGGCTGAACCCCGGCAGGTATCCCCTTGCCCAAACCCTGAGCTCTCGACTACGTGCACCCCAGTCTGAACCCTAAGGCTTCCTCCAGCCTCCTGGGCCCCACTGCCTCTCTTCTCACCCAGCCTGGACGTAGCCGCCCCTCCAGTACACCCCCCGACCCGGGTCACAGAGTCCGGCTTCTGGGCCTTCAACCCCCACCTCAGCCTCACGACACTGCAGACCACAAACCCGGCGCCCTGGCTGCAAACTCCTGGCCTTCCGCCGCGGCCCCCGAAGGCGCTCTGGCCTGGCAGGAGATCCACTCAGACCCTTACCCGGCCGCCAGCCACCATGGCAGCAGCCGCCGCGGGCTCACGCTGTCAGTGACCGTGACGTCAGGCAGGCGGCGCCAGGTGCTCGGCGCCCTGCGGGAAGGCGCAGAGAGATGACCGCGCCGGCCCCGCCCCTTGTCTGTTTCCCTCAGGGGCGGGGCCACGGGCGCCGCCGGAGGGGCGGAGTCAGCACAGAGCGCGAAAGGAAAGCAAGAAGGGGCCCAAGACAGGGGAAAGGCGGGAAGGCAGGGAGACTTCTTGGGCGGACGCTCGCGCAGTCACCCTCACCGTCCGGCAGCCAGGCCTCCATTTCCCTCCGGTCACACCGGCTTAACTTGCTGCTCCCGGAATACGCTCAGCATATTCACACTTTCTACCTGCGCTTCTGCCTGGACCTCCCCTCTGTACCTGGAAAACGTCACGCTCTCCCCACATTTTATTTTTATTTTTATTTTGTAGAGACTGGGTCCCGCTCTCCTGGTCTCTCAAAGTGCGATCCGCCCGCCTCGGGCTCCCAAAGTGCGTGAGCCGCCGCACCCGGCCATAAATCTTAAACCTAACGTGCTGTCTTATAATTCTGTTTTACTCTTGTAATTGTATGCAACTTCTTATAATTGTGGCAACTAAAAAGACCGATTTTATGGACTATGATAACAATTTTATTGTGAACATTTCTTAAGAGTTAAAATTTAGTTTAGTGAAAGAAATATCTAGGCCAGTCCTCCCAATACCCTTGACTAGATCTTATATTTATTTACCCTTTAATTGTGAGATATTGTATACATATAAGAATACAGGAGGCCGGCCGTGGTGGCACGTGACTGTAGTCACAGATACTCTGGGGGCTGAGATGGGAGGATCACTTGAGCCCAGGTCGTCGAGGCTGCAGTGAGCCATGATCACTCTGGGCAACAGAAGTCAGGATATCGAGGCCACCCAGGCCAACCTGGCGAAACTCCGTCTCTACTAAAAGTACAAAAATTAGCTGGGCATGGTGGTGCACGCCTGTAATCCCAGCTACTCGGGAGGCTGAGGCAGGAGAATTGCTTGAACCCAGGAGGCAGAGGTTGCAGTGAGCCGAGATCTCGCCACTGTACTCCAGCTTGGGCAACAGAGTGAGGCCTCCTCTCAAAACAAATAAACAAAAACAACAACAACAAAAAATATATTTATATATATATAAAGTATATATATATATATACACTTTATTTTGGAGGAAATAAAAATTTCCTCTGGAAACCTTCCCAGATCACCACCTTGGTGAAATTAAGCTTTTCACCCTGCTTTGCTCCTGTGGCTCTATTGCCTCCATTATACTTTTTTTTTTTTTTTAGACGGAGTTTCGCTCTTTTCGCCCATGCTGGAATGCAGTGGTGCGATCTCGGCTCACTGCAACCTCCTCCCCCGCCCCTGGGTTCAAGCAATTCTCCTGCCTCAGCCTCCGGAGTAGCTGGAATTACAGGCTTGCACCCCCACGCCTGGCTACTTTTTGTATTTTCAGTAGATACCGGATTTCTACATGTTGGTCAGGCTGGTCTCGAACTCCTCACCTCAAGTAATCTGCTTGCCTCAGTCTCCCAAAGTGCTGGGATTACAGGCGTGAGCCACCGCACCAGACCCATTACACTCTGTTCTGTGATTATTTGCTTTCTACTCTGTCTACACCACTGGACTGCCCACTCTTCCAGGATGGGGTTCACTCCTGATTCATCCCAGGTCCCCTGTGCCTGGCACAGCTCTAATGCAAAAGCATCCATAAAAGCTGAATGGAGGAAGGAAGAAAAGAAGGCGTGACCGACAGCACGCCCTGCCACTTTGACAGTGTGTTCTCAGCTGTGGCAGAAAACTCAGTGGCAGAACAATAATTTCTCCTCTCTACGGGGGGGAGGCAGCTCTGTGAGATAAACGGATTGTGATGAGAGGCTAGGCCAAATGGGCAGACCAAGCAGGGGAATTCATTTCCCCCTGGATATTAAAGATGTTATCTGGCAGGCACGTGTCTGCCAGGGCAATCAGCAGTGTGGTGGGTGGCTCTGGACAGAGCTCTTTATCTTGTGCTGCATCTGCAGACTAGCTTTGCAAATGTAATAAAGGCCTGGCTGCCTGAGATATGCACTGCCCACCTTCCCACCCCCTCCACAGCCCAGCCTGAGAAGAGAGCAGACCAGACCCCAAACTGTTGTCCTGCCCTCTGCCCAGAACATCTGCCTCATCTACCCCGGCTCTTCCAAGAGAGGTGACAAGTCAAATGCCTTGGGATGGTGGCCTTACCCTTGTGTATAATGTTTAAGGTTCTTGATGCCTTAAAAAATAATTCTTTCTCTAGGCCAGGCACGGTGGCTCCCGCCTGTAATCCCAGCACTTTAGGAGGCCTAGTTAGGTGGATCACGAGGTCAGGAGTTCAAGACCAGCCTGGCCAATATGGTGAAACCCCATCTCTACTAAAAAATACAAAAATTGGCTGGGTACGGTGGCTCATGCCTGCAATCCCAGCACTTTGGGAGGCCGAGGTGGGTGGATCATGAGGTCAGGAGTTCGAGACCAGCCTGGCCAACATGGGGAAACCCTGTCTCTTCTAAAAATACAAAAAAAAATTAGCCAGGCGTGCCATGATCTCAGCTCACTGCAACCTCTGCCTTCCAGGCTCAAAATATCCTCCCACCTCAGCCGGGGGTGGAACTACAGGCACATGCCGCCATGCCCAGCTAATTTTTTACTTTTTTTGTAGAGACAGGGTCTCCCTGTATTCCCCAGGCTGGTCTTAAACTCCTGGGCTCGGACAATCCTCCTGCCTCGGCCTCCTAAAATGCTGGGATTACAGGCATGAGCCACCATGCCCAGCCCTTTTAGAAATATATATATATAATTTTTTTTTTTGAGACAGGGTCTTGTTCTGCCATTCAGGCTGGAGTGCAGTGGCACAATCACCACTCACTGTAGCTTTGAACTCCTGGGCTCAAGCTATCCTCCTACCTCAGCCTCCCGAGGAGCTGAGACTGCTGGTGTGTGCTGCCATGCATGGCTAATTTTTCAGTAGAGACAGAGTCTCACTATGTTGTCCAAACTGGTCTCAAACTCCTGAGCTCAGGCGATCCTTCTGCCTTGGCGTTCCAAAGCACTGGGATCACGGGCATGAGCCACCATGCCCAGCCAGAAACTTTCTTTTTTGTAGAAATGGGAGTCTCACTGTGTTCCGCAGACTGGTCTCAAAATCCTGGGCTCAAGCAGTCCTCCTGCCTTGGCCTCCCCGAGTGTTGGGACTTACAGGTGTGAACCACCCAACCTAGCTCAAAAACTTTTAGTCTAATTTTGATAGATATAAGGGCTGTTTCCAGTTTTTTACTGGTTACAGTGCTGCTGTGAACATTCTTGTACATGTATCCTGATGGCTGTGAGTTTTCCTGAGGTTTATTTAGGAGAGGTTTGGCTGCGTCACAGGGTATCATTCACACCAACTTGCAAGCCCAACAGTAGTGGGATTGTTGACATCTTCACCAACACTTGATATTTACAGATTTTAACATTTTAAATTTATTTATTTATTTTATTTTTTGCTAACCTGTAAAGCACTATCTCACTGCAGATTTAAAATGTAGCTTATGGCCGGGTGCGGTGGCTCATGCCTGTAATCCCAGCATTTTGGGAGGCCGAGGCGGATGGATCACGAGGTCAGGAGATCGAGACCATCCTGGCTAACATAGTGAAACCCCATGTCTACTAAAAATACAAAACAATTAGCCGGGCGTGGTGGCGGGCGCCTGTAGTCCCAGCTACTCGGGAGGCTGAGGCAGGAGAATGGTGTGAACCCAGGAGGCAGAGCTTGCAGTGAGCCGAGATCACACTACTGCACTCCAGCCTGGGCAACAGAGCAAGACTCCGTCTCAATTAAAAAAAAAAATGTAGCTTAGGCTGGGCACAGTGGCTCATGCCTGTAATCCCAGTACTTTGGGAGGCGAAGGCAGGAGGATTGTTTGAGGCCAAGAGTTGGACACCAGCCTGGGCAACACAGTGAGACTGTCTCTACAAAAAATTAAAAAAAAAAAAATTAACTGGGGATGGTGGCATGTGGGAGGTGAGGTGGGAGGATGCCTCAAGTCCAGGAGCTCAAGGTTACAGTGAGCTTTGATCACACCACTGCACTCCAGCCTGGGTGACAGAGCAAGACCCTGTCTCTTAAAAAAAAGAAAAAAAGTAATTTAGTCTTCTGTACTCCTGGTGTTGCTTATGTGCTTGTTTGGTTGGATCTGGTACTGTTACCGCAACATGACCTCAATTCTTTTTTTTTTTTGAAATGGAATCTCACTTTGTTGCCCAGTGTGATCTGGGCTCACTGCAACCTCCACCTCCAGGGTTCAAGTGATTCTTGTGCCTTAGCCTCCCAAACAGTTGGCACTACAGGCACACGCCACCATGCCCGGCTAATTTTTCTATTTTTATTTTATTTTTTTCAGACGGAGTCTTGCTCTGTCACCCAGGCTGGAGTGTAGTGGCTTGATCTTGGCTCACTGAAATCTCCACCTCCCAGGTTCAAGCGATTCTCCTGCCTCAGCCTCCCGAGTAGCTGGGACTACAGGCACCCGCCACCAGGCCCAACTAATTTTTTGTATTTTTTAATAGAGACAGGGTTTCGCTGGGCAGAGAGCAGCTGCCCAGGCTGGTCTGAACGCCTGACCTCAAGTGATCCACCCGCTTTGGCCTCCCAAAGTGCTGGGATTACAGGCATGCGTCACTGTGCACAGCCAAATTTTTGTATTTTTAGTAGAGACGGGTCTTCATCATGTTTGCCAGGGTGGTCTCTAACTCCCAGCCTCAGGTGATATGCATGTCTTGGACTCCCAAAGTGCTGGGACTACAGGCGGGGGCCACTGCGCTGGCCCTCAGTTCTTTCAGGAAGTCCCAAAACCTGTGAAATTAACCATCCTCCCAGCTGCGCTTGCTTACAGAAACAAAGGCCAGGTGCCAATAACCAGGAACCAGCCACAAGATGAACTGAACTCAGCAGTGCTGCCTTGACCTGAGTTACTGCTTCACTGCTATACTAAAATCTCCACTCAGTGCGGAGAAATGTACCTTGCTAAGCACAAACAGTGCCAGGTGCAAAAAGAATCTACACACTCCAGCTGCTCCTGGAAGAACCCATCCAGGAATCCCTACCCCAGTCTTCACCTATCTGCCCAAAAAACCCTTAAGATCCCCCTTTACCCAATGTCCAGGGAGCAGGTGCTTTGAGCAGAAGCTCCCCTTTTCCATTCTTGACCAATGAACGTTTCTGCTCTGCTTTACTGAACCTGGTTTCATTTTATTGGTAAGAACTGCACTGGACGGGTCAAGCGACCCTCCCTTGAGGGCGGTAACAGTACCTGCTTTGTGAAGCAGCAGCTGCAGAGATTCTGGTGCTTGCCATGGCCATGGAAGCTCAAGGAAGAAGTTAAGACTGAGAACAACGATCATATTTGTTTGAAGGTGGTGTGGCAGGATAGTTCTGTGGCGCAGTTTAAGAGGCATACACTGCCTAGTAAACTGATGAGAGCCTATTGTGAATAACAGGATTTGTCAATGAGGCAGATCAGATTCGGATTTGATGGGCAGTCAATCAATGAAACAGACATACCTGCACAGTTGGTAATGGAGGATGAATACACAATTGACGTTTTCCTGCAGGAGACAGGTGTCTACTAAAAAAGGAACCTACTACTTTACTCCAAACCTCTGTTCTTACAGACCAAGATTACATCCTCAATTAGAAAACTGCAATTTGGTTCCACTACATCCCGACCAATATAGTATAGTTTTATTTCATTTTCACCTTCCCCTTTCCTTTGCTGTACATACAGTAATGGGTATGTGTGCACCAGCGTATTGCATTTGTGTTTTTGTTTGTTTTTTTGTAAAATGGCCAATGGTGTGTTCTGATTGACATCAGGTGGAGATGGGACTGGGAAAAATACTGCTTCTGTGAAAATACCCCCTTTCTCCATTCTTGGCATGCTCATTCAGCTCTTATCTTTTTTTCATATATTTATTTTAGATGAAGTCTTGCTCTGTTGCCCAGGCTGGAGTGCAGTGGTGTAATCTTGGCCCACTGCAGCCTCCGCCTGCCAGGTTCAAGCGGGACTACAGGCATGTGCTACCACATCTGACTTTTTTTTTTTTTTGAGACAGAGTCTCACTCAGTCACCCAGGCTGAAGTGCAGTGGCATGATCTCAGCTCACTGCAACCTCTGCCTCCTTGGTTCAAGCGATTCTCCTGCCTCAGCCTCCCGAGTAGCTGGGACTACAGGTGTGTGCCACCACGCCCAGCTAATTTTTGTATTTTCAGTAGGACAGGGTTTCACCATGTTAGCCAAGCTGGTCTCGAACTCCTGAACTCAAGTGATCCACCCACCTCGGCCTCCCAAAGTGCTGGGATTACAGGCATGAGCCACCGTGCCCGGCTCAGCTCTTGTCTCTATATTCCAGTGAGTTATATTTTGCTCTGTTTTAACTAAAAAATGACAACATAAAAATCCTTCCATACTTTATTCAACTGAAGAATTTTAATGTTTTTCATTTATCATTGTAAAAACCAAGGACAATTGTATAACTTAAAAAAATCCTTCTAATCAGTGGATGATTTTTGTACATAGCTTTCACATGTAGGGTAATCTGTCTTTAAGTAGGGATAAATTACTTAAAAATAAACCAAATCATGGCTCACTGCAGCCTCAACCTTCTGGGCTCAAGCGATCCTCCCACCTTGGCCTCCCAAAGTGCTTAGATTACAGGCGTGAGCCACTGTGTCTACAAAGTCTTGGGGTTTAAATAAATTTGGTTAAAATGAAAAAAAGTAAAATTGACTTTAATTTGTATTTCCTGTATTTCTAATGATATACTAGGCATCATGTTATATGTTTATTGGTCATTTCTATTTCCTCTTTTGTGAAGGGCCTATTCAAGTCAGTTACCCCTGTTTTTTCCATTGTTCATCTTTTTCTCACTGAGTTGTAGGAGCTCCTGGGCATCAATCTTTTGTTAGTTTTTTTTTTTTTTTTTTTTTTTGAGACGAAGTATTGCTCTGCCCCAGGCTGGAGTGCAGTGGCCCAACCAATCTCGGCTCACTGCAAGCTCCGCCTCCCAGGTTCACGCCATTCTCCTGCCTCAGCCTCCCGAGTAGCTGGAACTACAGGCGGCCCCCACCACGCCCGGCTAATTTTTTGTACTTTTAGTAGAGACGGGGTTTCACTGTGTTAAGCCAGGATGGTCTCGATTTCCTGACCTCGTGATCCGCCCGCCTCGGCCTCCCAAAGTTCTGGGATTAGCAGCGTGAGCCACCGCGCCCGGCCCTTTCGTCAGTTTTAACACATCCTTTGTTAAGCATGAATGTGTTTTATCTCTCTGGCTAACTTGTTAGGTCAGTGGGTAAGAGGGCAGGGGTAGGAACTACAGAATAATAAATTAGACCAGTTAAGGAACGTTTAGGATTACAACTTCCTGCTTCCCTTATAGCTCTCTCCACGTCTGTCAAAGTGTTGGAACGGCAGCATCCCCTATAAAGGCCCCTCTTAAAAAGTGAAGATTATTACCCTCCCATGGGAGGGAAGGCTACCTACAGGCTGTTTTTGTTTTGCTTTATTTTCTAGAAAACCAATCACAGGCCGGATGCGGTGGCTCACGCCTGTAATCCCAGCTCTTTGGGAGGCCAAGGCGGGTGGATCACCTGAGGTCGGGAGTTCGCCACCAGCCTGACCAAAATGGAGAAACGCCGTCTCTACTAAAAATACAAAATTAGCCGGGCGTCGTGGCGCAGGCCTGTAATCCCAGCTACTCAGGAGGCTGAGGCAGGATAATCGCTTGAACCTGGGAGGCGGAGATTGCGGTGAGCGGAGATCGCGCCATTGCGCTCCGGCCTGGACAATAAGAGCGAAACTCCATGTCCAAAAAAAAAAAAAAAAAAGAAAAGAAAAAAGAAAACCAATCACAACAAGGCAGATAAAGAAGGATGAGTTGTCAGATTTTGATAACTGCGGATGAGGGGCGTGGACACACGGTTGGGAACTCGCAGCCGCTCATTGGTGGCTGGTGCGGGGGAAGTTGTTTCATTTGCCCCAGGTGTTGCCCAGTGACCTCCTGCGCGTGCGCCGCGTCTGTCCAGCTGCGCGGGAAGCTCAGGGGAGGGAAGGCCAGGTTCCATCCATTCAGTCACTCCAGACCTGGCACCCAGCCAAGCGCGCGGTTCCTTTACAGACTTTCCTGCGGGTCCACAGAAATGCAAGGATCCGCCTCTGTGCTGGAATTAGAGTCTGGGAGGGGGAATGCACAGTGCGCCCTGGGTGGTATTTTAGTTGTCGCCTTCAGGGCTAGCTCCGAGCCTCGTGCCCCGGCCTCCTCAGCGCTTAAGGAATCTCTGGAGCGCATGTCTTGGCGAGGGGAAGTGGGGCCCCGTTGAAGCTGTCGAGGCGTCTCTGAGAGGGGTGGGCTGGGGCCTGGAGAGGCCTCCGTGAGGACGCCGTTTGCTCTGGGCTCTGCCTGGCAGGGGACTTTGGAACCTGGCCTGAAGTGTTCAAGAAGCGGGCGCGGGGGCAACACGCGCGCGGGGACGCAGTAAGATCACAGGCTGCAAAGAAAACAGCACTAAGCGTCCTGGAGGACGCTGGAGCTTCAGGATAGTGTCCTTCCAGGTCGTGGGACCGCCCCCTCCTCCCCGCACTCCACCTTCCCGCAACTGGATCACTCGGCGGAAGCCTCAGGTGGGCCCCGGGGTCCAAGTCCGCCGCCGGGAGGGCGGGGGCGGGCCCCGAACCGCCGACTGCAGGGCGCGTCACGGCAGCCGCTCCTGATTGGCGGCCACGGCGGTCACGGGCAAGGTGCCCCGGGATTGACGCCGCCTGTGGCCAGAGCCGGAGTAACGGGACTCCCAGCTGCGCGTCGCAGTCCCGACGCGAGAAGGGCTGGAGTCGGCGTCCAGCCTAGAGCCCCCGGTGGGAGCCAGGCCGGGACGCGTGCACCATGCCCTACCTGCTCATCAGCACCCAGATCCGCATGGTGAGTACCGGCCGCCTGGCGACTTGGAGCCGGGACCAGGCCCTAGGGGGCTGCGACTGCACCTTCATGCCTCCCTCCTGGGCTGCACCCACCGGGGACTGGACCGGGAACCCGCCCAGACACGCCCCCTTGGCCGGGGAGAGGGAGTGGAGAAGCGGGCTCAGCTCGGCTTCCGGGACTCAGCGAGCTCTGGCCGGCCTGAAGCCTTTATTGCCGCGAAGGGGCCCGGGTACGTGCGTCCCGGCAACAGGGCGACCTCCGGGCGCTTCCGGCTCCTGTCCTACCTGTCGGCGGGAGAGACCCAGGGAGCCCTGGCCTCACGCGCAGCACCTAGTGCCCTGCACAGAGCCGCTCCGCAGGGGAAAAAAGGGCGAATAACCTGAGAGAAAGAGGTTTGGAAAAGATAAGGACCTGCCAAGGCGCTAAAACCCCGGTGCCAAGTCCTTGACCCATAAACAGCAACTAGCTGCACCCTTAGGCACTTCCAGGAAGGGCTATCCCTGAAGCTTTAGGGAAGGAAGAAAAGAAAGAACACCCTGCTTGGAAAAAAGGAAGGCGAGAAGGGGCTGTGCAGTTAGAGGTGGGAACACCATGAGTTAGAAGTCACGTTCCTTTCTCTGGGCGCAGTTTCCTTATCTGTAAAAAGGTTCTGATTGCCCCTCAGGAGTCCCCTTTTAGCTTCAGAAAGACATGACGGGCAGCAAGGTGCTCTCTGCCCTTGCTCACTGCCCAGTGCTGGGGTGAACCAGCAAAGGGTACACAACCCCCTTGGTGGGTTCACCACGCAACAGAGAGCTCTTGCAGAGCCCTGGGCAGCGGTTTGTGAAGCAGCCATCTGCTCAGCTGCCAAAATGTGGATTCCTGGGTCCCTTCCCAGACCTCCTAAAACTCTGTCTGGGGCTTGGGAACCCATACTTGGAAATGGCCCCCCAAAGTGATTCTTATTTCTTAAAAGATATGGCTTTATTGATATGTAATGTGCATACCATAAATTCTTTGATTTAAAGTGTACAATTCAGTGTTGTTGTTTCTTTAGTGTACTCAGAGTTGTGCAACCATCACCATAATCAGTTTTAGAACATTTCTAATACCCCAAAAGGAAACCCTGTACCCACTGGCAGACACTCTTGATTTCCCCCAAGTCCCTCAGCCCTAGATAACCACTAATTACCTTTCTGTGGTAATGTGATCTGAGTCTGGCTTCTTTCATTTACATGTTTATTTTGTTTTGTTTTTTTGAAATGGAGTCTCACTCTGTCACCCAGGCTGGAGTGCAGTGGTGCAATCATGGCTCACTGCAGCCTCAAACTCCTCCCACCTCAAGCGATCCTCCCACCTCAGCCTCAGTAGCTGGAACTATAGGCTCGTGATACTTTGCCTGGCTAAAGCTGAGCTTTAAGGCACTAGGGAGGGCGCCTACATTGCTCCTCCTGATCATTGATGGGCTCCACCCCTTCACAGCTTGTGCTCAGCCCCTAAGAATCCTTGCTACTCTCTGTAGCCTTTACCTGAACCTTACTCAGGGCTAGCAGGCAGGGGAGGAAGGACAGGCAAGACCTTCCACCTCCTCCTGGCAGCCAGCCAAGCAGCCACTGTGGCTTACCTTGCAGGAGGTGGGCCCCACTATGGTGGGCGATGAACAGTCGGATCCAGAGCTGATGCAGCATCTGGGGGCTTCAAAGAGAAGAGCCTTGGGAAACAACTTGTAAGTAGCAGCCTCCCTCAGTATCCTCTCCCTGCCAGCCCCTAGACCTGCCTCTGCTCCCTTTATACAACCTCCAAGCCCAGGGACAGGGCCCAGCATCAGAGCCCCCTGCCTGCATCCTGGGGCTCTGTTCTCCGGAGGAGTTGGTCCCATCTGTAGCCTCTCCAACATCCCCCCTCTCCCCCACGAGGCTTGCTCTGAAAGCTTTCCACATCCTTACTGGAACCGCAGAAACAGAGTCCGTTCCCTGGGTCTAGGACTCCACTAGCAGACTGTTCCTTGCCCTGCCCTCTCCTAAGCTGGACCCCATCAAGGACAGACAGGCACAGAGAGAAAGGTTTTTGTCGTGAGGATCTGCATGAGTCGCAAAGCTAAGCCCTAGAAGCAGGGAGCAGGGAGCCTGCGTCCTACCTCCAGGGTGGCTGCTGCCTGGGGACCTAGCCATTTCCCTTGGCATTCTTCCTAATGCCTCCATGTCTAAACTGTGACTACTGCTTCCATTCCTCCTCTCACCCCTGGAGGCAGGGAGAACCCAAGCTACACAGGCTCTCTGAAAAGAGTTGTCAGAGTGAGTGCCAGTTCAAATCGGGGAAAGAGGAGGGCTGATCCCAGCCCCTGGGTCAAGGCTCGGGGACAGAAGCCAGCCCCCTCCCTTTGCCATGAGGCACTTGCCTCTCCATGCCCAGCTTGGGGCTTGAGCCCTTTGTCTGCTTCATGGTCTTTCAGCATCAATTAAACCTGACAGAAGGACTACCAGCACTCTCCATGCTAGGGAGTGGCGCACAGAGCCAGGAGCTACTGGGGCTCAGCCTTGTTGCTACAGAACTGCAGGACAGCCAGGGCAGTGAGGGGCCTGGAGGCTTATTTTTTTTTGAAATGGAGTCTCTGTCGCCCAGGCTGGAGTGCGGTGGTGCAATCATGGCTCACTGCAGCCTCAGCCTCCTCCTACCTGGAAGCCTGGGTGGGGAGCAAGCCCAGGGAGGGCGGCAGCAGGGCTGTGGTCAGACTAACATGGTCTACCATCTGGGACGCTGGGGAACCTGATTAACCCCTCTGTTTTCTCATCTATCAATGGCCACAACAGTGGCACCTTCACTAGCTTGTTGGGAAGAATAAATGAGATAGCTCGTGAAGTACCTAGAAGGGGAGGAGGCAGGGGGCGTGCACTTACCCCAGCGCCCAGCAAGCAGCCAGCAAGTGTGAGTCACTACAAGAGTGGCCAGGCTGCCTGCTGCAGACACTAGCTTTGTACCAGGAGCTTGCTGTGTGCCCCTCCTCACCCCCCCCATCCTGTCTCTTTGCAGTTATGAATACTACGTCGATGACCCTCCCCGCATAGTCCTGGACAAGCTGGAACGCAGGGGCTTCCGTGTGCTGAGCATGACGGGGGTGGGCCAGACGCTGGTGTGGTGTCTGCACAAGGAGTGACCTTCTCATGCTGATTTGCAGACGGGGCACCCCTGTGGAGGGGCTGCTGTGGGCCCTGACCTCCAAGCTCCTGCCTCACCGTCTGCCTTGCTCCTCTCTTCCCAAATCATCACCGCCATGGGCCCAGCCCCAAAGGGCAGTGAATGGCCTTCTCTGAAACCCTGCGTCAAGCAGTGGGAGAGGGCAGTGCCCGGTGCCCTGGTGCTCCCAGCTGCCCTCCTGCTTCGGGCCTGGGCCGAGGGCCTTGTGTAGGCCATGTTCCTCGGGCAGCTGCCCCGGGCCGGAGCTGGGCACTCCAGCGGCCCTGGCGCGTGGCTCCTGCATAGCTAGCCCAAGCCAATAAAGGGCTGTGATGAGTGGCTGCGCCTGTGCTCTGCTTGTGCACGGACTCTGGGACTCTCACCCTGCGGAGCGTTTCCCTGGGGGTCTGCCCACTTCCTGGGAGGGGCGCCAGGCCTGGGTGGAGCGCTCTGCGGCAGAGCCCAGCACCTTATACCTATGTATGGGATAGAGGTAAAATCTTAAAAAAAAAAAAAATTTATTGGTGACGTTGAAGAAAAGGGCTGAGGGGTGGATGGCTGGAGCTGGGGCTACGTAGGCGGCCCCTCCTGGTCTTCCTGCTGCATCCGTGCGATCAGCTGTTGCCGCTCGGCCGCCTGGCGCATGCGCATCATGACGAGGCTCTCGTAGTCCCTCTCTGACAGCACTGAGCCCTGTCGGACAGGGCAGGGACAGGGAGGGGTCAGGGACAGCAGGGCACAGCCTCACAGACTCCGAGTACGGTGCCGAGGCAGTGCTGCGTTCTAAGAGTCTCGGAGGGAGGACGGCAGAGGAAGGGAAGGAACCCGGAGCATCCTTTTGGAATCCTGGCTCGCCTGTGTCCCCCAGAACACGCCACCTTTGGCCTCCAGGCCGGCTTCTACCCAGCCAGCTCCCCCTCCCTTTCCCCAGGCCGCGTCAGCTCCGGTCCATCTGTTTCTCAGGAATCACCTGCGGGCCCTCTAAGCCAGGCCCTCGTCTCCCTTCATTTCCTCTGGGCCCTTTACCCTTCACCCCTTTCCCTCTACCCCGTAGCTTCTGCCTCTTAGGTTCCCAAGGAAGGGAAGTTGTCTGAGGAGCAGGGATGCACTTGGCTCTGCTGGGCACTGACCCTGGCACTCTCTATGCCCGGTGCCCTGTGGTCTGGCTCTTGCTGAGGATGCAGAAGGGAGCCCTACCCGAGGCAGCCCGGAATGCCCCACCCTCGAAGGGGAAAAAGGCAAGCATGAGGCCAGCGTGCCTCTAAAACTACACACCAGGGCTCCTGGAGGGCAGGGCCCATAATCAAAAGAATAATAAACAACCATCTGAATGGGCCAAGGCTGTAGGGTGGAGAAGCAGCTCTACAGCGGGACCTAAGCTGCCAACCCACGCCCTGATAAGGTCTGCGGTGGGAATTAAACCTTTTCCTCCCTCGGTGCCGCTTAGGCTGTGTGATGATCATGTGGTCCCAACAGCTTCTCAGAGAAGTGTGAAGCACACCTGAGTTGGCACAGAAGTGAGCTAGGCCAGGGATTGCAAGATGCGGTGGCCTGCCCGTAGCAGAGAGCTGTGGGGCCCTGATCCGCGGTACCCCGCATGGGGACGCTGTCACAGAGCAAGGCAGGAGGAAAATGTGGTGGTCAGTGACCCGGGGAATAGGAAGGGAGCAGCTAGGGTTGAGATGCCAGGCCCTGGCCAGCAGGTTTGGAGTAAGGGGTGTAGAGAAACAGGAAGTGTTACTCAGCCTGGGTTCCCCTGTTCCTCCCGATGGCTGCACCCCTCCCCTCTCCCCGGCTGCAGCAGTCCCAGCTAGGCCGGACTGCTAAGCCTGGCCCAGAGCACGGCTGACAATTCACGGCAGCCTCCCTGGCCCAGCCTCCTGCAAGAGAAGGAGGACCCCAGAGGAAGCCCGGTAGCCAGAGGGGAAGGGCTGGAGCACAGCCAGGTAGGAGGCAACACGGCCCGGCCTTCAGCAGCCGCTCTCCTGGCAGGAGCCCTCTAGGGTAAAACAAGGGAGGACAAGGAAATAGCAGCCAGGCTGATGGCAGGCCAAGAGGAGGCCACATCTCCCATCCCCAGGTTAATGCTGCTCTGCCAAGAAAACTTGGAGCCACCCTTGGCGGGCCCCCAGCCCAACCCTGGGCAGCAGAGCCCGCCCATCACAGGCATGGCGCTGCTCCCCATTAACACACCCTCTGCCCCCCTTCCTGTTCCTGCTCGTGAGGGCCTGACAGCGGGGCTGAGTCACCCATACCAGCTACAGGTCTCTTCCTTCCCCAACAATCGTTCCACACGCCTGCCTTTCAATTAACTCCCACCCGCCCCGAACTCTTCCTACCCAGACACTGTGGGCAGGGAGCCAGGCGCACCTGCTGGGGGCCCAGGGTGGTGGGGCTGTGATCAGAAAGGAAGCCGCGTGGTGACACATAAAGCAGGGCTGCCCCCACACGAGTCCCCAGAGGAATCTTAAGCTCCCCATTGCCCTGGGGTGTTGGTCCCAGCTGCCCCATCCCTGCACGCGGATGCTGCAATTACCCAAGAGCACGAAACCTGGCTTCCCACCTGACTGAGTCAGCTGAGAACAAAAACACATCTCCACCGCCACAAACAGCCAGGCCACTCATCAGAGTCCGGGAGCCACTGGCAGAGAGGGCACGGCCCCACACTGCCCCAGAGACATATAGGAGCCAGGCAAACACCAGGGCGAGTGAGCTCGGGCCATCTGCTGCCTGCCTGTGGAAGGAGCGCTCGCCAGCCTCACCCAGCCCGAGAAGGTCCACCTCTGCCTCCGCCGGAGCTGCCCTCATTCTGGCTCCAGTAAGTGCTGCTTCTTCCTCCTGGGTTTTTTTCCACTACCCTATTCAGTAACCAGGCCACTCCTGTCCCTGTGGGAAACTCTTGCTGCCAGGAACTCCCAGCTGTCTGCTCTCCTGGGCAAAAAAGTTCCTTCTTCCTGAGCCCTCCTCTCACCATCCAAGATGTGGTCAAAGGTCTGTGCTGAGTGGAAACCCTGAGGCCTCTGCTCCTAGGGGAGCCTCCCCAGCTGCTGGCACTCACTGCCCCAGCAGGGACCACATGCACCCTGGCTGCTCCTGAACACCTGTCTGCTGGCTCCCCTGGGCCCCATGGAGACCTGGCGGAAAGGCTCCTTCCGCAACGCCTCCTTCTTCAAGCAGCTGAGCCTGGGGCGGCCACGGCGGCTCCGGCGACAGAGTAGTGTGCTTAGCCAGGCCAGCACAGCAGGTGGGGACCACGAGGAGTACAGCAACCGAGAAGTCATCCGGGAGCTACAAGGGAGGCCAGATGGCCGGCGCCTGCCACTGTGGGGGGACGAGCAGCCCCGGGCCACCCTGCTGGCCCCACCCAAGCCCCCACGCCTCTACCGAGAGAGCTCAAGCTGCCCCAACATCCTGGAGCCCCCACCTGCCTACACAGCAGCCTACTCTGCCACCCTGCCATCGGCGCTCTCTCTGTCGAGTGCCCTCCACCAGCACTCAGAGAAGGGCCTTGTGGACACTCCCTGCTTCCAGAGGACACCTACCCCAGACCTCAGTGATCCCTTCCTCTCCTTCAAAGTGGACCTGGGGATTTCACTTCTTGAGGAAGTTCTGCAGATGCTAAGGGAGCAGTTTCCTAGCGAGCCCAGCTTCTAAATGGGGTGAGGGTGGGCAAAGCCGGGGTGACTGGAAGATCCAGAGGCTGGGGATTAAGGAAAGGACAGGGACAGGACTCCAGGCCCATCGCTGGAGGGTTCAGGCAGGCAGAGCTTCTTCATCCTGGGGGAGGATTCCAGGATAGGAATCCAGGGCTCTGCCTGCTCTCTGGGTCCTGGACAGTCCTTCCAGGCACCCCAGAGTGGAGGGACAGAGGCAATCTGGAAATGTTGGGGGGGCGGCCCTTCCTGGCAGGACCCTGAAGAAAGCTGGCTATGCCGGGAAAGGGAGGCTGTGCCGGGAAAGGGAGGCTCTGTGCGGCACTACAGGAACCAGGTAGAGGCTGGCAGAGCCAGAAGGTGGCACGGGGTCAGATCAGGGAGTGGGAGGACACAGACTGAGCAGAAGAGATGAGTGCCCCATGCCAGCCTCTTTGGAAGCCACTGTCAACAGAGAGAGGTCACAGGACAAGCTTGGGTAAAGGCAGTCCAACCCAGGCAGAAGAGGAAAGTGGGAAGGCCCAGGAAGAAAGGGGAGAAGGCCTGACCCTGTCTAATCTGGTGGCCACTCACTGCATGACACTGAATTGAAATAAATAAAATTAACAGTTCAGTTCCTCAGCTGCACCGTTATTCCAGATTCCACATTCCAAATGCCCGGTGGCCACACATGATTAATGGCTACCACACTGGTCAGTGCAGAATGGACGTAAACATCGCTGCACAAAGTTCTAATGGACAGCGCTGTCTAGACCATGGCCTGGAGCCACCAGCAAAGGGGAGGCGCATACAGGGGCTGGCCACATAGGAAGAGATAGGTAGAGATAGAGTATAACTCAGGAAAAAGACCAGGCAAATCCTTAGCAGAAATGAGGACGTGGCTCAGTCTGCCAACACAGCTACCCGGAGCAATCCCTGGTGAAGGAAGGCAGCTCTAGAGAATGCCAGCCACAGGCACGCGCACGGCTTGCAAAGGGGTACTTTGGGGAATTCCCAGAATTACTAGTGATGGGAGCCCTGGCAGGTTTCCTTCCTCGAAGAGAGGAGAACTGGATCCAGGGATGGGCATTCAACAGCGAAGCGGCACAGCTGGTTTCCAGAACCGTCTCCCGGGATTAGACAGTTCTGCCGCCTGAACCCTCCGACGATGGGCCTGCCAACCAGGCCAAGCCCACTGGGTCAAAGCCACAGGCTGTGCTACGGCCCCACCCCATGGCCTCACCAGAACACAGAAACCAGAGCCCAGCAGCACTGGCTGGGCCATGTGTTGGTGGCCCCCCGGGACTCGCTAAGAGTAGCAAAGGGGAGAGGGAAGCTCTGACACACACCATTTCTACGACCTAAATCAGTGGCCTCCCTCTTTCCTCCTCTTGTGTATAGGTACCGAGCTGTGGATACAGGAGAGAATGAATAAAATTCTAACACAATCTATGGAGTGTTATCTGGGGCTGTGAAATGCTGGGACTTGAAGGTGGGAATGAGGTCTCTAAAGCAGGGCCCTGAGTCAGGCCCAGGCCAGTTTGTTTCCCTCCATCCAGGATCTGGGACACACTTGCAGAAAGCTGCTTTCCAGTCACCCCAGTCAAGTGGAGGGGCAGGCAACGGAGCAGGCTGGCGTGGGTAAAGTAATGAGAGCAGCCTCCTGCCAGCCTGCTGAGGGGCTGTGGACACACCAGACAGGCCCTGGGCCACTGCAGAGAAGGGAAGAACCAGGTTGCTAGATCTTGCCCCCAAAGCAATCTGTTCCACCAAGGTGGGGACAGGTGTGGCCAGGAGCCCCACAGCCCTAGCCTTTGTATCCAGGCCAAAAGACACCAGGGCCATGGTTGCAGGTTGGGGGTTACACACAAGCTGGAAGGTCTACGCTTCACCCAGGCAGGGCACCCAGACTCTGGGCAGGCACCACCCCGTGTCAGCAGGGTAGCCAGAGTTCCTTCTTTTTTTTTTTTTTTTTTTGAGATGAAGTCTTGCTCTGTTGCCCAGGCTAGAGTGCAATGGCACGATCTCGGCTCACTGCAACCTCTGCCTCCCTGGTTCAAGCGATTCTCCTGCCTCAGCCTCCTGAGTAGCTGGGATTACAGGTGCGCACCATCATGCCCAGCTGATTTTTGTGTTTTTGTAGAGACGGGATTTCACTATGTTGGTCAGGCTAGTCTTCAACTCCTGACCTCAGGTGATCCGCCCCCCTCGGCCTCCCAAAGTGCTGGGATTAACGGCATGAGCCACTGCGCCCAGCCTGCCAGGGTTACTTCAAGAGGAGATATTGCCTCTTGACAGTCGGTCCCTTTCTGGGGCAGCCAGAGACACATCCAGAAAACTGAAGTGCTGGGAAGGAAGTGGCTGTCCTAGTCACCTGCCCCTTCTCTGCAGCACTGGGTCGTCTAAGCTCCAAATGCTTCACACACCACAACCAAGCAACCTGAGGGCCAGGAAGATCCCTTTGGTGAGAAGGAGAGTCCCAACAGGAGGCCAGATATGGAGAGAAAGCAAGGTCTAAGAATACAGTGTGGGTGGGGCCTCTCTGGCCCTCAGAGAGGAAAAGGGTTCAACGTGAAATCACAGCCCCTCTTGCCTGGGTTGGTGGACCTGCCAAGCTCACTCTAGGCCCCAAGATCTGAATTTGGAAGGAAAGAGCCTGAGAGGAGCCCAGGTAGGAAGAGCTCCGAGACCTGAGCGCCCAGCCGGGCGAGGCCTGACTCCTCACCTTTGACAGTCCTGAGTGGCTGCGGCCCACGGCATCCTGGGGCTGTCCCTCCAACCAGGAAATCTTCAGAGGGTTATCCACCAGGCCAACTTCATTCTGGACAGCCAGCTCCTGCCAAACACAGCATCTAGTCCTGTCCCATCCGTTGAGTCAGCTATAAAGAGGCTCTCTCTACCCCCACAGAGAGAACGGAACCAGCGTTCTAGCCCTCTAAGCAGAGATGCCAACCTCAGCAGCCTTCAAGTGATGGGTGTTAACGCTTTGGCCTTTCCTGCGGGAGAGGGGTTGGGGGAGCTTTCTGATGTGGGGAGGCGAGGAGCACAAAGGGTGGGAAGGCAGTGCTGGGGCTCACAGCCCCAAGGGGTGCAGGTGGAGGGTGTGAAGGCACCAGCAGGGAGCAGAGTCAAGTCTGTGCTCTCCTTTCTCCCCAGAGCACCCCCCATCCATCCCTTCACACACGGTGCCTCTATTTCCAGGAGTCAGGGGCCCCTGGGAAGAGCCTTGGCTCTAAGCTGGCCTGGAGATTCCCTAGGAGTGCAGACCACCTAACTCAGAGGGCCCACAGAATTGGGTCCCTGCCCTAGAATGACAGGGCCACGAGGGGCCCCCAAGCCTCATGCAGCACTCACCGCTGCCTTGACGGTTGCAAACTCCACCACAGCAGTGCCTGGCTTCTTACTGGAAAGCACCAGGTTGAGAACCTCACCATACTGTGGGGACAAAGGGGTCCTAATAAGCATGACTTGGCCTTCAGGATGGCCCAGGTCATGCCAGAGACAAGCCTGGGCTACCTTGAGGCCCATGGGGCATTTTCAGTTGGGAGATAACTTCTTGCCCCACCTACTTATCTTAGTGAAGTGAGATCAGAGATAGGAAAGAAAGAAATTTTTTTCTAGGAACACAGAGCAGCAAAGGAATGATGAGCAAAGCCCTGGTGACTTAGACTGACACATTTCATTGCATAGCGTCCTTGCTAGTTGAACGTGGTGAAAAGGACGGGGCTTTCGTGCCAGATACGCACCTCGTCCCTCCCAACCCACTCAACCAAGCTCTTTGCTTCTAAGGGTAAGGGTTAGACCGAGGTAGCAAAGGACAGCGGGCTGGAAGGGGGCACATGGCCACACAAGTGAAAGCAAGGCTGTAGCCTGGGGAGAAGTCTCTAAGACGTCCCATGGTCTATGAGACAGAAAAAAAAAGCAAGTAGATATGTTAAGGGAAGTTCAGGCATTGAGAGCAGAGACCTAGGGTGTGGACTGAGACGTGGACTGAGATGATAGGAAAGAGTGGACGTCAACAGGGCCGACCTTCTGCAAAAGCCGTAGGAGGACGTCTTTGGAGTAGCCACCTTTTGACTCATCCTCCTTCTTGCACTTCCATTTTAGCTGAAAAGAGAGCCTCATGAAACACTGATTCTTGGCTGAACAGTACCTCACCCCACGACTGAGCTTGACAGTCTGAGCAGACATCCTCCCACCCTCCAAGCCTCCAAGGCTCCTGCAATCTGGGGAGTGCCACCAGAAACATTTTCCCCTTGGGAACTTGAAGGCAGGATGGCCTGCTCACCCCAGGGACGCTTCCCGCCCAGAAGACCCTCTCCTGAGAGGGCTTCTAGAGAATCCTCTGCCCTGTGATCAGGGCTAAAAGCAGCCTTTCGTGGCAAGCTCTGATCTCCGGGCGGCTGGAGCATGGAGGGAGGTGGTAATGGTGCGGGCTCCACGCAGATCCAGCAGCCCCACCAGAAACCCTCGAGCCACAGGAAGCATCTATTCCTGCTGAGGGGAGGCGGTGTGAGTGTGAGGTGGCCCACAGATCCTGCCCAGGCTCACCTTTAGTTTGGGGGTTCCTTGGCCTTCAGTATTTTCTGCCTTTCCTAGAAATATTGGGAAAAGAAGAAAAGTAGAATATGAGGGAGTCAGAGATTCTCCCAAAGGAAATGCAGCCCAGAGCAAGAAGGGTCTGGAAAGGGTCACTCCTGACCAAGGGCAATGCCTGCCCAGCTCTGGTGAGGGCCTGGTGGGGAAAGCAGATGCCCATCCCCAGAGAAGCTGCCACCCCAGGGGTGGTCTACCCAGCTGCCTCCTGAAGGCCACTTGTCAGCACTCTCTGAATGGAGAGCTAGGAACACTTTCTAGGGACAGGAGGCAGAGAGACAGACCATGAGGTTCTACGGGCACAAAGTGTCCCAGGGCCCCTCCCCGTGGTGATCTGTCCCAAAACAAGGCCACCTCTGCTTGGGACAAAGCCAAATGTGGCCAGGAGATCTCAGGCAGAGTAAAAAGCAAATAGGCCCCAGAGAACTGGGAGGAAGACGGGATAAGTGGCATGTGTCAGAGTAAGGTACCATAGGGTGACCCCAGGGTTCCAGCAGGTAGAAGCCTCCACAGCAGCTCCACCGAACAGCCAGTGTGGCCGCTCTGAGCAATCTGGAGCTACCTTGGAGGGGAGATAGGCGGGGTGATAGACCTGCACCTCTCAACCTCTGGTCACGCTCCTGGCGTATCTGCTCCCGGATGAGCCTCTGCTGTTCCTCCAGCTGCCGGGAACCCTCTTCTCTCAGGCGTTCGATCTGCAGAGCAGGGGGTGGGGGTGACAATTCTGTGCAGGTCCAATTCCAGGCTGGCTCACCTTGTAAAAAGTCCTTGGGAGCTTCCACCTGCAAGCTAGGGCTCAGCAACCTGTGGGTGGGACAAATCACCCAGCTCCCACTGAAGGTGCAAAGAGCATGCCCTCTCTAGCCACGGCGACCACCAGGTCCATCCTCCCCCACCTCCTCCTCCTGCAGGTGGCCTTCTGGCCAGTGTGCCTGAGTGCTCACCTCTTGCTCTAGTGTCCTGGTGCTCCGGCTCTCCTCTTCCTCCTCACTCTCCTGGGCCTGGGCCTGCCGCTCCCGGGCCTCCAGGTCTAGACACAAGGGTTGAATGACCAGACTGCTGGTCTGTTCAGTTTCCATGTGGCCTCGGCCCACCCCAGCTCTGGCTGCCTCCCCAAAGTCTCAATCACGACGAGATCATACAGTAACTCTGCCCCCTCCCTCCATGCCCACGCCCCCGAGTCAATTTCCATTGAGAAAAATCACAGCACAGAAGTATGGGGTCTAGCAGAGTGGCCAGGGGTCTGGAAGAGTTAAAAACAGCTCACACTGACCAAGCTGGTTCTCTCTAGTGAACAGGGTGTGGGTGGTGCTTATGTCAGCAGCCCAGGGCCATGTGTCAGGGGTGCCAATGGGCGGAGCTGCTGGGCTCGATTCCTGTGGTTTGGCACCACAGCTTGACTTGCTTTGGCTTTGATTCTTTTCACACACTGAGCTCAGGTTCTCACTGTCTCCTTTACCTCCCACCTCAACTCACATTTACCAAGCCTCACTGTGGACCTGGCTACAGGGATGGGCAGAGTGTTAGGGCATCACCCCGGGTCCTGGATTGTGTGAGGGCGTTACCTTCCAAGAGAAACCTGCTTGCAACCATGTGCCAGGCCAGCTGCTGTGAGAAACCCTTCTCTTAGTCCAGAGAAGTTTGTGCACTTTACTTACTTAGACTCTCCTTTTCTCTCTCTCTCTTTTTTTTTTTTTTTTTTTGAGATGGGGTCTCCTGGCACTTGCTTTTCTTTTAATATAGAAATAGATATTGGGATGCTATATGCACATATTAAAATATATGGATGTTGAAGAGCAAGAGGAAAAGGAGAAACTTGAGTAAAGAATGCTTGGACTGGGCCAGGCGCGGTGGCTCACGCCTGTAATCCCAGCACTTTGGGAGGCCAAGAGGGGTGGATCACCTGAGGTCAGGAGTTCGAGACCAGCCTGGCCAATGTGGCAAAACTCCGTCTCTACTAAAAATACAAAAATTAGCCGGGTGTGGTGGTGCGCAACTTAGTCCCAGCTACTCGGGAGGCTGAGGCAGGAGAATCGCTTGAACCCAGGAGGCAGAGGTTGAAGTGAGCCGAGATCGTGCCACTGCACTCCAGCCTGGGCAACAAGAGCGAAACTCCGTTTAAGAAAAAAAAAAAAAGAGTGCTTGGACCATGCTGCTATAACCAGTGACTTTTTTTTAAGTGAGAAAAAAAAAATGCTTGCAGCAATCTTATTGGGTTGATGAAAATGTTCCAAATCTGATTTATAGTCAGAGTTGCATCATTTAGTAAATTTACGAAAAATCATTGAAGTGTACACTTGAAATGGGTTGATGTTGTGATATACAAAGAATACCTCAATAAAGCTATTAGAGAAGAGAAAGCCTGGACCTCTTTGAATCCTTCTGAGGGAGCTTCTCAAAGTGAAAAGTCTGGGTAGGAATTGGGGTTAGAACAAATTAAAAGACCCAGCCGGGCACAGCGGCTCGCACCTGTAGTCCCAGCTACTCAGGAGGCCAAGGCAGAAGGACTGCTTGAGCCCAGGAGTTTGAGGCTGCAGTGAGCCATGATGGTGCCACCCTAGCCTGGGTGACAGTACAAAACCCCGTCTTTCTTTAAAAAAAAAAAAAAGAAGAAGAAGACTCAGCCAGAAATGGTGAATACAAGCACCAATTTTTTTGTTTTGTTTTGTTTTTTGAGATGGAGTTTTGCTCTGTCACCCAGGCTAGAGCACAGCAGCGTGATCTCAGCTCACTGCAACCTCTGCCTCCCGGGTTCAAGCAATTCTCTGCCTCAACTTCTCGAGTAGTTGGGATTACAGGCACCCGCCACCACACCCAGCTAATTTTTGTATTTTTAGTAGAGAAGGGGTTTCACCATCTTGGCCAGGCTGGTCTCGAACTCCTGACGTCGTGATCCACCCGCCTCGGCCTCCCAAAGTGCTGGGATTACAGGCGTGAGCCACCGCGCCCGGCCACAAGCACCAATTTTACTCACACTGGATAAGTTTAAATCCCACCTCCAGCAAGCTCTTAAACTTTTGGTGCCTTAGCTCCTTTGCCTATAAAAAATGGCTTCAGAGGCCAGGTGCGGCAGCTCACCAGCTGTAATACCAGCACTTTGGGAGACTGAGGTGGATAGCTTGAGGCCAGGAGTTTAAGACCAGCCTGGCCAACATGGTGAAACTCCATCTCTAAAAAAACGGAACAAAATTAGCCGGGCGTAGTGGTGCATGCCTGTAGTCCCACTATCGTGAGGCTGAGGCACAAGAATCGCCTGAACCCAGAGGGTGGGGGTTGCAGTGAGCCGAGATCATGCCACTGCGCTCCAGCCTAGGTGACAGGGTGAGACCCTGTCTCAAAAAACCATGTTCTTAAAAAAGGTTTAGTACCCACACTTCCTTGTATAGTTATGATAATTAAAGGGACAATAAGGCATTTGTCACAATGCTTAGCTAATATTAAACCTTATTATTGTTATTATTCCTAAGAGTGTCTTTAGGAACCAACCTCTAAGAACAGCGTTTTGCCCAGAGCCTGAGCCAAAAGGCTTTGAGATGAGTTGCTGGAAGTGAAGCTTCAGGTGAGGGAGATGAATGAAAATGACCACAGGAAACCACAGGCCACCGAGCACTATGATGGCACCTACCAAGCTTCACTTTCTTCCTTTTCTCATCAAGTTTCTGGGTCCTCTCTGCTGCTTGCTTCTTGGCTTTCCTGACCTTGTCATATGCAGCCTGGCAGGAGAAAGGGGCACAGGGCAGAGGGTCAGTGAGAGAGTAAAGACAGAGCCCCGGCAATCTGCCTGGCCCCTAGCCCACGAGCCATCAGAGTGGCAGCCTGGTGACTGGGTCTCCTGGGCTTAGACAGCAAGGACTGTGCCACATGGCAAAGGGCAGAGGACCGAGGTTGAGAGGCAGCAGTGGTCTCTAACCATGGGGGACGATTCCGATGAAGGAGGCTGTGCTTACCCTGGCTGCAGCATCGGTCAGCACCTCCAAGGCCTGAGAAAGCTGGTGGAAGAGTTCAGCTAAACATAAGGATCAAAAAGACAGAAGAAAAATAAAGTTAAGACTTCGTAATGGTGTGCTCCCTCAAAAAAAAAAAAAATCTTCAAAGAAGTCACAGGATGGCAGACAAGCCGACATCAGCAGATGACAGACCAACAAGGAGGGGTGAGCATATCAGCAACTGACCAGACACCCCTCACAGGAGGGAAGCCCTGGGACCCATTGCCTGGAGCCAGGCAATGTGTGCTTACACCCCACAGCACTCACATGCAGAGCTTACATCGGGAAACACAATGCCCGGGTGAGTGGGTTTCTTTCTCCCCACGCCCTGAGAAGAGTCTCACCTGCTCTGGGATTATCTGGATTTTTGTCTGGGTGGCAGGAGAGGGCCTTCTGCCTATACGCCTTCTTTACCTGGAAGAGTCAGACAGAAGACATGGCCATTCACTCTCATCCCAGGGACAAACAGGAAAACCTTGCTCAATGGGTAAGGGGAATCCCATGCACACCTAAAAGAGAAGCTGCTGGCGCCCACTTCCTAGCCACCAGGGAGACTGGCAATGGAGGAGGCCAAGGCCATGGAGGGAGTGAGCCACTGTCGCCCAGCACAGGAGCTGGGCCCACCTCCTGCTAAGTGCTCAACCTCACCACTGCAGATGTCCAGGGGCTGCTGCAACAGGCAGGAGCACAGTACCCCGCTTTCTCGACAGCCACTCGAAGACAGGTACTCTACACATTCTTGGTGGGCATATAAACTGGGGCAACCTATCTGGAAGAAAATTCAGCCATCAAAATTTAAAATGTTCTTTCCCTTTGACCCAAGTCCTAGGAATCTGGACTTGTAGAAGTATGGCAAAAATAAATATACAAGGATGCTCTCTACAACACTGTTGATACTAGCCAGCCAAGATCCCCATCAACGGGGAGACTCATTTAAAAGATTATGATTGGCCGGTGCGGTGGCTCACGCCTGTCATCCCAGCACTTTGGGAGGCTGAGGTGGACAGATCACCTGAGGTCAGGAGTTTGAGACCAGCCTCACTAACATAGTGAAACTCCATCTCTACTAAATATACAAAAATTAGCTAGGCATAGTGGCGGGCAGCTGTAATCCCAGCTACTTGGGAGGCTGAGGCAGGAGAATCGCTTGAACCGAGGAGGCGGAGGTTGCAGTGAGCCGAAATCGCACCACTACACTCCGGCCTGGCGACAGAGCAAGACTCTGTCTCAAATAAAATAAAATAAAATAAAATAAAAAATAAAATAAAAGATTATGATTGAGGCCGGACATGGTGGCTCACGCCTGTAATCACAGCACTTTGGGAGGCTGAGGCGGGTGGATCACTTGAGGTCAGGAGTAGGAGACCAGCCTGGCCAACATGGCGAAACCCCATCTCTACTAAAAATACAAAAATTAGCTGGGTGTGATGACATATTCCCCTGTAATCCCCCTACTTGGGAGGCTGAGGCATGAGAATCGCTTGATTCATGCAGGAGGCAGAGGTTGCAGTGAGCCAAGATTGTGCCACTACACTCCAGCCTGTGGGACAAGAGCGAGACTCCATCTCAGAAAAAAAAAAAAAAAAAAAAAGATTATGATTGGCCAGACATGGTGTAATCCTGTAATCCTGGCATGTAATCCTGTAATCCTCATGCCTGTAATCCTGGCACTTTGGGAGGCTGAGGTGGGCAGATCACTTGAGGTCAGGAGTTCGAGACCAGCCTCGCCAACAAAGCAAAACCCTGTCTCTATTAAAAATACAAAAATTAGCCGGGCATGGTGGCGTGCACCTGTAGACCCAGCTACTTGGGAGGCTGAGGCAGGAGAATCACTTGAGCCCCAGAGGCGGAGGTTGCAGTGAGCCGAGATCATGCCATTGTACTCTAGCCTGAGTGACAGAGGGAGACCTTGTCTCAAAAAAATAATAAAAAATAAATTTCAAAAAGTTTGTTCAGGAATTTGCCACGCTTATTAAAATTTTTTTTAAATAAAATATTATAGTAGACAGAGGTATCCATGTTCTGACATAGATCTTATTATAAACTTTTGAGTTTAGTCCAGGTGCGGTGGCTCAAGCCTGTAATCCCAGCACTTTGGGAGGCCGAGACAGGTGGATCACGAGGTCAGGAGATTGAGACCATCCCGGCTAACACGGTGAAACCCCGTCTCTACTAAAAATACAAAAAAATTAGCCAGGCATGGTGGCGGGCGCCTGTAGTCCCAGCTACTCGAGAGGCTGAGGCAGGAGAATCGCTTGAACCTGGGAGGCAGAGGTTGCAGTGAGCCGAGATCACACCATTGCACTGCAGCCTGGGAGACAGAATGAGACTCTGTCTCAAAAAAAAAAAATTTTTTTTTGTCAGGTGTGGTGGTGCATGCCTGTAGTCCCAGCTACTCAGGCGGTTGAGGCGAGAGGATCGCTTGAGCCCAGGAGTTCCAGCCAAGCCTGGGCAACATGGCAAGACCTCATCTCTACAAAAATTTTTTAAACATGAGCCAGGTGTGGTAGCATGTGCCTTTGTCCCCCTACTCAGGAGGCTGAGGTGGGAGGATCACTGGAGCCCGGGAGGTTGAAGCTGTAGTGAGCATGTTCACACCACTGCATTTCAGCCTAGGTGACAGAGTGAGACCTTGTCTCAAAAATAAAAATAAAAAAATTTTAAATTAAATTAAAATAAAATAAAAAATTAGCCAGGCATAGTGGTGCGTGCCTGCAGTACCAGCTACTAAGGAGGTTGAGGAGGGAGGATCACCTCAGCCAAGGATTTTGAGGCTGCCGTGAGCTATGATGATGCCACTGCACTCCAGCCTGGGTGACAGAGCAAGACTCTCTCTTAAATACATAGAAAGAAAGAAACCCCAATATTTCTTACATAAGTAAAAATAAACACAGCTACCAAGATTCTCTTTCGTGTGCTACCTAATAGCTGTTGTAAGTGAAGACAGTGTACACAACCCCAGAATCCGTCCTCTGCCTCCAAGGCCTTTGCTTTCTCCCTTCTGCTTGGTGTGTGTTACCTGCTGCTCAAACCTCCTGGAGGAAGAGCTAAGCAGATTGGATTTCTAAGCTTCCAAGATGGACGCAAGAAACGCTTCTACACCCAAGTGTGCTAAATAAGGACTTTCAGAGGTAAGCAGCCAGCATCCACAAGGTGAGCACCTGCTGGGCAACTCCTCCATCCATGAGGCAGCCACCGGGCCCAGGACCTCTAGGGGTGTGCTGCCACCTGCTGGGCCATAGCCAGGGCACCTGCCATGGCAGCCCAAGCTGTTTGGTTCTCCTGACTGCCTTGGAGGCAGCAGGAACCACCCAGGACAGGCGCTGGGCAGAGAGGGTGTAGACGTGCCACCTGCCTTCCCAATCGCCCACCGAAGCACATCTGCCCTGCCTGCTCACCTCCCACCCTAACCCTCCCTGCCTAGCTCTGTTTTCACTACAAAAAAGAACAATATTAAGGGAAAGGAGGTGCTAGCTTAAGACAGTGTCATCTTTGCAATATATCATCTTTACTTTTTAGGTCCCTTATCATTCGTCTTTTCTTTCTTTTGCTCTCTTTGCCTGCTTTATTGTGCCTCCAGCCTCATTCCTTTACTGAACATATTTTATATTTCAGGGCCCCTGTTTGCTTTTTTTCAATAAGTAAAACAATACCAAAAACATTATAAAGATGTTCTTTCTCAATCTCCCCAGCCCTCTGACATCAAGGTTCATTAACACATATAAAAGCACCTACACACACTGACAGGAGTCTGTTGGGTGTTTGTTCCTGGCCTCTGGGCCCCTCCTCTCTGATCCTATCTCCACCCTCTCTCTGGGATGGGTGAGAGGAAGGGAGGGGGAGGCGGTCCATGTCCCAGTATCTATGGCATCACCTGCAACACTACCTTCAAGATGAACTTCCTCAGGACTAGGACTAGTAGGCTTGCCCCAGGGATGTAGGGGGGTTTTGTGGAAGATGTTTTCTTTTGTATCATGGGGCTCTTTTAAAGTGGTTTAGGCTGGGCATGGTGGCTCACACCTCTAATCCCATCGCTGTGGGAGGCCGAGGTGGGTGGATCACTTGAGGTCTGGAGTTTGAGACCAGCCTGGCCAACATGGTGAAACTTGTATCTACTAAAAATATAAAAATTAGCCGGGTGTGGTGGTGCATGCTTGTAATCTCAGCTATGGGGGAAGCTGAGGCAGAAGAATCACTTGATTCCGGGGGGCAGAGGCTTCAGTGAGCTGAGATCGTGTCACTGTACCCCAGCCTGGGTGACAGAGTAAGGCTCTGTCTCAAAAAAATAAAATAAAAGTTTGTATGTTCCTTGTTATAAATCTGAGAGGGGGAGTAGAAGTGAGTGTGAAGAAGAAGGAGCAGGCTGGGTGTGGTGGCTCACGCCTGTAATCCCAGCATTTTGGGAGGCTGAGGCGGGCGAATCAGTTGAGGTCAGGAATTCGAGACCAGCCTGGCCAACGTGGTAAAACCCCGTCTCTACCAAAAATACAAAAATTAGCTGGGCGTGGTGGCACACGCCTGTAGTCCCAGCTACTAGGGAGGCTGAGGCAGGAACCTGGGAGGCGGAGGTTGCAGTGAGCCGAGATTGCACCACTGCACTCCAGCCTGGGCGACAAAAATAAAATTCTGTCTCAAAAAAAAAAAGAAGGAGCAGTAAGAAAGCAAGACAGAAGGGGTGTCCAGCAGTGGCATCTCCTTCATTTTCTTTCCTTTTTTTGAGAGAATGCTTTCTGAATTTTATTCTAAGGGAATGATAAATATTCTTTTGTGTTTCATAATTTATTTTGAATGTTCTATATTGGAATTTTGGTTTTTCACTGTAATAGGAAAATAAAATTATTCAAGCTGAAAAATCCACTCATATTGTCAAATATGCTTTACATATATTAACTTATTTAATTCTTAAAGCCCCTATGAGGTAGAAATTATTATCCTCCTCATTTTACAAATGAGGAAACTGTGACATAAGGGTTAATTATGATACCCAAAATCCATTCAATGAAAAGCCATACAAACATTACTTTAGGCAAAAACTATTCTACTCCAGCCAATTACCACAGAAAAAACAGTGGACACCACCCCACCCATGCCATCAAAGGCCAGGTAGAGAGCATAGACTTCCATTCTTGCTACCCTAAACCTCTGCCAGAGTGGTGTCAGATAAAGCCAAACAGGGAGGCTAGGACTTTCATCCCCAACAGATGGAAATACAAAAATATAAAAATATCTCTGGGCCGGGCGTGTTGGCTTACACATGTAATCCCAGCACTCTGGGAGGCTGAGGCGGGCAGATCACCTGAGGTCAGGGGTTGGAGACCAGCTTGGCCAACATGGTGAAACCCCGTCGCTACTAAAAATACAAAAATTAGCTGGGCATGGTGGTGGGAGCCTGTAATCCCAGCTACTCAGGAGGCTGAGGCAGGACAATCGCTTGAACCCAGGAGGCGGAGCTTGCAGTGAGCCGAGATCATGCCATTGCACTCCAGCCTGGGAGGGAAGAGTGAAAGTCCATAACAACAACAACAACAAAACAACAACAACAACAACATCTCTGAAAGAAAAGGGATATCCCCGAAAAAGCTTCCAGTCTCAGTATCGTTTATTATTAAATAATCCTACCTTATAAACAGCTGAAAGGGTTATAGCTGATATTTACTTTCTATAATAAGCTTGTATTACTTTTCAAGTGATACAAGAAAAAAACTGGTAAGAAACAAAAACAAAATTGTTTAGCTTCTTTCCACAATTCTAAGCTAGGAGGCAGCATGGTTCACTAAAAGAGGGCAAGTTCTGGAGTCTGGCAGATGTATTTTCAAATTCGGAATCTTCTACATACTGATAGCATGACCTTGGGCAAATTACTGAAGCTCACACAGCCTTAGGGACTTCAACATCAAACTGAGAAGAATAAATCCTACACACAGGGCTGCTGGAAGGATTAAAGAAAATGATCCGTGTAAGCACCTGACAAAAACTAGGTGCTTCCTACAAGTTCCCAAACCTTTCTCTCCTCTACTTCTGGAAGAGGGTAAACTGTGACACCAGGCCAGCAGGATGCCAATTGGACAGGAATTCAGGAATGGACCCTGGTCCACAGTGGATGCAGGTCAACTCCATTTGAATTCTCTAGGTGGACAGGGCTGGATTTGAGTCTGCTGTGGGGTAGATCTAAAATTCAATCCTGGGTTCACTCCCAGGGTCTCTGAAATACTCTTATTCAAGGGGTAGAAGGGATGGGTAGGTAGCCTGAGATCTTCCAGAGTGGCCTTGAATCAAAACCCAGCTGGCCTAAGAATGTTGGTCAAGTATGTCTGTCTTGATTAACTAGTTATTACTATATTTAACTGTTAAACCTGCCCTGGGCAGGGCCCATCCCTTGGTTTTAGCCTGGAAGACCAGTTTTGACTTTGAACCGGTTGGCCTAGAATTTGGTGCTTTGTACTACAAACTAGATTCCCAGCTTTGTCCAGCCCTCCTGGAGTTGACTGCTGCCTGAAGAATTTCTCACCATGTAAACACAACTCTCCTAAAGCAGGCCTTTGAAAAACCTTCCGGTCTCAATATTGTTTATTATTAAATAATCCTACCTTATGAACAGCTCAAAAGGCTAGATTCAGGGTAAAAATGTACAACAATTATTTTTTATAACTATCACAAAATTGGGAAGGAGAGGAACTTTCAGAAGAACAAGAAATAGAAGGGCCATCCTCTATAATCTTACTCCTTATGATATAGGATAAACAGGACTGCTGAAAGCCAGGTATCCCGGGTTGGAAGCTCCTCCAGAAACTGACTCTGGCCCAGGTCCAGTGGCTCACGCCTGTAATCCCAGCATTTTGGGAAGGTGAGGCGGGAGGATCGCTTGAGCCCAGGAGTTTGAGACCACCCTGGGCAACAGAGCAAGACCCCATCTCTAAAAAGAGAAAGAAAGAAACTGTGTCTGCAGGTGCTGGGATCACTGAGGCAGAGCTGAAGCAGCCACAGCAAGGTGTGGCTTTTCACTTGCAGCTTTTCTTCTTTACCTATAGGTTTCCCCTAAATCCCCTGGTCTCTCTAGCGCTTAGAAACACTTGCATTTCTGAGACTTCACAAAGGATCCAGGTGACAGTTCAAATGTTTCCAACCCAAAGTTCCCCATCCAGATCATGGCTTTTCAGAGGAGAAGCTCTTTCTAAGGCCCAGCCTCAGAAGGACGAAGATCTCAGATAAATGTAAGCTCCGTGAGTACTTCGAACTGCAATTTGCAGAAACTTGGTCTTTCTCCTGATGGCTTTCTAAAAACCTCACTGTCTACCACCCTTTTTCCATCCTAGACTGGTTGAGTTTAATCTGTTTTTGATGTCTCAGGATCATCATCCAGAACATCAACTACTGAATAGTATGACACGTTCTACGGAGAGTGGTGTCAGGCTTTTCATTTGCTTCCCTAGGTGGCGAGGATTTTAAATTCTACTCTTTTAATAGTTTTCCTATTACTTCCTTAGTTGGCCTCTACTAGACTGCCAGATGCCAGCCCTTCCCTAGAAGTGCTGCTCATCTGCTGCTTCTTTTCTGGTATGGTCTAGAGAAACAGATAAGCTGGTTATAACTATACCTTAAATGAGAGCATAAGGGTATAGGAAGGTATGGGGGTTCCCCTTACAAATAAAGTGGATGTACTTAGGAGGCAGGGAGTTCTGCTTCTCCCCAGGGTCCAGAACAGTGAACAGCACCTGGCATTCAGCAGGCACACAATAAATATCTGTTGCATGAATTGGCAAACATTCATTTGTTCTCAACCAAAACACAATCGGAAACCTCAACTATGTCAATTACTTCAGACCCACTGAGGAGCAGAAGGAAGTAGGTGCCATCCAGACCCTAGGAGATCTGACCACTATTTCACAATTTCTCCTCCTCCCTGCTAACACCTCCTCTTAAAAAACCAAGTCTGGGAAAGGGAAGGAATTACTAAAGCAGACTGCCAGGATAACCACAGTGGGAACTAAATGTTACCCCCTCATTGCCCACATCAGACAATGAATAATAAATTGGCAGCCACCCAGCCCTTCCCCGGAAGCTCTATAACCGGTTCTACCACTTTCAGCAACCTGAACCCAGAGCAGGGGAGGAGGGCTGGAAGCTGGGTCTCTAGCCACCTCCACTGGGTTTTGCCGCAAGCACACAGCAGGGCCTCTGACATCCACCTGCCTCCAGTTTCACCTCTTGATGGGGGAAGGAACTCCTGACTCACCCAAAAAAGCTAAGTGCTAAGGGATCCAATAAATACAAAATAGCCATCATTAACTTAAAAGAAAGGTGCCCTACAAAGAAGGGATCATTATTTTTTAAAAGGTTGCTGTCCTTTCTTGTAATAAAGCTTGGAGCCAGGTAAGTAAGTGGTACAAGTAAAGAGGCCGAGGCTGATAGGTTAGACTTAGATAAGGAGGACACAGAGGGAGGCAGCTCTATGTGACAACAAGCACTGAATGGACAAAGCATCCCGGGTAAATCAGCTGGAAACCCACTGCCAGGCCCAGTTCCAGTCACAGGCACAGTGAGTGATAACAGCTGGGGCAGCCACGTCTCCCCAAGCCCGGAGAGGCAGATGCCTCCCCATCCCCTCACTAGCAGGAACCCCAGAGGTATATGACTGCCTGATGTCACACGCAGGAAGCAAACAACAGAGCTCTGGGCACCTGCCTAAAAGTCCCCTCTGGCCAGGCATGGTGGCTGATGCCTGTAATCCTAACACTTTGGTAGGCCAAAGCAAGAGGATCGCCTGAAGCCAGGAGTTCAAGATCAGCATGGGCAACAAAGCGAACCCCACCTCTACAAAAAATTTAAAAATGGGCCGGGCACGGTGGCTCACGCCTGTAATCCCAGCACTTTGGGAGGCCGAGGTGGGTGGATCATGAGGTCAGGAGATCGAGACCATCCTGGCTAACACGGTGAAACCCCGTCTCTACTAAAAATACAAGAAATTAGCCGGGCATGGTGGCGGGCGCCTGTAGTCCCAGCTACTCGGGAGGCTGAGGCAGGAGAATGGCATGAACCCGGGAGGCGGAGCTTGCAGTGAGCCGAGATCATGCCACTGCACTCCAGCCTGGGCCACAGAGCGAGACTCTGTCTCAAAAAAAAAAAAAAAAAATTTTTTTTTAAATGAGCCAGGCATGGTGGCATGCACCTGTAGTCCCAGCTACTTGGGTGGGGCTGGGAAGGATTATTTGAGTCCACGAGTTTGAGGCTGCATGCCACTGCATGCCAGCCTGGGCAACAGAGTGAGATCCATCTCTTTAAATAAACATAAATAAATAAAAATAAAAGAGAAGTTCCCTGTGCCTGAAAGATTGATCCTTTCATTCCTTACAGCCTGTGACCCCTATTGGGACAGCACTACAGAGAAGTCCCCAAATGCCTGGGCACTGTACAACCTATGGGCTGCTCCCAAGGCTTGGCACAAGCAGAGAGCTGGCCAACCCCAGACAGCCCCCTCAGCTCAATGCTCCCAAAACATGGGCCTGCTGGTGGTACCAAGATAATACCAGAGAACCTGGGCCTCACACTGACATCCCTCTCAGGCTGATAGCCATGGCCCATGGTTCAGTCTCAGAACAGGGGCCTGTGCCACCTAGAACAGCTGGGACCACACACGGAGCCTGGCCTGCTTCTCCCCAAATGATGGCCCTTGTACGCCCTTTGGGCTCTGGTTCCTCAGCCAATCCTGAGGCCACTCTTTAGCTCCTCCCATCCCCCCGGATCTCATCTCCAGGTCCCCCTTCCTTCACTCCCCCACAGTACTCCCTCCTATCCTGCTCTCCTCGGTCCACTTCCCCAAACCAGCCCACTTGAAACCCAGTCTACAGCCCTCTTTCTCCTCCTCAGATACCACCCTGCTCTCTGGCCCACCTCCTCCCTTTTAACCTTATCCTAACCACCGCTATATTAGGCTCAGACCCCAAAAGCCTTTCCTACCTTCTCTCAGCTTGTAGATTCTCATGCCCAGATCTGCCAGAAACGTCTCCCCACTGCCTGCTGTCACTCTTAACTCCTAGAGGCCTGGGTCTCTAGCCCCAGAACCACTTCCTCTGCCCAGTCTCTGCCCTTTCCCAGGGGGTAGAACTCCTTCCCTCTGGGCCCTGGTACTTCCTACACCTCATTCATTTCTGTCTTCCCTTAATGCATTGTTTCCTTTATAAACAAATTTGTATTAGTAAAAAGAAATTAGTTGATTTCGGAAGTCTGAGGCAGGAGAATGGCGTGAACCCGGGAGGCGCATCTTGCAGTGAGCCGAGATTGCGCCACTGCACTCCAGCCTGGGAGACAGAGACAGACTGTCTCAAAAAAAAAAAAAAAAAAAAAAAAAAAAGAAAAGAAAAGAAATGAGTTGATTTAGTGAAAATAACTAAATAACAATACTTACGAACAGCAAAAATAGGGAAAGCGCTATGCAAATGGAAAACATTTTGAATGCCACTAACTTCAAGGAAATGGAAACTGTGCTATGGTAGTTTTAACACAAATCTTAACACAGTTCCTTAAGCTGTTCAGAGCAGCTTACTACCTGCTGGGTTTACCCAAGTCCCAGGCAGGTAAAATCTCTATCTGTGTTACAGATGGGGCTGCGAGACTCTCTGGGGCCCACAGACCCGTCTCCTGTTGCTCTAATTGGTCCTGAAGTGTGGGTCACGGAAAAAGTTCTCAAAGAGGAGTAGAAAATTCAGGTGTGGGCCGGGCGCAGAGGCTCACGCCTGTAATACAAACACTTTGGGAGGCTGAGGCGGGTGGATCACTTGAGGTCAGGAGTTTGAGATCAGCCTGGCCAACATGGTGAAACCCCGTCTCTACTAAAAATATAAAAATCAGCTGGGCATGGTGGCGCATCACATGCCTGTAATCCCAGCTACTTGGGAAGCTGAGGTATGAGAATCACTTGAACCCAGGAGGCGGAGGTTGCAGTGAGCCAAGATCGTGCCACTGCACTCCAGCCTGGGCGACACAGCGAGACTCTCTTTCCAAATAAAAATAAAATAAAAATAAAATAAGGTGGCAGTACCAGCCACCTTATGCTGGGCGAATCACTTAAATTCTTGGAGTCTTTGTTTCCACATCTAGGAATTGGTGCCAGTAGTCCTTGACCACCTCACAGGCTTGCTTTCAAGGTCTCATCAAATGAGATAATTTATGTGAAAGCACTTTGGTGTCATAGAAATGTGAGGTATTATCTTGAATGTTAATGAATCGCTTACAGCTTACAAACACAAATGAATCATTCCTTTTGACTTAACAGGCACCTAAGTAACTTCAAAAATCCAGAGCTTCAGCCAGACAGCTTTGGTGAAGAGTGATACTGAGGGGACTTGGAGATACTGAGAGGACTTAGAGACCAGCTGCTAGATCCACCCAGAGCTGGTCAGGCCCTTGGTGAAGAACAACTATCTTCAAGTGAAACCAGGCTTGGAAAAAATAACTTAAAATAAATAAAAAAAAATAGGCCGGGTGCGGTGACTCATGCCTGTAATCCTAGCACTTTTGGAGGCCAAGGTGGGAGGATCCCTTGAGCCCAGGAGTTTGAGATCAGCCTGGACAATGTAGGGAGACCCTGCCTCTAAAAAACCATAATAAATAAATAAACAAATAAATAATGTGGTAATATATTGAGGCTACAAAAAAAATTTTAAAAAGCTGGGTGCGGTGGCTCATGACTGTAATCTCAGCACTTTGGGAGGCCAAGGCAGGCGATCACCTGAGGTGAGAAGTTTTGAGACCAGCCTGGCCAACATGGTGAAACCCCATCTCTACTAAAAATACAAAAATTAACTGGGTATGGTGGCGTGTGCCTGTAGACCCAGCTACTCGGGAGGCTGAGGGAGAAGAATTGCTTGAACCTGGGAGGGGGAGGTTGCAGTGAGCCAAGATCGCACCACTGCACACCAGCCAGGGTGACAGAGTGACTCCATCTCAAAAAACTAAAATAAAATAAAATAAAAAACAACAGGCAGCTGGTCGCAGTGGCTCACACCTGTAATCCCAGCACTTTGGGAGGCTGAGGTGGGCGGATCACCTGAGGTCAGGAGTTCGACACTAGCCTGGCCAACATGGTGAAATCCTGTCTCTACTAAAAATACAAAAATTAGCTGGGTGTGGTGGCACGCGCCTGTAATCCCAGCTACTGGGGAGGCTGAGGCAGGAGAATCGCTTGAACTCAGGAGGCGGAGGTTGCAGTGAGCCAAGATCACGCCATTGCACTCCAGCCTGGGCAACAAGAGCGAAACTCCATCTGAAAAAAACAAAACAAAACAAAACAAACAGGCTCAGTACCCAACCTCAAGGCCTCAGCACCTGGTCTAGATATAAGAGGTTCTGGGAAAAGCCCCCTTTGGAGACAGCAGATTACATCAGGCACACTTCAGATCCAGAAATGGCCCCCAGATGCTCACAGAATCAAGTGTAACCACCCTAGGGCCTAGAGGCCCAAACACACATTTCTCAGATTCATCTCCTGCGACCTCCTCAGCAAACCCTAGGCCATGCCCATTCCCTGTCATGCTAGGCACTCCACATCTGCATGCCCCGGTTGCTCCTTCAAGCCCTTGTCTGTCCTCTGTCCTCAAAAACCAAGTCTTCTTAAATTTTTAAGAAACAATGTTGATGCACCACCTTCTAGGGTATAAAAGAAATATGTAGCTAGTGGTACCAAGATAATAGCTAGCTTAAAGATAAAATAGCCTTTTCCTTGCAGTAATTTATATGCTATAATATAACCTCCCTCCCAGAAAATGTCAATATTAAGTTTCCCTGGTAGTTTTCCTGATAAATAGACTTAAGCTTTGAGTCTTGAAAAACAATCAAAATGCATTTTCAAACATCTGGCTTCCCCAGGTAATTACCTGCCAAGATGAATGAGCTACACACCCTTCAAAGGGCTTCAAATGAAAGGTAAGGCTGCTACAGACAGAAGAGAAAGACAGGCTGGACATGCTGACTCATGCCTGTAATCCTGGCACTTTGGGAGGCCGAGGCAGGAGGACTGCTTGAGCCCAGGAGTTCGAGACCAGCCTGGGCAACATAGGGAGACCCCATCTCCACAAAATATTTTTCTAAAAATTATCCAGGCGTGGTGGTGCACTCCTGTGGTCCCAGCCTGGAGGACAGAGTGAGACCCCCAGAAATACACATGTGGGCTGCACAAAAGTGGAAAGGATCTTGATTGGAGCTCTAGTCTCAGGCTGATGCTCACTCGCTGGATGGTCGTGGAAAATTTTGTAACCTCTCTGAACCTCCATTCTCCAGTCTACAAAATAAGACAGTAAATGACCATGAAGATCCCTTCTTTTTTTTTTTTTTTTTTTTGAGATGGTCTCACTTGTCACCCAGGCTGGAGTGCATGGCACGATCTCAGCTCACTGCAAGCTCTGCCTCCGGGTTCACGCCATTCTCTTGCCTCAGCCTCCCGAGTAGCTGGGACTACAGGCACCCGCCACCACGCCTGGCTAATTTTTTTGTATTTTTAGTAGAGACGGGGTTTCACCATGTTAGCCAGGATGGTCTCGATCTCCTGACCTCGTGATCTGCCCGCCTCGGCCTCCCAAAGTGCTGGGATTACAGGCGTGAGCACCGTGCCCAGCCCATGAAGATCCCTTCTAACTGCTGCAATATATTCTTTTCTCCCTTCAAGATCTTGCATAAAAACACCAGTCATATAAATCATGTCTTCCTCTTTATTCTTACAGCATTTTCTTATATACTCTTACTGAACCTCATTCATTGCACCTCAGCGTTCACTGAGTATATAACTGTGTGAGCTGTCAGAAGTCAGAAGTGGTATCTTACTCAGCTCTAAGTCCTACCATGCTCAAACAGTACCTTGTCCATGGTGAGAAACTCCATTCATTTGTTGATGTGAACTAAATGTTGAACTCTGGTGATCCTCAATTTTGTTCTACTTGATCCTCCACCGCCTTCCTACCCTGACCACTGCCTCAATTGAGAATCACTGATTTGCTGTTAGGTGACTCAGCACTAATGTGTCAGGAATGGAGTGAGTAAAGAAGGGGTCCAGGTGGAGGGCAGCCTTGGACACAAGCTGGGGGCGATTCATATTTGACTTTCCAAGCTTACAGTGTAAGGAAGATGGACTCACAATGAAAACAGCAAGAACTGACTCATAGTGAGCGCTCACTCTATGCCAGGCACTGTGCCAAATGCTTACGTGGATCAAGCCTCAAAACAATGCGATCAAGGACAGACTATCATCATCCTCGTTTTGCAGACGAGGAAACCAAGGTACAGAGCGGTTAAATATTTGCTCCAGGTCACAAACTAGGTCATGGGGCAAGTATCCAGGCAATCTGACTCCAAAGTCCACTTTCTTAACTATAACTGCTAATAAGTACAAAGGTGATTATGAAGGCACATTTACAATTCTAACATCTGTATCATGATTTCCATCTATTCTCAACACATGGTAGATGCAACAAGCAACAATTCTTAGCCTTACACATTAAAGATAGTTATAAAAACTGTTACTTTCAATCCCAGCACTTTGGGAGGCCGAGGCGGGCGGATCACAAGGTGAGGAGTTTGAGACCAGCCTGACCAATATGGTGAAATCCCATCTCTACTAAAAATACAAAAATTAGCCAGGCATGGTGGTGCATGCCTATAATCCTAGCTACTCAGGAGGCTGAAGCAGGAGATCTGCTTGAACCCAGGAGGCAGAGGTTGCAGTGAGCTGAGATTGTGCCACTGCACTCCAGCCTGGGGGATAGAATGAGACTCCATCTCAGAAAAAAAAACAAAAACAAGAACAAAACCTGTTACTTTCGGCTGGGCACAGTGGCTCATGCCTGTAATCCCAGCACTTTGGGAGGCCAAGGCCAGAGGATCACTTGAGCCCAGGAGTTCAAGACCAGTCTGGGCAACATGGTGAGACCCCATCTCTACAAAAAATACAAAAATTACCCTGGCATGGTGGTGCACACCTGTAAGCCGAGCTACTCAGGAGGCTGAGGTGGGAGGATCACCTGAGCCCAGGAAGTCAAGGCTGCAGTGAGCTATGATTGCACCACTGTACTTTGGCTGGGGCAAAGCGAGACCATCTTTAAAAAAACAAAAAACAAAAATAAAAACGGTTACTCTCTTTATTAAATTTATTTATTTATTTATTTTTTGAGACGGAGTCTTGCTCTGTCGCCCAGGCTGGAGTGCAGTGGCACGATCTCGGCTCACTGAAACCTCTGCCTTCCGGGTTCAAGTGATTCTCCTGCCTCAGCCTCCTGAGTAGCTGGGATTATAGGCGCCTGCCACCAAGCCCAGCTAATTTTTTGTATTTTTAGTAGAGATGGGGTTTCGTCGTGTTGGCCAGGCTGGTCTCGAACTCCTGACCTCAGGTGAGCCCCCCGCCTCGGCCTCCCAAAGTGCTCGGATTACAGGCATGAGCCACCGTAAGTTTATTTTTAATATATATTTTTAGCCGACTCTTGCTCCTCTCTGGAAAAACTGTTATTTTCTGCACCAACTTCCTCTCTAGGAAATCATCAGCTGATTAAAAAACATAAACTTCTCGGCTGGGCACAGTGGCTCACGCCTGTGATCCCAACACTTTAGGAGGCCGAGGCGGGAGGATTGCTTCCATGACCACGCCCCTGCACTCCAGCCTGGGCGGGAGAGGGAGATGGTGTCTCAAAAAAAAGGAAGGAAGGGAGGAAGGGGAGGAAGGGATGGAAGGGAGGGGGGAGGGAAGGAAGAAAAATATGAATTTCTAGAAGAACTGCCAACGTTAGCCTCTGCATTTCAAAATGATGGGCCCCAGGAGCAAGAGACAGAAAAGATGGAAACAAACAAGATGTGGGGGCCCTAAAACCGCTTCTCTTCACATCTGTTTCCTTAGCACCAGGCTCAGAGTTTGACACACAATAGGCACTTAATAAAAATGCTGTTTATGGGAAATGTTTCAACCCTCCTCTAAAACACTCATGGAGAAAAGGAAGGGAAATGAAAAAGAACCAGGCAGAACACTATCAAGTTTAATTTAATAAAGGTTCAGTGTGGGCTGGGCGTGGTGGCTCACACCTGTAATCCCAGCACTTTGGGAGGCTGAGCCAGGCGGATCACAAGGTCAGGAGTTCAAGACAAGCCTGGCCAACATGGTGAAACCCCGTCTCTACTAAAAATACAAAAATTAGCTGGGCGTGGTGGTGGGCACCTGTAGTCCCAGGTTGTGAGGCTGAGGCAGGAGAATCGCTTGAACCCGAAAGGCAGAGGTTGCAGTGAGCCAAGATCGTGCCACTGCACTCCAGCCTGGGCGACAGAGTGAGACTCTGTCTCAAAAAATAAAATAAAATAGGTTCAGTGAGTGCCTGCTCTGGGCAAGGCACCAAGCGCACAGCATTGCTGCTTTCTAGAGTCAGGGCTGCAAGTGGAAAGATGGAAGACTTCCTACCTACCGGGTGGGAATATAGGTCAGTATGACCTTTCTGAAATGCAATTCTGCATTATAAACCAAAAGCTTGTAAATATATTTACTCTCAGTCTAATAATTTCACTACATCATAAAATATTACTGCCCAAGAAAATAAGAATGCATGTTCATCAATCACTCAACAAAGATTTATTAAGCATCTACCAAGGGCGAGGCATTGTTCTAGGTGCTGGAGACATAGTAGTAAACAAAACAGAGGAAGTCCTTTCCTTCCTGGATTTTTTACATTCTAATGGGAGAGCAATGGTAAGCAAATGGGCATGTACTATAAGGTGTAGTAGTGAGATCTACTTCGAAATAGCAGATAAGGGTGTGGGGCTAGCTCATTTAAATAGGTAGTCAGGAAAAGCCTCTCTGAGCAGATGATATTTGAATGGAAACCTGAATTAGGTGTGGGAGATAGATAACTGCCCAGAGAAAGAATTTTCTAGCAGAAGGATTAGCAAGTATAAAGGCCCTGAAAATCAGGAATGTGTTAGGTGAGTTTGAAAAAAATCACAGGAGGCCCACTTCACACTTATTAGGATGGTTATTATCCAAAGAAAACAGAAAATTTAAGTGTGGAAAGGATGTGGAGAAAATGGAACTCCTGTGTATTGCTGGTGGGAAGGTTAAATGGCACAGCCATTGTGGAAGCCGGTATGTCAGTTCCTCAAAACATTAAACATAGAATTACCATATGATCTAGCAGTTCTCCTTCTGGGTATATATCAAAAGAACTGTTTTTGTTTTTGTGACCCAATCTCACTCTGTCACCAAGGCTGGAGTGGAGTGGTTCAATTCACTATAGCTTTGACCCCCTGGGCTAAAGCAATCCTCCCTCCTCAGCCTCCCGAGTAAAGTAGCTGGGACTACGGGCGTGCGCCACCACAATGAGCTAATTTTTTCTTTTTTTTTCCTTTGTAGAGACAGGGTTTTGCCGTGTTGCTCAGGCTGATCTCAAGCTCCTAGGCTCAAGCAATCCTCCTGCCTCAGTCTCCCAAAGTGCTGGGATTACAGGCATTATCCACCACACTAGAACAAGAAATTAGAGTAGGGACTCTGCCAGGGATCGTAGCTCATGCCTGTAATCCTAGCACTTTGGGAAGCCAAAGCAGAAGGATAACTTCAGGCCGGGAGTTTGAGACCAGTCTGGGCAACATAGCAAAACCCCATCTCTACAAAAAATTTAAAAATCAGCTGGGCATGATGGTACATGCCTATTGTCCTAGCTACTCAGGAGACTGAAGTGGGACGACTGCTTGGGCCCAGGAGGTTGAGGCTGCAGTGAGCTGTGATCGCACAATTTCACTCCAGCCTGGGCAATAGAGCGAGACCCTGTTTCATCAACCACAAAAAATTCATAAAGTAGGGACTCAAACAGATTTCTTTCTTTTTTTTTTTTTGAGATGGAGTTTCGCTCTTATTGCCCAGGCTGGAGTGCAATGGCACAATCTTGGCTCACTGCAACCTCCGCCTCTGGGTTCAAGCGATTCTCCTGCCTCAGCCTCCCTAGCAGCTGGGATTACAGGCACCCGCCACCATGCCCAGCTAATTTTTGTATTTTAGTAGAGCCGGGATTTCACTATGTTGGCCAAGCTGGTCTTGAACTCCTGACCTTGGGTGATGCACCTGCCTCAGCCTCCCAAAGTGCTGGGATTACAGGTGTAAGCCACCGCACCTGGCCGATCTCTTTTTTTTTTTTTTTTTTTTTTGAGATGGAGTCTTGCTCTATCGCCCAGGCTGGAGGGCAGTAGCACAATCTCGGCTCACTGCAACCTCCGCCTCCTGGGTTCAAGCAATTCTCCCGCCTCACCCCCCTGGGTAGGTGGGATTACAGGCACCCACCACCACGCCTGGCTAGTTTTTCTATTTTTAGTAGAGACAGGGTTTCATCATGTTGGCAAGGCTGGTCTTGAACTCCTGACTTCAGGCAATCCACCACCCTTGGCCTCCCAAAGTGCTGGGATTACAGGTATGAGCCACCACACCTGGCTCAAACAAATTTCTAACCCACATTCATACTAGCATTACTCACAATAGTCAAAAGCTGGAAACAACCAAAATATTCATCAACAGATGAATGGATAAACAAAATGTGGTATATACATAAAATGGAATATTATTCAACCTTAAAAAGAAAGGAAACTCTGACACATGCTACAACATGGCTGAACCTTGAAAGCATGATGTTAATTAAGCGAAATAAGCCTGACACAAAAGGACAAATATTGCATGATTCCATTTATATGAGGTTCATAGAATAGTCAAATTCATATAGAGAAAGAAAGTAGAAGAGTGGTTCACAGGAGCTGGGGGGAGGAGGGAACAGGGAGTCACTCTTTGTTAAGTACAGAGTTTCAGATTGAAATGATGGAAAAGTTGTAGAGATGGATGGTGGTGATGGCTGCACAACAATGTAAATGTACTTAATGCCAGTGAATCCTTTAATCAAAAAGGATTAAAATGGTAAGCAGTAAATTTTGCGTTAAATACATTATTTATCACAATGTTGTAGGAAATATCAGGAGGACTGATGTGGCTGGAGCACAGTCAGCAAAGGGGAGAGTGGTGGCAGGGAACGTGCAGGACAGGCAGTAAGGGCCGCGTGGGCCAGGGGAAGGACTTCAGATTTCATTCTAAGACTGAGAGAAGCCACTGGGAGTTGTGACCAGAGGTGACAAAATCTGATTTACATTATAAAGGCTCACTCTGGCTGCTGTGTGAAAAGGATCAAGAACAGAAATAGGAAAAGGATTAGACGGTCACTGCAGTCACTCAGGTAATTCCTGAGATTACTTTGGAATCTCTCTTGAAGGTTTGCAAACAGCGTTAACTCACGACTTAATCCTTCATTCTGGCAGCCGTGGTGCCCCGCCTTGTGAGTGTGTGTGTAAGAATTTGGCGCTTGCTGGCTGGGCGCGGTGGCTCACGCCTGTAATCCCAGCACTTTGGGAGGCTGAGGCGGGCGGATCACGAGGTGAGGAGATAGAGACCATCCTGGCTAACACGGTGAAACCCCGTGTCTACTAAAAATACAAAAAAAATTAGCCATGGTGGTGTGGTGGCGGGCGCCTGTAGTCCCAGCTACTCGGGAGACTGAGGCAGGAGAATGGTGTGAACCCGGGAGGCAGAGCTTGCAGTGAGCCGAGATCGTGCCACTGCACTCCAGCCTGAGCGACAGAGCGAGACTCCATCTCAAAAAAAAAAAAAAAAAAAAAAGAATTTGGTGCTCGCTGCTTCAGGCTCTAGCAGACTGATCCTCTCCCTAGGAGCACTTCCACCCGAAACCCAGGTCCTCAACTTAAGGCTTTCCCACAAAAAAAAAAACCACACCATGCCCTGCCTGTATCCTCTAGGGCTGGATGGGGAACAAGGAGAATGGCTGATTGTTAAATCCCCATGAAAGGTGGTGTTTAGCTCACTTTTGGCCTGCTAGGTTTGTTGTGATATGAGGGAAGAACATTTGCAGAAAGGCTAGTTCTGTGTACAGAAAGGCAGAGTTGAACTTGTCCCTAACTTGAAGAGGGATGAGCAGATTTTTCTGTAAAGGCCCCCGGTTGAGAGTAAAAATTTTAGGGAGCTACATATAGTCTTTGTTGTATATTCTCCTTTGTTGTTTTGTGTTTGTTTCTGTTGCTGGATCATATTACTTCTATATTTAATTACCATATGAATCATATGGTAATTGTTGGGTCATATGGTAATTCCATGTTTAATTTTTTGAGGACTCACCATACCATCTTAACATTATCTGCACCACCAACAATGCACAGGGCTCCAATTTCTCTGCATCCTGACCAACATTTATTTCTCTCTCTCTCTTTTTACTTTTTATTTTTAGAGACAAGGTCTCGCTTTGTCATCCAGGCTGGAGTGCAGTGGCACAATCATAGCGCACTGTAGCCTGGAACTCCTGGGCTCAAGCAATCCTCCCACATTAGCCTCTCCATGAGCCATCACACCAGGGTTTTTTTTTTGTTGTTGTTGTTGTTTTTGTCTTCATAATAGCTATCTTAATGGGTGTGAAGTGGTATCACAACATGTTTTTGTTTGTTTGTTTTTTGAGATGGAGTCTTGCTCCATCACCCAGCCTGGAGTGCAGTGGCACGATTTCGGCTCACTGCAACCTCCGCCTCCTGGGTTCCAGCAATTCTCCTGCCTCCTCGAGTACATGAGACTACAGGCAACTGCCACTACGCCCAGCTAATTTTTGTATTTTTAGTAGAGACGGGGTTTCACCATGTTGGGCAGGCTGGTCTTGAACTACTGACCTCAGGTGATCCACCTGCCTCGGCCTCCCAAAGTGCTGGGATTACAGGCGTGTGCCACCGCACCTGGCCTCAACATGGTTTTGATCTGCATTTACCTAATGACTAGTGAAGTTGAGCATCTTTTCATGTGTTTATTGACCATTTGTACATCATCTTTGGGGAAATGTCTATTGAGATTGTCTTTTTCTTTTTTTTTTTTTAATTTTTTTACAGACAGAGTTTCACTCTGTCACCCAGGCTGGAGCATGGTGGCGTGATCAGAGCTCACTGTAACTTCAAACTCCTGGCTTGCCCATTTTTTAACCGAGTTGTTTTTTTGGTTGTTGAGCTGTGTTTTTTTTTCTACAATCATTTAAACATGTAAAACCCATTCTTAGCACATAAGCCATTAAAAAAAAAAAAGGTCAGCTGGGCACGGTGGCTCACGCCTGTAATCCCAGCACTTTGGTCAGGAGTTCAAGACCAGCCAGGCCAAGAGAGTGAAACCACATCTCCACTAAAAATATAAAAATTAGCCAGGCGTGGTGGCAGGAGCCTGTAATCTCGGCTACTCCGGAGACTGAAGCAGAGAATTGCTTGAACCTGGGAGGCAGAGGTTATAGTGAGCCGAGATTGCGCCACCATGCTCCAGCCTGGGCGACAGCGAGACTCCGTCTCAAAAAAAAAAAAAAAAAGGTCATGGGCCATTTGGCCCCTCAAACTGTAGTTTGCCCTACTCCTTCATTTTACATTTGGGGAAAGTCAGGTCCTGAGAGACGCAGTGACTGCCCTTGGTCTCCTGATTCTCAAGTAAAGTCGTTGCAGTGGTCTCTTTAGCTACTACTTCATTCATTCAACAAATACTTATTGAGAACCTACTATGTGCCAGTCACCAGGTAAGGGGCTGCTACAGAAGAGCATGAATCAGATCTGGTCCTCAGAAGTAGGAGTGCAGAGGGGATTAAGGCATGAGACAAATAATCACACAGATAAATACATAATTGCAAACTGAAATAAGTGCTAGAAAAAAGAAAAACCAGCTGCCATGAAATAGAATATAAGGCAAGGCTTCTCTGAGGATGCCATTTCGACTGAGTTCTGAAGGACAAGTAAAAGCAACCCAGATTAGCAGAAGGGGAGGAAGAGCATTCCTGGCAGAGGAAAATGTATGAATGAGCTAAGAAATTGTTGAGTATTGGCTGGGTGCGGTGGCTCACGCCTGCAATCCCAGCACTTTGGGAGGCCGAGGTGGGCGGATCACGAGGTCAGGAGATCAAGACCATCCTGTGAATGGTGAAACCCCGTCTCTACTAAAAATACAAAAAATTAGCCGGGCGTGGTGGCGGGCGCCTGTAGTCCCAGCTACTCAGGAGGCTGAGACGGGAGAATGGCGTGAACCTGGGAGGCGGAGCTTGCAGCCACTGCACTCCAGCCTGGGTGACAGAGCGAGACTCCGTCTCAAAAAAAAAAAAAAAAAAAAGAAAAGAAAAGAAATTCTATTGAGTATTTTATTAGAAGTGCTAAATAGGGTTTTCAGGGAGTAGCAAGATCATTCCATTTTCTGTGAGGAGAATTGGAGAGGCTCAATAGATCAGAATGGAATAGGCTGAAAGCAGAAAAAAGTTGGCAGGCTCCTCTAAACATTCAGCTGAGTGGATGGGGGCCTGGGCTGGAGCAGTAGTGGTGGAGACAGAGAGGGTGAACAGGTTTGGGGATTATTTGGGAGGCTGACTCATCAGGACCCGGTGATGTTCTAGATGGCAGGGGTGAGAGGATAGGGAGGTACTGAGAATGACTCCAGGTTCCTAGCTTGAATGGATGGATGGTGGTGCCACAAGATGGGGAAATCCAAGGAAGGAGCAGGTTTGGAGAGAGAATTGAAAGAGTTCAATTTTTTTTTTTTTTTTTTTCGAGACAGATTCTAGCTCCGTCACCCAGGCTGGAGTGCAGTGGCTTGATCTCAGCTCACTGCAACCTCCGCCTCCCAGGTTCAAGCGATTCTCCTGCCTCAGCCTCCCAGTAGCTGGGACTACAGGCACGTGCCACCGCGTCTGGCTAGTTTTTATATTTTTAGTAGAGATAGGATTTCACCCTGTTGGCCAGGCTGTCTAAAACTCCTGACCTCAGGTGATCTGCCTGCCTGGGCCTCTCGAAGTGCTGGGATTACAGACATGAGCCACTGCGCCTGGCCAATTTTTGGATGTAGTAAGATTTAGACCGCTGTGAAACATCCACATGGAGGGATCAAACAGGCAGATAGATACACAGATTTGAGATTCAGAGAAGTAGTCTGAACACAAGTTAAATTTGGTGGTGGTGCTCATCACTACCACTGAACCGCGCTGGACAGGGCCAGGGAGCCTTAGCAGAAGGAGCAGAGGCCTGAGCTGGACATCAGGGCATCAGGGCATCAGGGCATCAGGGTTCTAGTCCCAATTCTGCCACTAACCACCTTCTCCGAGCTGCAGTTTCGCCATCAGTAACACAGGGAGCTTGGCCTCCATTAGGGCTTCTTTGACTTTTGGATTAAAATTCCCTCCTCTGGCCAGGCGTGGTAGCTCATGCCTATAACCCAAACACTTTTCAGAGGCCAAGGCGGGAGGACTGCTTGAACCCAGGAGTTCAAGACCAACCTGGCCAACATGGTGGAACCCGATCTCTACAAAAATACAAAAATTAGCCAGGCATGGCGGTGCACACCTGTGGTCCCAGCTACTTTTGAGGCTGAGGTGGGAGGATTGCTTGAGCCCAGGAGGCAGAGTTTGCAGTGAGCAGTAATCATGCCACTGACTCCAGCGTGGGTAACACAGAGAGACCCTGGGTCAAAAAAAAAAAAAAGAAAAAAAAAGTCCTCCTCTCCTCCAGAATAAATACAAAAAAAAAAAAAATCACGCATGATTTTCAGAGGTTCCTTCACCCAGTTCCTGGAGCCTTTCTGTAGAGGGCAAATTGAGAACTCCTAGGCTATTTGGACAACCAGTTTAGGAGTTCTTCCTTGTATACACTTTAAATATTTGTTTGTCCTCTAGGTTGCCCTATGGCAGCAACCTAGGTTGTCTATGACAGGTATTAAACCATGGTGCGGGGACACCAGGGCCTAGGTTTTTCTTGCTTTCTACCAAAAAGTGTGTTGCCATGAAGCTAGCCAGTGTATCCAAAGTGTAAATGGGAGTAAGTGCTAGAAAGGAGAATGGCTGCTATGAAAAGAAAAATAGGTAAGGCCTCTTTGAGGGTGCCACCTACTTATGCTCCAAAATAGACTGTATGTATTAATATATACATTTGCTTTCTTGGAATGCCCTGCCTCCATCTCCACATGTCCAAACTCTGCCCATTCTTCAAGGCCCCAAATACCTTCTCTCCTGCCTTTATTCCTTCTCTCAAACTAATAGCAATCTCAGCCTACACTGAACATCCACAGCACTTTGTACCCCTCTTAAGGAACTCACCATGTCTCCCTTGTATGCGTGAATCTTGCCCCCCCATTAAAGGCAGGAGCAGCACCTGTTACCCTTTATAGAGTGGCTTCACACCTATCCCTTATCTCATCTGAGTTAGAACTGGATCCCAGCCACCACTGCCCAGCTCAGACCTTGGTCTCTTGCCTAGACACCAGCCCCATCTGACCCCCTAGTGGCAGCTCTTCCATTCCTCCCACCCCCACCCATTTTCATTATGCACACTAGTGTTGAATTTTCTTTTCTTTTTTAAGAGTGGCAGGGTCTCACCCTGTCATCCAGGCTGGAATACAGTGGCAAAATCATAGCTCACTGAAACTTCCCAGGCTCAAGTGATCCTCCCACCTCAGCCTCCCATGTAGCGGGGACTACAGGTGCGTAACACCCTGCCCAGCTTTTTTTTTTATATATAGAGAGAGAGACAGGCTCTCACTACGTTTCCCAGGCTGGTCTCAAACTCCTGGCCTCAAGCGTTCCTTCCACCTTGGCCTCCCAAAGTGCTGGGATTGCAGGTGTGAGCCATCACACTCAGTCAAATACTTTCTTTAAAATCCAATTATGGGCAGGGCACAGTGGCTCATGCCTGCAATCCCAGCACTCTGGGAGACCAGGCAGGAGGATAGCTTGAACCCAGGAGTTCGACACCAGCCTGGGCAATATAGCTGGACCCCGTCTCTGGAAAAAAAAAAAAAGCAAAAACAAACACAAAACAAATTAGCCAGGCATGATGATGCACACCTGCAGTCCCAACTACATGAGAGGCTGAGGTGGGATCACTTGAGCCCAGGAAGTCGAGGCTGCAGTGAGCTGTGATTGTGCCACTGCATTCCAGCCTGAATGACAGTGAGATCTTTTCTCAAAAAATAGACATAAAAATAAAAAAAAAATAAAATCTGATTATGTAACTTCTCTAATTAATAGAGAATGACTTCCAACTGACTTCCTCAGGAGTTCTCAACTTCAGGGTTAGAAACTCTAGATTTCAGCCGGGCGCGGTGGCTCACGCCTGTAATCCCAGCACTTTGGGAGGCCAAGGCCGGCAGATCACTTGAGGTCAGGAGTTCAAGACCAGCCTGACCAACATGGTGAAACCCTGTCTCTGATAAAAACACAAAAATTAGCTGGGTGTGGTGGCACATGCCTGTAATCCCAGCTGCTCAGGAGGCTGAGGCAGGAGAATTCCCTGAACCTGGGGGGCAGAGGTTGCAGTGAGCCAAGGTTGCACCACTGCACTCCAGCCTAGGCAAGAGAGTGAGACTCCGTCTCAAAAAAAAACCCTCCAGATTTCCCACTTGGATCTTTTGTGAAATGTCTCAAATAGTTTCTCACTATTAATAAAGTACTAATTAAATAATTTGCAGGCAGGGCATAGTGGCTCACACCTGTAATCCCAGCACTTTGGGAGGCCGAGGTGGGAAGATCACGAGGTCAGGAATCCAAGACTGGCCTGGCCAACACGGTGAGACCCCGTCTCTACTAAAAATACAAAAATTAGCTGGGCGTGGTGGCGGGTGCCTGTAATCCCAGCTACTTGGGAGGCTGAGGCAGGAGAATCACTTGAAACAGGAAGGCGGAGGTTGCAGTGAGCCGAGATCATGCCACTGCACTCCAGCCTGGGCCAAAGAGTGATACTCTGTCTCAAAAAAAAAAAAAAAAAAAAAATTAGCCGGGCGTGGTGGTACATGCCTGTAGTCCCAGCTACTCCGGAGGCTGAGGCAGGAGAATCGCTTGAACCTGGGAGGCAGAAGTTGCAGTAAGCTGAGATTGCGCCACTGCACTCCAGCCTGGGCGACAGAGCGAGACTCCGTCTCAAAAAATAATAATAGGCCGGGCACGGTGGCTCACGCTTGTAATCCCAGCACTTTGGGAGGCTGAGGTGGGCAGATCACGAGGTCAGGAGATCGAGACCACGGTGAAACCCCGTCTCTACTAAAAATAAAAATTATTAGCCGGGCATGGTGGCAGGCGCCTGTAGTCCCAGCTACTTGGAGAGGCTCAGGCAGGAGAATGGCGTGAACCCGAGAGGCGGAGGTTGCAGTAAGCCGAGATCGCGCCACTGCACTCCAGCCTGGGCCACAGAGCGAGACTCCGTCTCAAAAACAATAATAAAAAATAATAATAATAAAGAATTTAAAAAATAATAATTTGTAAACATAGAGCACTTAGAATACTATCCAGAAAAAAAAAATACTGTCTAGGACATAGTAAGCATTATACAGATGTTAGGAATTATTAATCCTAAAATATTGAAACACGAGAGAGGTGGAGCAGATGCTTTTGATGCTTCATAGACATCCCATGGCCATTTCTGATTTCAGCTGCGGCTGCAGGGGACAGATTTGTGCAGGTTGACAGCATTTCTCAAGGGCCCTCTGGGTCTCTCTGATTTTCTGCCCCAGAGCTTCCTCTTCTCAAAAGCTCACTCACCCCATGAGCAGGGCAGCCCAGAAGTACTGGGACATTAGTGGGCACTATTTTTTTTTCCTTTTTTTTTTTTTTTTTTGAGACAGTCTCGCTCTGTCGCCCAGACTGGAGTGCAGTGGTGCAATCTCAGCTCACTGCAACCTCCGCCTCCCGGGTTCCAGTGATTCTCCTGCCTCAGCCTCCCAAGTAGCTGGGACTACAGGTGTGTGCCACCACGCCCGGCTAATTTTTGTATTTTTAGTAGAGAAGGGGTTTCAGCATATTGGTCAGGCTGGTCTCGAACTTCTGACCACATGATCCGCCCGCCTCGGCCTCCCAAAGTGCTGAGATTACAGGCGTGAGCCACCGCGCCCGGCCTAGTAGACACTAATTTTCTTTCTTTCTTTCTTTTTTTGAGAAAGAGTCTTGCTCTGTCGCCCAGGATGGAGTGCAGTGGCGCGATCTCGGCTCAGTTGGGCACTAATTTTCATTTGATGAACGCCTCTCCTTCGTATATTGTTAAAACTACCACCATGATCCAGGGGGAGATAAAAGAAATCCTAAATCCAGCTTGATCAGTGTTTCACTCCCTGGCATCTTTATCACCACCTAAGGTAGCATGGACCTCTATACCATCTGCCTTAACCTTCTGATCCTCCTGCTTTTAGCCCACTAACTAGCACATGCTGAGAAGGGCATCAGCTACTTGAAAAGAGTCAATGGGCTTGAGTGGAAAAGAAAATAGAGACAGCAGGGTCATCGGTCACATTGGCAAGGGGGCATGAAAAGGGAGTGGAGAGGCTTTGAGATCTTACTTTTCTTTCGTTCTAGGCTCTTAGTGGAAGAATTAAATCAGCCTGCAGAAGAGACTGAAATGAGGCACCTCTTGTCACAGTCAAGGCAGAAGCGGAAACGGAGGCCGAGACTGCGCAGGCGCAGAGGAGGCTAGCGTTCCTTGCTGCCTCGCCCCGCGGCCTCTAGGAGACAGGGGCCACGGGGAGAGCACAGCCACCCGGCGCGAAGAGCCCTCTGTACCCCGCTTCCTCTTGAGGCCCTCGGACCGTCCAGGAAATGTCTGGGAGCCCGCCTGCGGAGGGCATAGCGCCGACCCTCGCTCCCCGCCCAGGACCCGAATGAACCTGGAGAGCGGATGCCAGCAGTGGCCGAGGCGCTAGGACAGGAAGGACCGCCAGACCTCTCAAGATCAGCCTTCCTCGCCACCGTTCTCACCTCTTTGTCCGCTGCCTTCTCCTCAATGCCTAGCAGCGCGTACAGGTCCATCTGTAAGAGCTCCTTGGTCACTGCCATGGTTCCGGCCTGACGGATTCGTACTACAACTCCCAAGAGTCTAAGCGCGCGTGAGGACTGCAGGCTCCGAGCGGCGCCTAGCCCTCTGGGAATTGTGTTCTGGGTCAGGCTTGACTGACTCTGAGGGAGGCCGGCAGTCGTGAATGAACTACGACTCCCAGCAGCCCCCGTTGCCGCCGCTGCCGTACGCTGGCTGCAGGAGAGCGTCCGGATTCCCTGCTCTAGGTCGCGGCGGGACAGTGCCAGTGGGCGTGTGGGGCGGGGCAGGGCAGGGAAGGGAAGGGCGGAGCTGGGGTGAGGGTCCAAGGGGCCCAGGACTTGGCCGGCGTGATCTCAGCTCTGCAGACCCTGCGGTGCTGGGAGCCACCATGGAGAGTAGGTGCTACGGCTGCGCTGTCAAGTTCACCCTCTTCAAGAAGGAGGCGAGTCTTCCCTCCCCGAGGGCTGCAGGGCCAGGGAGGAGAGGAGGGAAAAGCGCGGGACTTAACGTCCAAAGACTTGGTCTTACGGCTCCTTTCCAGCTGTGTGGTTTTGATGAAGTCATTGATCCTCAGTTTCCATTTCTGTAAAATGGGGCTAACATTCTCTCGCTTTCAGGGTTTATGTGAGGGTCCACTGAAGTGCTTTAGGTGAGAGTTCCCTATAAACTGTAAAGCGCGCTGCCGTCGTTTTTGCAAAGCTACTCTTTTCTGTCGGCCCAGTGTAGCATCTGGCGGTTTTCTTCTCTCCACCCTGCTCCTCCGAAGCGCGGTGTCCATCACACCAAGCCCGTTACTCCCTCTGCTCTGAAATCTTCCCCATCCCGCAGCCTGCCCTTCTCCAGGTCGCTGGAGTTAGATTACCACACTTCCTCCTGCTTCCGGGGCACCATGGTGAAGGCTGACTGTCCTGTCCCTATCACAGACCTGCCAGATTCCTCTGGTAAACTGCAGGTTCCCTCTGCCTCAGTTGTGGCCAGGGATTCTGACCAGGAGATGATGGGAACTAGATGGAGTAAATTAGTGTCACGCAGGAAGGCAGGACCGTGCAGCATTCACCAACCTGGATTTTGGAGTCAGCGTTCAAATCTGAGCTCTGCTGTCTTATTGAGGCGGTGACCTTGGTTTGGATAAGTTATGTAACCTCTCTGGCCCTCTCAAAATAAGGATAATCACGGTTGGCATCAAGATTAAGTAAAATAATGTGTGTAAATTGTAAGGAATAAATCACATGATGAATGTTAAGTACTGGGTTTAGTGCCTGGCACATAGTAAGTGCTTAATAAATGGAGGCTATTGTTAGCCCATCCTGAGCCAAGCCTCCCTCCATCTCTGCAAGAGCAGAGGAGGCATCGGCTCTGCCCTGTCTCTCTGATTCTCCTTTGTGGAAGAGTCAGTGGCCTGAAATACTGGGCTTTATCTATCTGTCTTCTACATCCCTGGGTCAGGGAATTGAAGACAGGGTAGAAAGCATGGGAATTTTGTATAAACCTTCATTTGGCTTGAATAAGGTACTGGAAACCGAGGAATTGCTTTACTCACCATCCCTAGGCCTTAGGGGCCCCACTCCTCTTCTTCCTCCCAGCAGCTGGTCATAACTTCAGTGACTTCTCTCTGTGTGTGCTTGGAGAGTCCCTGGGAGCAGCCTGCAGGGGCGGGTGAGAGGGGGATCTCCCGCTTCATGTTTCTTGTAGTACGGCTGTAAGAATTGTGGCAGGGCCTTCTGTTCAGGCTGCCTAAGCTTCAGTGCAGCAGTGCCTCGGACTGGGAACACCCAACAGAAAGTCTGCAAGCAATGCCATGAGGTCCTGACCAGGTAAGAGGCAGGCATGGGTGAAAGTTCAGCCAAGTATGGCAGTGGGCATCTGGCCAGCCCTCACAGCTTTGTACTCTGTCGCGAGAGTCAGCCGAGGAAGTGTTTGGAGTGGGGGGCACTGCCTGGTGGGATGGCAGGATTTATAACACTAGATTTCTTCTCTGTAGAGGGTCTTCTGCCAATGCCTCCAAGTGGTCACCACCTCAGAACTATAAGAAGTAAGTGCTGAAGAGAAAAAGACAAAGAGCATTGGGGAAAGGATAAGGGAGCCATAGGGAAAGACCCTGCCCCCATCTTCTAGATAAAATGAGCACAGAATCAGGAGAATTCTCTCCTCTCTGGCTCCTGACTGCCCTCTTGGGCTGGTAAAGCAGCTCTTCAGCCCTCTCTCCAGGACAGGCACTTGGTAGAGCTTGTCCTTTCAGCTGGACCGTCTGGCTGGTCAGCCAGGTTGGGCTGCAGGGTGACATGAGTGAGGGGCACAGCAGATTGCCCATTGGAGGCCTCCCTAAGTGCCCAGAAATGATTTGATTTGAATGGGAAACAGTGAGTGGGTGCCTTCACTCTTCCCCTCTGCCTTCTTCAAGAGCCTCTATCTCATATCCTGCCAGGCGTGTGGCAGCCTTGGAAGCCAAGCAAAAGCCCAGCACTTCCCAGAGCCAGGGACTGACACGACAAGACCAGATGATTGCTGAGCGCCTAGCACGACTCCGCCAGGAGAACAAGCCCAGTGAGCAGGGGCAGATGGGGTTGCCTAGAGGACACAGTCCAGGGCTTCTGGGACTGAGATGCCTCTGGCCCTTACAAGGCTCCCCCCATGCCAATTGCAGAGTTAGTCCCCTCACAGGCAGAGATAGAGGCACGGCTGGCTGCCCTAAAGGATGAACGTCAGGGTTCCATCCCTTCCACCCAGGAAATGGAGGCACGACTTGCAGCGTTGCAGGGCAGAGTTCTACCTTCTCAAACCCCCCAGCCGGTGAGTGTTATGGCTTAGGAGAGAAGCGGGGGTGCTAGCGGGAGGACCCAGCAGAAGCCCAGATACAGGTATTGGGGTGATACAAAAGTAATTGTGGTTTTTGTCATTACTTTTAATTGCAAAAACCTCAGTTACTTTTGCACCAACCTTTGTACTTTATGTACTTTGCAGGAGTTGGCAAAGCCTCCCACCCCTACCTCCTGATCCTCAGGCCTGCTACCAGACCCGGGGACCAGGGACAAACAGCACGATAGGGTAGGGCAGGAAAAAGTGGCCCCTCAGTCCTGTTGGGGACGGCCAGACCTACTTGATTATGTGGGCCCTGGATCCCTCTCCTTTCCCTGGGCTTTGAGAACTACTTAGCATCCATCCCTGACCTAGACTGCTTCTGGGCTACCCCTGCTCTCCACTGAGGTTTCCTCGTCTGTGCAGGCACATCACACACCGGACACCAGGACCCAAGCCCAGCAGACACAGGATCTGCTAACGCAGCTGGCAGCTGAGGTGGCTATCGATGAAAGCTGGAAAGGAGGAGGCCCAGGTAACCCCTCCACTTGGCTCCCTAGGAATCTGCCCTACCTCTTTCCCCAGACTGGAGAGGCTCTGCTGTCCACCCTCTGGGAGATGAATATAAATCGGAGAGTGATCAACGTTATAAGAGTTACCATTCATTGAGTGCTTACTCCAAAGGGAGCCAGTGTAAGCCTAGTGTTTAAGTGCACGGGCTTTAGAATCAGACAGTGATTCCCATTTCTACCACGTATTAGCTGTGTGATGCTGGACAAGTTACTTGACCTAAGTCTCACTTTCCTCATGTGTAAAATGAAGGTATGTATGGAAAAACCTACCTCACAGGGAAATCAGGAGGAGTAAACGAGATAATCCAATAAGTGCTTGGGAACATACCTGACTCATAGTGAGTACTCAGTGAATATTCTCTGCAATCATGATGTTGATAAGGAGGAAGAAGCTATTTAGTAAAACCAGCCACATCTCAATGCTCAGTAGCCATATGGGCTTCATGGCTACCATCTTGGACAGCACAGATATAGAACATGATATGGAATGTTTCCATCATCATAGAACATTCTGTTGGACAGTGCTGTTTGAAGGCTTCAGAGCAGTGGTTTTCAACAAAGGATGATTTTGCCCCCAGGCTACTTGTGGCAACATTTAGAGACTTTTTGGTTGTCACAACCCAGAGGATATTACTGGCACCTACAGGATAGAAGCCAGGGATGCTACTAAATCTACTATGTCACAGGACAGCACATCATGATGAAGAATTACCCGGTCCAAAGTGTCAAGAGAACTAAGATTGAGAAGTCCTGCTTTAGAGGCACAATCTCATTGAATATCCTCAATAATCTTATGAGGCCAGGTGTGGCTCACGCCTGTAATCCTAAGCACTTAAGGAGGCAGAGGCAGGAGGGAGGATAGCTTGAGCTGGGGAATTTAAGACCTGCCTGGGCAACATAGCAAGACTCTGTTTAAAAAAAAAATCTTATAAGGTACATACTATTCTTTTTTATAAATGAGGAAACAGGCCTGGTGAGCTTGAGGAACTTGACCAAGGTCACACAGCTATTAAGCTGCAGAGATGAGACTTAAACCTAAAGCTGTGATTTTAAACCTCTTGCTCTGAAACACTAAACTGAAGGTGACTGTGTCAGAGCCACACCTAATCTGGTAAAATTCTTCCTGCCCAGTGATATACAAGCTCTTAGCTTCCTTCATTGCCCTCTCTGTGCTAATCCCAGGAGATGCTAATTCCTGCCCTGAAAGGCAAAGAGATCGGCTGAACCTGGGCCTTATCATGTCTTGATCCTTTAGGGCAGTGATTCTCAAACCATAGGACGCCCACCCTTAGGGCAGAATGTTAAAATATCAGGTAGATGGGGATGGATGTGGTTGGAAAAGACATGGGTAAAATTATTAGTTTTTTACATTTGGAAAAATGGAGGAATACTAATTTTATTTGTGATAGAAACCATAGGCGCTAGTGCTGAGCAAAAAGCTGATGATCTGTGATTAGAAAGGGTTGAGAAAAGCTGGGCATGATGGCTCACGCCTGTAATCCCAGCACTTTGGGAGGCTGAGGCGGGTGGATCACGAGGTCAGGAGTTGGAGACCAGCCTGACCAACATGTTGAAACCCCGTCTCTACTAAAAATACAAAAATTAGCCGGGCATGGTGTCACGTGCCTGTAATCCCAGTTACTCAGGAGGCTGAGGCAGGAGAATCGCTTGAATCCAGGAGGCAGAGGTTGCAGTGAGCTGAGATTGCACCACTGCACTCCGGCCTGGGTGACAGAGCGAGACTCCATCTCAAAAAAAAAAAAAAAGAAAGAAAGAAAGAAAGAAAGAAAGAAAGAAAAAATTATTAAAGAAAAAGAAAAGAAAAGGTTGAGAAATGGGCTCATTGGCTTCTGAGGAGAGATACTGGGATGTCTCGGCCTTGCTGATGGCATTACCCCTTCCAGCTGCCTCTCTCCAGAATGATCTCAACCAGGGTGGCCCAGGGAGCACTAATTCCAAGAGGCAGGCCAACTGGTCCTTGGAGGAGGAGAAGAGCAGACTGCTGGCTGAGGCAGCACTTGAGTTGCGGGAGGAGAACACGAGGCAGGAACGGATTCTGGCCCTGGCCAAGCGACTAGCCATGCTGCGGGGACAGGACCCCGAGAGAGGTGAAGGCTGGGGAGCAGCTGCTCACTGGTATCCCTTGGTCAAGGCCTCCCTGGCAGGGCTGAGTCAGGTGCTGGGGGTATTTGCGCCCAGAGATCTACTGAGCCCAGCCCAGAGCCACAAGGAAGGTGGTAGAGCAAAGCAGTGGGTGAGGAGTCAGGGGCAGCCATGAGGGCAGGGGACCTTCAGTCCATTCAGGGGCTGAGGCTTTCGCTCCAGCCCCCAACCTAGCCCTCAGGCCTGCTTCAGTGATGGCCCAGCCCTGCAGGGCTGGGGCAGGCAGGGACAGGTCATCAGGGTGGCTGAAGAGGCTTCTCAGCTCTGGAATAAGTGCCCCTGGGAACCGAACCAGTTCTGGGAGGCAGGAGGGCAGCCACTCATGTGAAATCTCTCACTCTCACTCCCCCATCCCCTGTTCCCATGTCTCCCTCTTCAAGTGACCCTCCAGGACTATCGCCTCCCAGACAGTGATGACGACGAGGATGAGGAGACAGCCATCCAAAGAGTCCTGCAGCAGGTGGGCCTGGATTACCCACCTGCCACCCCTTGTCCCGTCTCCGCCTCATTGCCCCACCTCTACTCTGGGGCTGGGTGGACAGTAACTGTGAAGCTCCTGTTCTCTTTGGGCCCCCTCCTGTGACCCAGACCCAGACCTGCCCACTGGTCCCTGGAGATAGGGAATCAGCAGCCACAGGCCACAAGTAAAGAAAAAGATGAGTTTGAGAAGCTAAGTCCACAGTGCACAGAAATACTGGGAGATGGAGGGCCTGGGCCTGAAGCAGGGGAGTAGTACATCTTCACCCTGTCCGCAGCTCACTGAAGAAGCTTCCCTGGATGAGGCAAGTGGCTTTAACATCCCTGCAGAGCAGGCTTCTCGACCCTGGACGCAACCCCGCGGGGCAGAGCCTGAGGTGAGAAAAGCCCCAGATGCAGACCCCCAGGCTCCCCCCAGCCTTGCTTCCTGCCTGGCTGACTGCTCCTGCAGCAGCTCACATACCCCACTGGGTACCTTACTTCCTCCATTCCTCTCTGATCCCTGAAGGCCCAGGATGTGGACCCCAGGCCTGAGGCTGAGGAAGAGGAGCTCCCCTGGTGCTGCATCTGCAATGAGGATGCCACCCTACGCTGCGCTGGCTGCGATGGGGACCTCTTCTGTGCCCGCTGCTTCCGGTGGGTGCAGGTGGAATGTTCTGTGCGAGAGCTCAAGGGCTGCCTGGATCCCTGACTTGTATCCCTTTGTTCCACAGAGAGGGCCATGATGCCTTTGAGCTTAAAGAGCACCAGACATCTGCCTACTCTCCTCCACGTGCAGGCCAAGAGCACTGAAGACACCCTGGTCCTCCCGGAAGGGCAGTCCCACAGGCAGCGGCACCCATTTCTGGGCCCAGCCACAGGACGTCCGATGGGAGAGCTTGTCTGGCTCTACTGATGATGGATAGGCCCCTTCCTGAGCCTTGGTGTCCCTGGAATGAGGAAAGATTCTCCATTCGAGAGAATGACTGGGAGGGAAGAAGTCGGGGCCCTCCTATTAGAAGCCCAGACTGGAAGTGAGAGGCATGATGGGGAGAGACCAGACTGAATCTACGGGTGAGCCCTGTAACCTGGCTCTAGGGCACAGGCCCCTCCCCTGGCACTTAGTGGGTCTAATAAAGTATGTTGATTCATTGGGCCCAGCATCTCATTTCTACAACCCTATGAGCCTGGGCCCTGTGAGAGGTGGCAGGAACAGAGCAGGCTGTAAGCACAGTTGTGGGGAATGGGGGAAAAGGTTGAGCCATCCTATGAACTTCTCCAGGCAGGAACAGCCCTACCCATCCTGGTGGCCTCATACGAAGTAAACATGTATTCATTCAACTCAACTGTGCTCCAGCTCTGGGCAGCCCCACTTAGCCACCAGTCCCCACCATCTTGGATTTCTCAGCCTCTCTACTACTCACACAATGCACGCAGGAACAATGCACACACACCCTGCTTCCTGCCTTACTGGCAAAGGACCCCAGCTCCTAGGGCTCCTGTCCCAACCTGCCTGCCATTCAGTCTCAGTATCTCTCTTCCAGTAATGCGCCCTAACCGGACCCCTGACCTCTCGGCATGTACCCTTTACATGCCTCTGCATTGCCTCTGCTGTTTCTCTTCCTGCCCCTGGCTGGAACCAACTATAAAGAGCCCTCGGGCTGAGGTCTACCTCCTGCATCACTTTTGGTTGGAAGAGCCTTTTCTGAGGCTCTCAGATCCAGCTAGGTTTTTCCTGTTACTTCCTCTCTGGGATTTGAAACTAGTCTTTGCCATTGGCGTCCCTCTTGTTGGTTATGCCAGTAGGCTGTGTACCTTAGGCAGATAATGTCTGCTTGGCCCCGAGGCCTTGCTAGATTGTGATCTCTCTGAAGTGGAGCTGTGACTTTCGTCTTTGAATTCTTGAGTCCTTTGGATGGATGGATGGATGAGGTGTGTGGGCACAGCCAAGTGACTTAGGTTGTGGCCTTCCTGTGTATCACTTCATTCTCTCCTCCCCTGTCCCTCAGCACAGATATGTTCCACACTCCATTGAGCTGGGGCTCCTAAAGGTTTTATCCACTTGGCTGCCAAGGAAGGCATTGGACAACAGCCAGCTTTCTCCCAGAGAGCCCAGCTGACAGAAACTAGCTGTGACCACACAGACAGTAGGAGTATGCAAATGTCCCTCCTTGTCCACATTTCTTGTTTGTGTCCCAAGGAGCTATTTCCCTCTTAGCCAGGATCTGGAGTTTCAGGGCAGGCCTGGCAGTGCTGAGGCTGCTAAAGATGGTCTCTCAGGCTTATTTCTGAGGCCGGCTGAGTCTCCGGAGTTTCTTGAGTTGACTGAGCAGCTCAGAGATAAAAGCCTGAGGGAGAAACAGGAGTGAGACCAGGCTTGGGGTCACAATTCACCCCCCACCCTGCCCTCCCTAATCTTCCCCTGCCCCTGACTCCCCAGAGAAGGGAGAAGGACCCACAGCCAAGCCTTCCCTTCAAATACTCCTCATTAGCTACCTCCCCCATTGGGCCTCCTCTTACCCCAGACCAGCAGAAGAACATCCCTTACCTCTGTGGGGCGGGGGCAGTTCCCAAGAATGGCCTAGATAGGAGAGAACACAGACAGGGCCCCAAGTCACAGCACTTTCCCGCAAGTCCCCACCAATCTCCCAAGAATTCTCCCCTCTGGATTGGTTCTCTGCACTCCACCAAAGGAGGCAGAACCTGGGTTTCTGGGTTCCCACTGACCCAAGGCCAGCTTCTAGCCCCCATCCTACCTCCAGCTGAGTCTTCTGCTCCTCTGTGGATAGATCCATGAGAGCTTCCAGGTCAATCTCAGGCTCAGAAGGGGTTGCTTGATCCTATTTGGAAATCACATGGGTCTCAGAGGGGCCTGACCAGCTGGTGCTGGAATGAAGGTTACTGTCAGGGACTCAACCCACCTCTCTCCAATTTCCCATGGTTAGACTTTCTCCTCACTCAGAACACCCATTCAGTTTTCCATTCAACAGTAATTTACTAAACATATACTATATTTTGGCTGGGTGCAGTGGCTCATGCCTGTAATCCCAGCACTTCGGGAGGCCGAGGCAGGCAGATCACCTGAGGTCAGGAGTTTAAGACCAGCCTGGCCAACATGGTGAAATCCTGTCTCTACTAAAAATACAAAAATAAGCCGGGCATGGTGGTGGACGCCTGTAATCCCAGCTACTTGGGAGGCTGAGGCAGGAGAATCACTTGAACCCAGAACCTGGGAGGCAGAGGTTGCAGTGAGCCGAGATTGTGCCACTGTACTCCATCCTGGGTGACAGAGGGAGACTTCGTCGCAAAAAAAATAAAAATAATAAAAAAAGACATCTGTTAAGGGACTGTTACCCAAAAAATACAAAGAATTATTGACCAGGCACAGTGGCTCACTCCTGTAATCCCAGCACTTTGGGAGGCTGAGGTGGGTGGATTATTTGAGGTCACGAGTTCGAGACCAGCCTGGCCAACATGGTGAAATCCTGTCTCTACTAAAAATGCAAAAAGTAGCTGGGCCTGGTGGCACATGCCTGTAATCCCAGCTATTCAGGAGGCTGAGGCAGGAGAATGGCTTCAACCAGAAGGTGGAGGTTGCAGTGAGCGGAGATCGTGCCACTGCACTCCAGCCCGTCTGGGCGAGTCTCTGTCTTAAAACAAAAGCTGGCCACGGTGGCTCATGCCTGTAATCTCAGCACTTTGGGAGGCCAAGGCGGGTGTATCATTTGAGGTCAGGAGTTCTAGACCAGCCTGGCCAACGTGGTAAAACCCCGTCTCTACTGAATATACAAAAATTAGCTGGGTGTGGTTGCGCATACCCGTAATCCCAGCTACTCCAGGAGCTGAGGCAGGAGAATCGATTGAACCCGGGAGGCAGAAGTTGCAGAGAATGGATCACACCACTGCACTCCAGCCTGGGTGACAGAGCAAGACTCTGTCAAAAAAAAAAAAAAAAAAATTAAATTACAAGAAGAAGATGAACAACACAATTGAAAAATGGACAACAGATATGAACAGACACCCCACTAAATAAGATATATAGATGAAAAGTGAGTGTATAAAAAGATGCTCAACATCATATGTCATTAGGGAATTGCAAATTAAAACATTCATTCATTCATGTCATTCATTGCTAGTGGGAATGCAAAATGGTATGGCTACTTTGGAAGATAGTTTGGTGGTTTCTTACAAAACTAAACTTTTTTTTTTTTTTTTTTTGAGACAAAAGTATTGCTCTGTCACCCAGGCTGGAGTGCAGTGGCATGATCAAGGCTCACTGCAGTCTTGACCTCCCAGGCTCAAGGGATCCTCCCACCTCAGCCTCCCAAGTAGCTGGGACCACAGGTGCACACCACCACACCCAGCTAATTTTTTATTTTTTGTAGAGACAAGTCTCAATATGTTGTCCAGGCTGGTCTCAAACTCCTGGTCTCAAGTGATCCTCCCACCTCTGCCTCCCAAAGCACTGGGATTACAGGCGTAAGCACCATGCCCAGCCCTAAACACACTCTTACCATGCAGTCCATTAATTGCACTCCCTTGGTATTTACCCAAATGAGATGAAAACACATTCACACAAAAACCTGCACACAGATGGCTGGGTGCGGTGGCACACGCCTGTAATCCCAGCACTTTGGGAGGCTGAGGCGGGCTGATCACGAGGTCAGGAGATTGAGACCATCCTGGCTAACACAGTGAAACCCCGTCTCTACTAAAAATACAAAAAATTAGCTGGGCGTGGTGGTGGGTGCCTGTGTCCCAGCTACTCGGGAGGCTGAGGCAGGAGAATGGTGTGAACCCGGGAGGCAGAGCTTGCAGTGAGCCAAGATGGCGCCACTGCACTCCAGCCTGGGCGACAGAGCGAGACTCCATCTCAAAAAAAAAAAAAAAAAAAAAAAACCACACATGCACACGGATGATCTATAGCAGCTTTATTCATAATTGCCAAAACATGGAAGCAACTAAGATAGTCTTCAGTAGGTGAATGGATAAACAAACTGGTATGTCCAGAGAATGGAATATTATTCAGTGCAAAAATGAATGAGCTATCAAGCCAGGAAGAGTCATCGAGGAACCTAAAATGCATATGACAGTTAAATAAGCCAGTTTGAAGCCAGTCACAGTAGCATGCACCTGTATAGTCCCAAGGAGTCTAGCCTGGGCAGAAAAGTAGAGACCCTGTCTCAAAAAAAAGAAGAAGCCAACTTAAATACTCTATGATCCCAACAGTAAGACCTGCTGGAAAAAGTATGGCGATAGTAAAAAGATCAGTGATTGCCACAGGGGTAAGAGGGAGGAGGGACAAGTAGACCACAGGGGATTCTCAGGACAGTGAAACTCTTCTGTATGACACTATAACGGTGGATACATGTCATGCACATTTGTCCAAAACCATAGAATGTACAACACCAACAGTGAAGCCCAATTTAAACCATGGACTTTGGTTGATAATGTTGTCAGTGTAAATTCATTGATTGTAACAAATAATATATAACCTTGCTGCTGGGTGGGGGATAGTGGGGGAAGCTATACATATGTGGCGGCAGGGAGATATGGGAAATATCTTTTACCTTATGCTCAATTTGTCTGTGAACCTAAAACTGCTCTAAAAAATAGGTCTATTAAAAAAGGACGTGAGCTCAAATATAATTAATAAAATTAATATTTTACTGCTTCAACAAGGACATTCTTTCTGTTATCTTTTCATTTACCCATTTTACAGATGAAGAGGACTTTCTTAAGTGAAAACGATGTAGTAGTGAAGAACACGACTACTAGTACAGTTTAGTGCCACTTTCTTGATTCATGTGAAGGGCCACTGTTGCTTTTGCATTATCAGCACAAATGTCAACGTACTGAAAAAGGCAAACAAAATCTTAGCATTGGCCAGGCGCGAGGCTGAGGCAGATGGATCACTTGAGGTCAGGAGTTCGAGACCAGCCTGGCCAACTTGGTGAAACCTCCATCTCTACTAAAAATACAAAAATTAGCCAGGTATGGTGCCGTGTGCCTGTAATCCCAGCTATTTGGGAGGCTGAGGCAGGAGAATGGCTTGAACTCGGGAAGTGAGCCAATATCACGCCACTGCACTCCAGCCTGGGCGACAAAGCAAGACTCTCTTTCTCAAAAAAAAAAAAAAAAATTACCGTTATTATGAAAATAATCACAGAACCTCCGAAAGAGTTCTTGGGAATCTCCGAAAGAGTTCTTAGGAACCTCCATGGGTCACTAGACCACACTTCAAGAACTGATATGTTATCCATTTTTCTGTTGAGATTTTCAGTTTTTTTCTTACTGATTTAAGAACTCTTTCTTTTTAACTTATTGAATTCAGATTAACCCTAGATTCCACATATGATGGAAATAGCTATTGTGCTGGAGGGGTGCTGTTGGGGAAATACATGTATGTGTTTATATAGTTGAGTCTAATGGTATTTTCCAGTGTATATTGCTATTTTTTTTTTTTTTTTGAGATGGAGGTTTGCTCTTGTTGCCCAGGCTGGAGTGCAATGGCATGATCTCGGCTCACCGCAACCTCTGCCTCCCGGGTTCAAGCGATTCTCCTGCCTCAGCCTCCCGAGTAGCTGGGATTATAGGCATGCGCCACCACGCCTGGCTAATTTTGTATTTTTAGTAGAGATGGGGTTTCTCCATGTTGGTCAGGCTGGTCTCGAACTCCTGACCTCAGGTGATCTGCCCGCCTCGGCCTCCCAAAGTGCTGGGATTACAGGCATGAGCCACTGTGCCCAGCCCTTTTTTTTTGCTGACAGGGTCTCGCTCTGTCACCCAGGCTGGAGTGCAGTGGTGCGATCTCGGCTTACTGCAACCTCTGCCTCCCAGGGTGAAGCAATTCTCCTGCCTCAGCCTCCCAAGTAGCTGAGATTATAGGTGCTTGCCACCATGCCTGGCTAGTTTTTGTATTTTTAGTAGAGATGGGGTTTTACCATGTTGACCAGGCTGGTCTCTACCTCCTGACCTCAGGTGATCCACCCACCTCAGCCTCCCAAAGTGTTGGGATTACAGGCGTGAGCCACCGAGCCTGGCCTAGATTAAAAAACTTAAAAAGCAGAGCCAGAAAAGACATAAATGATAGAATTAGCAGACAAGGAAAACATAAACACAGTAATGAGAGATACAGAAGATAAAAGAAAGAATCAGGCCAGGTACAGTGGCTCACGCCTATAATCCCAGCACTTTGGGAGGCTGAGATGGGCGGCTCACTTGAGGTCAGGAGTTTGAGAGTTTGAGACCAGCCTGGCCAAAATGGTGAACCCCGTCTCTACTAAAAATACAAAAATTTAGCGAGGTGTTCTGACGTACACCTGTAATCCCAGTTACTCGGGAGGCTGAGGCAGCAGAATGGCTTGAACCCGGGAGGTGGAGGTTGCAGTGAGCCAAGATCATGCCACTGCCCTCCAGCCAGGGTGACAGAGCAAGACTCTGTCTCAAAATAAAATAAAAATATAAATAAAGAAAGAAATAAAAGAACCAGCCAGGCACAGTGGCTCATGCCTTAATCTCGGCACTTTGGTGGGGGTTAAGACAGGAGAGTGCTTGAGGCCAGGAGTTTGAGACCAGCCTGAGCAACATAGCAAGAACTCTTCTCCATTAAAAAAAAAATAAGAAGAAAAAAAAAGAACCAGGCCGGGTGCCGTGGCTCACGCCTGTAATCCTAGCACTTCGGAGGCCGAGGTGGGGATCACCTCAGGTCAGGGGTTCGAGATCAGCCTGGCTAACATGGTGAAACCCCATCTCTACTAAAAATACAAAAATTAGCCAGACATGGTGCGCATGCCTGTAATCCCAGCTACTCAGGAGGCTAAGGCAGGAGAATTGCTTGAACCAAGGAGGCAGAGGTTGCAGTGAGCTGAGATCATACCATTTGCACTCCTGCCTGGGTGACAGAGTGAGAGTCTGTCTCAAAACAAACAAACAAACAAAACCAAATGGAGCACCTAGAGAAGAAAAATTGCATATTTTAAATGTAAACCTTACTAGATAGAATTAACAGCATGTTTAACACTGTGGGGAAAAAAAAAAGGTCAGTTGAAGATATAGCAAATGAAATGAGCCAAAATGAAGCACAGATTAAAAAAAAACCTGGGTGGGCAGGGTAGTGGGGGAGGACAGAATAGAAAAGAACTTCGATGACCTATGGATATCAAGTGGTCTAACATCTGTAACTGGAATCTCAGAGGGTGTGAGTGGGCATTATAATAAAGATAAACTCTAGGCCAGGCGTGGTGGCTCATGCCTGTAATCCCAGCACTCTGGGAGGCTGAGGCAGGCGGATCACCTGAGGTCAGGGGTTTGAGACCAGACTGGCCACCATGGCGAAACCCCATCTCTACTAAAAATACAAAAATTAGCCGGGTGTGGTGGTGCATGCCTGTAACCCCAGCTACTGGGGAGGCTGAGGCAGGAGAATCAGTCAAACCTGGGAGGCGGAGGCTGCGGTGAGGCGAGATCGTACCACTGTACTCCAGCGTGGGCGATAAAGTGAGACTGTGTCTCAAAAACAAACAAACAAACAAAACACACTCTAATGATTAGAACTTTGCCTTTAAAAAAGTATCAGTCTTGGTCAGGTGCAGTGGCTTATGCCTGTAATCCCAGCACTTTGGGAGGCTGAGGTGGGAGGATTGCTTAAGTTCAGGAGTTCGAGACCAGCCTGGGCAACATGGCAGACCCCATCTCTATTTTTTAAAAAACATTTTAAGTTTATAATGTAAAAAAGTTACAGTAATCTGAAGTTAGCTTATTACTGAAGAAAGAAAAAAAATGTTATAGGCTGGGCACAGTGGCTCATTCCTATAATCCCAGTACTTTGGGAGGTCAAGGCAGGCAGATTGCTTGAGCCCAAAAGTTCAAGTCCAGCCTGGGAAACATAGTGAGACCTTGCCTCTAAAAAAAAAAAAGAAAGAAAAAAATATTTTTATAAATTTAGTGTAGCAGCTGGTTATGGTGGTTCATGCCTATAATCCCAACACTTTGAAAGGCCAAGGCAGGAGGATCGCTTGAGGTCAGGAGTTCAAGACCAGATTCTTTTTTTTTTTTGAGATGGAGTTTCGCTCTTGTTGCCCAGGCTGGAGTGCAATGGCATGATCTCAGCTCACTGCAAACTCTGCCTCCCGGGTTCAAGTGATTCTCCTGCCTCAGCCTCCCGAGATGCTGGGATTACGGGTGCCTACCACGTCCTGCTAATTTTTGCATTTTTTTAGGAGAGACGGGGTTTTGCCATGTTGGTGAGGCTGGTCTCAAACTCCCAACCTCAGGTGATCCACCCGCCTTGGCCTCCCAAAGTGCTGGGATTACAGGCGTGAGCCACCATGCCTGGCCTCAAGACCAGTTTTTTAAAACTTAAAATGACATTTTGTTGTTGTTGTTGTTTTGTGGAGTTTTTGTTTTTGTTTTTGAGTAGGGTCTCATTCTGTCACCCAGGCTGCACAATCATGGCTCACTGCAGCCTCAACCTCCCGGGCTCAAGCAATCCTCCTACCTCAGCCTCTCAAGTAGCTGGGACTACAGGTGCACACCACCACATCCGGCTAATTTTTTTTTTTTTTTTTTTTTACAATTTCGCTCTTGTCGCCCAGGCTGGAGTGCAATGGTGCAATCTTGGCTTACTGCAACCTCTGTCTCCTGGGTTCAAGCGATTCTCCTGCCTTAGCCTCCCAAGCAGCTGGGATTACAGGTGGCCACCACCATGCCTGGCTAATTTTGTATTTTTAGTAGAGACGGGATTTCACCATGTTGGCCAGGCTGGTCTCTAACTCCTGACCTCAGGTGATCCGTCCACTTCAGCCTCTCAAAGTGCTGGGATTACAAGCATGAGCCACTGCACCTGGCCCCTGGCTAATTTTTAAAAATTTTTTTGTTGAGTGGGGTCCCACTATGTTGCCCAGGCTGGTCCTGAGCTCCTGGGCTCAAGCAATCCTCCTGCCTCGGCCTCTCAAGTGCTGGGATTACAGTTATGAGCCACTGTACCCAGCAGGAAAAAAAGAATTTAGTGCAGCCTATGTGTACAGTGTTTATGAAATCTACAGTAATGTCCTAGGCCCTCACATTCACTCACCAACTCACCCAGAACAACTTCCAGTCCTGCAAGCTCCATTCATAGTAAGTGACCTATATAGTTGTGCCATTTAAAATCTTTTCTACCATATTTTTACTATACCTTTTCTATGTTCAGATATATAAATACTTAGCATTACATTACAGCTGCCCACAGTATTCAGTACAGTAAACTGCTGTACAGGTTTGTAGCCTAGGAATAATAGCTACACCATATAGCCTACATGTGTGGTAGGCTATACCATCTAGGTCTGTGTACATACACTCTATGATGTTTGCACAATGATGAAATTGCTTAACAATGTAGCATTTCACAGAATGTATCCCTGTGGTTAAGCAGGGCATGACTATATATTGAATATAAGGTATGTGTATTACTGAGTACAAGACTGCCACTGGGGTGCAGTGGCTTACCCCTCCCAGCACTTTGGGAGGCCAAGGTGGGAAGATTGCTTGAGCCCAGGAGTTAAAGACAAGCCTGAACAACATAGCAAGACTCCATCTCCATTAAAAAAAAAAAAAAAAAGGACTACTACGGCAACCTGGTGTTGAGAATATGGGCTCATATCACAGTCCAAATACTCTTGCCCTCAAATAATTTTTGAACTCTCAGAACATAAGCAGGTATATAAAACAACCCCTACTGAGATGAACAAGTGTGAGACTTGTGACTCTATGTCATGTAGGGTAGTTTCCTGGAAGCTGCTGCCTGATTTGACTCCCTTTCTTACTTCCTTTCCATACCCAGGGTCCTTACTCCTGACCTCTCCACTAGGGAGACCAGCAATTAAATAAGGCTCAGATGAACCAACAATTTTTTTTCCTTTTTTTATAGAGGCAATCAAGTTAAACACAAATGTTTGTTTCACACATTCATTGACAATACTGTTTTTTTTTTTTTGAGATAGGGTCTTGCTTTGTCACCCAGGCTGGAGTGCAGTGGCACGATCATGGCTTACTGCAGCCTTGACCTCCCAGGCTCAAGCAATCCTCCCTCCTCAGCCTCCCAAGTGGTTGGAACCACAGGCACGCACCACCACACCCTGCTAATTTTTTGTATTTTTTTGGACAGGGTTTCACCATATTACCTATGCTAATCTCGAACTCTTGGACTCAGGCAATTTGCCCCTCTCAGCCTCCCAAAGTGCTGGGATCATAGACATGAGCCACTGTGCCCAGCTGACAATACTTTTTTTAAGTCAAAAGTTTAATAGAATTATTAAATTCTAATTAATAGAATTAAAATGTCACTATATCAAAAAGGAAGCTACAGGAAAGGAATGTTTCAAAACTCTGGGATGGTCAACAGTGTCCCTTGCTAATGTGAAGATTAGATTTACCCCCAAGGCAGTGACTGGTGACCTTGGCCAGAGCTCTCAAAAGAGTGGTGGAAACAGAAGCCGGATTCCAGTGGATTGAGTGATGACAGGCAGGGAAAAAGTAAATAAGGCTGTGAGTGTGGACAAGTCCTTTAAGGAGTTTGGCTCTAAAGTGACAAGAAATGGGGGATACCAGGCCAGGCGCGGTGGCTCATTCCTGTAATCCCAGCACTTTGGGAGGCTGAGGCGGGTGGGTCACCTGAAGTCAGTAGTTTGAGACCAGACTGGCCAACATGGTGAAACCTCATCTCTACTAAAAATACAAAAAATTAGCCAGGTGTGGTGGTCGGCGCCTGTAATCCCAGCTACTTGAAAAGCTGAGGCAGGAGAATCACTTGAACCTGGGAGGCGGAGGTTGCAGTGAGCCAAGGTCATGCCATTGTACTCCAGCCTGGGCAACAAGAGTGAAACTCTGTCTCAAAAAAAAAAAAAAGAAAGAAAGAAAGAAATAGAGGGGATGGTAACAAAAGGGGTGCATGTTGGGCAAGGGTCTCCATAAAATAGAAGAAACTCATGTGTGTTTAAGTCCCTGCTTAGAAGGCAAATCATGCTCTACCTCCGGACAACAGGAGCTCTAGGACCCCAAGTCTGCGTCCCCAGACTTGGTTCCTCTGAAGACCCCACACCAGGCTGCACATCCAGGGAGAAGAGGTAGGTCCCTCCAACAAACGAAGGTTGGTCCCAAGATATTAAACAAGTAGAGTGTTGTATCCTTAGATGCTTTCCCACTGCTGCTGTCTAAGGTGGGTATCTGGGGTAGAGCCCTGGTGGGTGGGCAGGGGCTCTCCGTAAACTGGAATGGAGCAGAGTAAGGCTGGAGACTGTGCTGTCTTGACCTCTGCCCAAGATGACCAACAACCTGGGGCTTCCCCAGCCACTTAACTGCTTCCTGCTGAAAAGAGCAGGGATTGGGAGAGAAACTGCCACCTGGCACCTTTGGACAATTACCATGGCAATCACAGGCCAGGCATTTTATTCCAGTCATTGCCTGGGAACGCTCCTTCCACATGTCTTGCTTTCTGTGTTACAGGCTTATTACTGTACAGCCTCCAGCCCTCCACTTTCATCTTGCAAAACAAGGTTCTTTCTTTGATGTCTGGAAGGATTTGCCCCGGAATGTCAGAAATTTGAGACTGTATGCAAGTGCACAATAAACAATCTGAAATTGAAACTGATCCAGTGGAGAGTGCTGGAATTAGGGAAGAGCAGTGGATATGTCCTGCGAGGTCAGAGCAGATACAGGCCAAGATAGTTTGCCTCCCAGCTCCAAGGGGTCTCCCTACCCTCAGTGAGTGGGCTTGGGAGGTAGATGCTTGGGATGCTGCATCTTTGGTCAATACCTTGACCAAACTGACACATGACCCAGTTAGTTTCGAGATAGACTGGGTCACAACAATCATTCTTCACCACCTGCAACCCTAGGACTGCTGATAACCCTTACCCACAGGAATTATAGGGCCCTGCTGCTCCAAAAAGATAGGATCTGAGTCAACAAGAAAGAGAAACAAGGACAACATATTTTGAACTCCTGACTAGCTTGGCGTATGGTTCTCAGCCCAGCCACACATTAGAACCAACTGTGGGGCTTTTAAAAAATGCCCAGTATCTGGACTCCACTGTAGTAGATTTAAATTCAGTTGAGGAGGAGCCAGGGCATCTGTTTTTTTTCTTAAGTATTTCAAGTGTGGAGAACCATTGGCTGCTCAAATAAGTGGCCAGGCTCCACACCTGGTCCCAAGGTTTCCTAGTTGTGTGACCTTGGGCAAGTTACTCAACATCTGTAAACCTCCATTCCCTCAGCTGTAAAGCAGTACCTGCTGGCCAGGCATGGTGGCTCACACCTGTAATCCCAGCATTTTGAGAAGCCAAGATTGGAGGATCGTTCGAGCCCAGGAGTTCAAGACCAACCTAGGCAACATAGCAAGATCTCATCTCTATAAAAAAAGAAAAACAGTACTTGCTTAATGGAGTTGTGGGAAGGATTAAATGAAAGAATGCATGTCAGTGCCTGGCATTGAGCCTAGCACGTAGTTGTGTTCAGAATGTTATTCTTATTGCTGGAACAGCAGTTCTTACCTCTCTAGAATCCAGGTTTAAAGGTATATAAGTAAGAAAGTGCCGTTTCCAGTAACCAGGGACCAAGACCTGTCCTTTTCCCAGAGTGGGGTTGAAGAGTGTTAGTCAGAGCCAGGGTCAAAGATTGCTTAGGTCCTGGTATTGGCACTCAACTTTGGTTACTCTTAACATTCTAGTCCCGCACTGTCCATTCTGAAATAACGAAAATATTCTATATTTGTGCTGACAACATAGTAGTCACTAGCCACATGGGGCTATTTAACACTTGAGATGTGGCCCATGTTGGCTGGGTGCGGTGGCTCACGCCTGTAATCCCAGCACTTTGGGAGGCTGAGGTGGGCAGATCACCTGAGGTCGAGAGTTCGAGACCAGCCTGACCAACATGGAGAAACCCCGTCTCTACTAAAAATACAAAATTAGTCGGGCACAGTGGCGCATGCCTGTAATCCCAGCTACTCGGGAGGCTGAGGCAGGAGAATCGCTTGAACTTGGGAGGCGGAGGTTGCAGTGAGCCAAAATCACGGCATTGCACTCCAGGCTGGTTTACAGAGTAAGACTGTCTCAAAAAAAGGCAAAAGAAAAAAGAAATGTGGCCCATGTGACTGGGGAACTGAATAATTTTATTTAATTATAACTCATTTAAAGTCAAACAGCTACACATGGCTGATGGCTACAGAATTGGAAAATGTAGCTCTAGGCTGGGCATGGTGGTGCACACCTGTAATCCCAGCACTTTGAGAGGCCGAGGCAGGCAGACTGTTTGAGCCAAGGAGTTCAAGACCAGCCTGGGCAACATGGTGAAAAGCCGTCTCTACAAAAAAAAATACAAAAAAATTTGCCAGGCGTGGTGGTGCGCACCTGTAGTCCCAGCTACTCAGGAGGCTGAAGTGGGAGGATGGCTTGAACCCAGCAGGCAGAGCAGTGAGCTGAGATTGCACTACTGCATTCCAGCCTGTGCAACAGGGCAAGACTTTGTCTCAAAAACAAACAAACAAACAAAAAACAAAAGAAAGAAAGAAAGAAAGAAACAAAGAAAAAGAAAAGAAACGAAAATGTAGCTCCGGACATGTATGTGCATTGAACATGGGAGTAAATAAAGATATAAAATTTTGAAACATAGTGTGACCAAGCATTTTCCCTTCTATTGTCTCATTTGAGCCTCAGAAAGTCCTATAAAGGAGATATGACAGGCACTAACAGCCCTATTATAGATTAGGGATGTTAAAAGACCTTCCCCAGATCACAAAGAGCATTAGAGGCACAGACAAGCCTAGAGGGAGGCAGACTTCTGGACTTCAAACCGATGCTTCTTTCTTTCATCAGTTACAAAAGCTTTCTCTTCACGGAAGCACCTCACATCAGCCCTCCAGCTCCTGTGAAGGTCTCAGTGCCCTGGGTGGACCCCAGGCCCCCATCTCCTCCCACTATCCGCTGTGCTACCTACCTGGAAGAGCTCCTGAACTTGAGCATCCACCCATTGCTCCATCTCCAGCCAGCGCTGGAGCTGGCCCCGGTCATACTTCACTGTCAGGCGGCTGGGTCTCCGGGACCTGGGTATCTTGGAGGAGTCCGGGTGGGACTTGGACTCTGAGTCTGTGGATGATGTCCTTCTCCTCCCAGAAGCCCAGTGGACCTTCTTACATGGGTTCTCCCCATCTGGGCTGGGAGATGTGCAGGAAGCAGGGCTTGAAGACAGCATGGAAGTATTGGTCTGGGCAAGGAGCTGGGAAAAACCGCCAGTTCTGAGCAGAGCCACAGAGGGAAGTGAGGAGACAGAGAACAGGAGAGGCCAGCAGAGAAGAAATGAAGGCAGGAGGAGGGCCAAGGCTCCCAGGGAGGGGCAAGGGCAAAGATCAATAGGACTTTGGTGCTGGGAATGCCAGTCTCCTGGCTCCTCACTGCCAGCCAGTGAGTGGCACTCCAGAGCCATGCCCCAGCCTCCCTTTCTGCAGCTTCTAGGGCCCAAAGTGGCATAAACTGCAGATGAGCAAAGGTCAAGAGGCTGCCATGCCCAGGGAGGAGGAAGGGGCCCTGGGGTCCTGAAGGGTACAGGGCTCCAATCGCTGCTCTATGGCCAGCTCTGGAATGGGACCTGAGTCGTTCTCACCTGAGATCCCTCTGTATCCCACCTTCCTGGGGCTGGATCCACTCTGGGCTCTGAGAAGCTGTGGTCAGATTCCGCAGAAGCAGGGTCCCTGGCTGGCAGGGATTCTTACTCAGAGCGTAGCACTACTGGGGGCAGAGCCCCAGCTGGTAGATAGAGTTGGAGGTCAGTTATTGATGGCTCCCGTAGGACCAGTGCCCCCAGTGTCTGGGTGTGTCCGAATGTAAACTGCTATCAGCCTGGCCTATAAAGGCAGTTTACCTGCTTGTAAAGGCAAATTTATCAAGACTTGTCTACTATGCCCGCTCCCCTGAGGCAACTGCTTAGGAAGCCATGTTTATTACCACGTGACCCTCCCCCGATTCATGTATTTGCTGACACAGAGGAAACCTGCAAACCTAACTTATACACAGGTGTCAGGGACTAATACTTCCAGGCATACATACTTGCATTCTAAGGCAGGGTATTTTTGTTTAGTCTTTTATAATGAAAATTTCTAAACTTTAAAAAAAAAAAGTGACAGAAGAACACTGTAATTTTTTTTTTTTTTTTTTTGAGATGGAGTCTCGCACTGTCACCCAGGCTGGGGGGCAATGCTGCGATCTTGGCTCACTGCAACATCCGCCTCCCAAGTTCAAGCAATTCTCCTGCCTCAGCCTCCCAAGAAGCTGGGATTACAGGCGCCCACCACCATGCCCGGATAATTTTTTGTATTTTTAGTAGAGACGAGGTTTCACTATGTTGCCCAGGCTGGTCTCAAATGCCTGACCTCATGATCCACCCGCCTCGGCCTCCCAAAGTGGTGGGATTACTGGAGTGAGCCACCGTGCCCAGCCTGTAATTTTTTTAAAATGGGGCCAGGCATGGTGGCTCACGCCTGTAATCCCAGCACTCTGGGAGGCCGAGGCGCGTGGATTGCTTGAGCTCAGGAGTTCAAGACCAGCCTGGGCAAAATGGTGAAATTCTCTCTCTACCAAAAAAAAAAATAATAATAATACAAAAAATTAGCTGCTTTGGGAGACCCAGGCGGGAAGATTGCTTGAGGCCAGTAGTTCAAGACCAGTCCGGGCAACACAGTGAGATCTTGTCTCCATTAAAAAATGTAAACAATGGGCCAGGCACGGTGGCTCATGCCTGTAATCCCAGCACTTTGGGAGGCTGAGGTGGACAGATGACTTGAGGTCAGGAGTTTGAGATCAGCCTGGCCAACATGGCAAAACCCTGTCTCTACTAAAAATACAAAAATTAGCCGGGCGTGGTGGCACACGTCTGTAGCCCCAACTATTCAGGAGGCTGAGGGAGGAGAATCGCCTGGGCCCAGGAGGCGGAGGTTGCAGTGAGCCGAGATCATGCCACTGCACTCCAGCCTGGGTGACAGAGCAAGACCCCGTCTCAAAAAAAAAAAAAAAAAAAAAGTAAAAAATGAAAAGCAAGATTACTCAGATATGGTGGTGCACACCTGTCATCCTAGCTGCTTGGAAGGTGGGAAAATCACTTCAGCCCAGGAGTTCAAGGCTACAGTGAGCTACAATGGCAACACTGCACTTAAGCATGGGTGACAGAGCAAGACCCTGTCTCAAAAAAGGAAAAAGGCGAATGGATGACAGTTTAATGATGAAATTTTAGGCCCTCACTTAAGAAGATAAGGGAGGTGTTTGAGTGGCTGGAAACTAAGATGGCAGCCAGGAAAAGCCCAGGCTTTGGAGGAAGGCTGACAATCTGAGTTCAACTCAGCTTTGCCCTGCATTGGTTTTATAATCCTTGGCCAAGTTTCATAGCCTGTTTTCACATCTGCAGATTGGGCTTGTTGGGAAGATAAAATGAGATGATGCATGTAAACATTTAGCATGGCATCTGAAACAGAGTCCCTGTCAGTAGACATTCATTCCTGTCCTTTATTTACCTCCCCACTCTCCCTGCCCTCCTGGCGAGGCTCTGGTGGTCAATGCCTGGGCTTTCATCAGTGTGGCTCTCTTCCTGAGCAGGAGGAGGGGGGCCTCTAGGATGCATCTTGTTGACTCAGCTGTCACTTTAACAGTCTGTGGCCAGGAGGCATTATTATGGTAGTTCCCTGCCTCTTCTGTTTCCTATCTTCTGAAGGGTTTGAGAGCCCTTTCGGGAAAAGAAACTAGATGAGAAGAGTCACTGTGTTTTGTTCATTTATTTACTCACTCATTTAACAAAGATTTTATGAGCTCCCCTGGTAGGCCAAACATTATGCTCAGTGGTTATTCAAGAGCCACAGGATGGGCACGGTGGGTCACACCTGTGATCCCAGCACTTTGGGAGGCTGAGGCGAGAAGATTGCTTGAAGTCAGGAGTTCAAGACCAGCCTGATCAACATAGTGAGACCTTGTCTCTGTAAAAACTAAACAAAGGGCAGGCACGGTGGCTCACACCTGTAATCCCAACAGTTTGGGAGGCTGAGGTGGGTGGATCACCTGAGGTCAGGAGTTTCAGACCAGCCTGGTCAACATGGTGAAACCTCATCTCTGCTAAAAATACAAAAAGTTAGCCAGGCGTGGTGGTGGGTGCCTGTAATCCCAGCTACTTGGGAGGCTGAGGCAAGAGAATTGCTTGAACCCAGGAGACGGAGGTTGCAGTGAGCTGAGATCGTGCCATTGCACTCCAGCCTGGGCAACAAGAGCGAAACTCTGTCTCAAAAAAACCCCAAAAAATAACAACAACAACAATAACAACAAAAAACAAACAAAACAAAAAACAAACAAAGAAGAACAAAAGAGACACAGTCCCTGCCTTCATGGAAGGAACTTATAGTCTAGTGTGAAAATAAACAAACAATAATCAACTCATCAAATAAATGTAAAATTGCAATTTCATTTAGTGATTTGAAGAAAAGTAGGAGGTGCTATATGAATGTCTAATGGAGGTGTAACCTGGAAAGTGATAACATCTGGACTGAGTTCTGACAGATGAGTAGAAGTTAAACTGGCCTAGGAGCCAGCAGGGATGGGCCTGGCAGAATGCAGAGGACATGCAAAGGCCCTGTGGCAGAAGGGAGATGGTGAGTACAAGGGACTAAGAGGGTCAATGGGGCTGGAACAGAGGGAGGAGAGAGGGAAAAGTGAGGCAGGAGAAAGGGTTGAGGTACCCAGGCAGGGCCCTGTAAGCCACGTTGAGGAATTTTGTCTCCATCTTAAGGGCATTGGGCAGGCACTGAAGAGTCTTAAGCAATGGTGCTTGGGCAAGTTGACATGTTCAGATTTAAACTTCCAAACAATCACCGTGGCTGTTGCACAGAAAGACAATCAGAGGGCACAGAAGGGCTGGTGGAGGCCAGTTGGAAGGCCATTGCAGTAAAGCTAGTAGGGGAGGTAGTGCTGTCAATGGCAAGAAGCAGGCAAATTGGACAGCTATTTAGGAGGTAACGTTTAACAGATATTGACTGGTAATGGGCTGGGGACACACAAACATGCAAACTTTATGAAAGCCTACACAGGGACAGACAGATGCATACATGCAGCCTCTGTGAACATGTTTCAGGCCGGGCGCGGTGGCTCATGCCTGTAATCCCTGCACTTTGGGAGGCTGAGTCGGGCGGATCACCTGAAGTCAGGAGTTCGAGACCAGCCTCACCAACATGGAGAAACCCCGTCTCTACTAAAAATACAAAATTAGCCGGGCGTGGTGGCACATGCCTGTAATCCCAGCTACTAGGGAGGCTGAGGCAGGAGAATCGCTTGAACCTGGGAGGCGGAGGTTGCGGTGAGCCGAGATCGCGCCATTGCACTCCAGCTTGGGCAACAAGAGCAAAACTCCATCTCAAAAAAAAAAAAACCACCAAAAAACGAAAAACAAAGCAAACAAAAAAAAAACATGTTTCATTCGTAAACTGGGGGTTGATAAGATTCTATATGAGCACACAGCATGGATACCATGAAGCTTGATGGCACACTAATGAGTGATGTCCATTATTTATAGCAAGAGGCTCCTTATTATATCCTTCCAACTTAGCACTGACCCACATCTCCTCCCTGGCCTATTGGTACCACCATTCATCAGTAAGTTTGCCCAAAGATAAGGGAGCTCAAGATCCAAGATGAGATAAGAGATAAAAGCCACCAGGAGCACACAGCCACATCAGGGCAGAAAAAGAGGGTGGGGGCCTGGGCAGGGAGAAAGGTGCCTGCCTGCTCTCCTGGCTTGGGCCAGGTCCAGTGCTGAGATGAAATGGGCAGCAGGCAGACTCCAGCAGAACCAGGCTGCTCTTTTTAAATGTCTTTTCTTTTATAAAAACTTTATTATAGCCGGGCGCAGTGGCTCACTCCTGTAATCCCAGCACTTTGGGAGGCCAAGGCGGGCAGATCATGAGGTCAGGAGATCGAGACCATCGTGGCTAACACGGTGAAACCCCATCTCTACTAAAAATACAAAAAATTAGCCGGGCGTGTTGGCAGGCGCCTGTAGTCCCAGCTACTCGGGAGGCTGAGGCAGGAGAATGGCATGAACCCAGGAGGCGGAGCTTGCAGTAAGCCGACTGCGCCACTGCACTCTAGCCTGGGGGACAGAGCAAGAAGCTCTCTCAAAAAAAAAAAAAAAGAAAGAAAAACTTTATTATAGAAGAAAAACATGTTTATTTAGAAACTTTTCTAAATTTTCTAAAACATGGACAGGCACGGTGGCTCATGCTTGTAATCCCAGCACATCGAGAGGCCGAGGTCGGGAGTTCGAGACCAGCCTGGGCAACATGGTGAAACCTCATCTCTACTAAAAATACAAAAAATTAGCTGGGCATGGTGGCACGTGCCGGTAATCCCAGCTACTCGGGAGGCTGAGGCAGAAGAATGTCTTGAGCCCGGGAGGCGGAGGTTGCAGTGAGCCTAGATTGTGCCACTGTACTCCAGCCTGGGCGACAGAGCAAGACTCTGTCTCAAAAAAAAATTTTTTTTAAACATTCAAAATTTCCCATAATCCCACCAGACAAAAACCACCACCACTAACATTCTGACAAGTTTCTTTCTTGTCTAATTTTTTCTAGTCTTTATATATATATTATATATATGATATATCTTGTCTAATTTTTTCTAGTCTTTATATATATCATATATATGATATATATATGATATATATATAATATATGATATATAATATATATGATATGTATAATATATGATATATATAATATATATGATGTATATAATATATATCATATATATAATATATAGATATATATAATATATATGATATATATTATATATACATATATATATATATATATACTTTTTTGAGATGGAGTCTTGCTCTGTCACCCAGGCTGGAGTGCAGTGGTGTGATCTCAGCTCACTTCAACCTCTGCCTCCCCAGTTCAAGCTATTCTCCTGCCTCAGCCTCCCAAGTAGCTGGGATTACAGACAACTGCCACCACGCCCAGCTAATTTTTGTATTTTTAGTAGAGACGGGGTTTTACCATGTTGGCAGGGTGGTCTCAAACTCCTGACCTTAGGTGATCTGCCCGCCTCGGCCTCCCAAACTGCTGGGATTATAGGCGTGAGCCACCGCACCCGGCCCTCTATGCATATATATTTAACATAGTTAAATACTATATACAGTTATTTGGAAAACTTTTAAATTAGTATGATTATTCAAGAAATGAATTTTTAAGAAGATATGCTCATTGCGGAAAACTCTAAAATACAAATGAACAAAGAAAAGTATAAATTATCTGGTGTATTTACTTTCCATTTTTTTCACATAGTTTGGGTTTTCACAAAATTCGATCATTTTGTAACATTATGAATACATTTTATAACTTAATATATTTTGGTTACATTTTATGTCATTAAGTAGTTGTATTTATTTATTTTTTGAGACAGTCTCACTCTGTTGCCCAGGCTGGAGTGCAGTGGTGTGATCTCAGCTCACTGCAACCTCTGCCTCCCAGATTCAAGTGATTCCCCTGCCTCCTGATAGCTGCGATTACAGGCACATGCCATCATGCCCAGCTAATTTTTTTTTTTTTTTTTTTTTTGAGACAAAGTCTCGCTCTTGTCCCTCAGGCTGGAGTGCAATGGCGCGATCTTGGCTCCCTGCAACCTCCACCTCCCGGGTTCAAGCGATTCTCCTGCCTCAGCCTCCCGAGTAGCTGGGATTAGAGGCGCCTGACACCACGCCCAGCTAATTTTTGTATTTTTAGTAGAGATGGGGTTTCACCATGTTGGCCAGGCTGGTCTACAAACTCCTGACCTCAGGTGATCTGCCCACCTCGGCCTCCCAAAGTGCTGGGATTACAGGCATGAGCCACCACACCCAGCCTATTTTTGTATTTTTGTAGAGACAGGGTTTCACCACGTTGGCCAGGCTGGTCTTGAATTCCTGACCTCAGGTGATCCGCCCGCCTTGGCCTCCCAAAGTGCTGGGATTACAGGCATGAGTCACTGTGCCTGGCCTAAGTAGTTTTATATACATCTTTTATTAACACTGCAGTTATTCAAAATTTGGACCATGACTCAGAGTAAGGAATTTAATATCACAATGTACACATGTACATATACAAAGCTAAATTTCTTATGAAGCAAAACTTGTCCTTACTCTGATATTTTTCATTCTATTTCATTTTATTTTGTCTTTTCAAATGCCAGTGGCAAATCCCTTTACTGTTTTTAAAACTCACTAATGAATCCCATCCTGTTCTATTAGAGGTGATTCCATGATTTAGTCACTCAATCCCATCTTTGGATATATGGATCACCACCAATTTGCCATTATAAATAGTGCTCCTCTGCTGAACATTTTTGTAACTATTTCTTTGTTGGCATCCATGATTTCCCTTAAGAGAAGTTTATAGATGTAGAACTACAAAGTCAAAGAATGTGCAAAATTGTAGGAGGTTTGATATTTATGGCCATATTAGTTCCCCAAAAAGTTGACTAAGTAAACGGTTTATAGTTTGATATTCTAATTTTTTTCAGTGAATGCATTCCAAAAGTTACCAGCTTGAAACAATAAGCATTTATTATATCACTGTTTTAGTAGGGGGGATTCTGGGAGTAGATCAGCTGGGCCCCCCAGCTCAGGGACTGCAGTCAAGGTGTCAGCCAGCACTATAGTCACCTCAAGGTTCAAGAGCAGGAGGTCCACTTCCAGGCTCACTCACAAGGGTGTTGGCAGGTCTCAGGTTCCCAGATGCTGTTGGCTAAAGACATTGGATCCTGCCATGCAGGCCTCTCTGGAGGCTTACTTATCACATGGCACCTTGCTTCCACCACACCAAGGGCACTAAAAGAGAGAGAGAGAGAGAGAGACAAAGAGAGAAAGTTACAGTCTTTGTAACCAAATCCAGGAAGTGACATCCTATGACTTTTGCTTGATTCTATCCATTAGAAGCAAGTCGCTAGGTCCAACTACACTCAAGGAGAGGAAATTATACAAGGCATGAGTACCAGGAGGTATGGATCACTGGGAGCCATTTAGAAGCAACCTACCACAATGGAATATTGTGAACATTTTTTTTTCAAATGTTTAATATTTTTAATAATGAAAACATTTGAAATTTATTCTCTCAGCAATTTTGAAATGTACAGTACTCAATTATTAGTTATATTTGCCATGTACAATAGATCTCAAACAAAAATATCAAACTTCCTCCTGAGGTATTGTATCCTTTCATTATCACCTCCCTGTACCCTCCACCCTCATGTGAGCATTTCTGACATTAGAATAATTCCTCAAAAATAACCCTTTAGGACACAGGGAGGGGAACAACACACACTGGGGCCTGTGGGGTAGGTTGGAGGGAGGGAGAGCATCAGGATAAATAGTTAATGCATGCAGGGCTTAATACCTAGGTGATGGGCTGATAGGTGCAGCAAACCACCATGGCACATGTTTACCTATGCAACAAACCTGCACATCCTGCACATGTACCCCAGAACTTAATAAAATAAAATAAAATAAAATAAAAACAGGATGGGTGCAGTGACTCATGCCTGTAATCCCAGCACTTTGGGAGGCCGAGGTGGGTGGATCACCTGAGGTTGGGAGTTCGAGACTAGCCTGACCAACATGGAGAAACCCCATCTCTACTAAAAATACAAAATTAGCCGGGCATGGTGGCGCATGCCTGTAATCCCAGCTACTCAGGAGGCTGAGGGAGAATTACTTGAAGCTGGGAGGCGGAGGTTGCAGTGAGCTGAGATCGAGCCATTGCATTCCAGCCTGGGCAACAAGAGCAAAACTCTATCTCAAAAAAAAAAAAACAACAACAAAAAACAACCCTTTAAGAGCTGTTAAAAGAAAATCCATAGCCAAATTAGGCCAGGCGCAATGGCTCACGCCTGTAATCCCAGCACTTTGGGAGGCTGAGGTGGGCAGATCACCTGAGGTTAGGAGTTCGAGACCAGCCTGACCAACATGGAGAAACCCCGTTTCTACTAAAAATACAAAATTAGCCAGGTATGGTGGTGCATGCCTGTAATCCCAGTTACTCGGGAGGCTGAGGCAGGAGAATCACTTGAACCCGGGAGATGGAGGTTGTGGTGAGCTGAGATTGCACCATTGCACTCCAGCCTGGGCGACAAGAGCAAATTTCTGTCTCAAAAAAAAAAATCCATAGTCAAATTAAATTTAAGAGTTCAATTTAGCAAAGTACGATTGGTAAATTGGGCAGCATTCTGAGCCAGAGTAGGCTCAGAGATTTATGGGCAGCATAAGGAAAGTGATGTACAGAAAATGGAAATGAGGGACAGAAACAGCCAGATTGGTTACAGCTCAGTGTTTGCCTTATTTGAAGAGGGTTTGAACAGTTGGCCCCTTTTGATTGGCCAAAACTTGGTGTTTGGCACAAGGGTAGATTACAGGCTGTTTACACCTCCATTTAGGTGACAGTTCACTATGTACAGAGAAACCTTTACGTCAAACTCAAAATATGTAAGGAGGCTAAATTTGATTTAACAGAGCTGTAGCAGTATCTGTGAGGGGCTGTCTTTTTAAAATAGAAGTTAAATTGGCTGGGCACAGTGGCTCACACCTGTAATCCTAATACTTTGGGAGGCTGAGGCAGGAGGATGGCTTGAGCCCAGAAGTTAGAGACCAGCCTCAGCAATATGGCAGGACCCCATCTCTACAAAAAATTTACAAAATTAGTCAGGTGTTGTGGCACATACCTGTGGTCTCAACTACTCGGGAGGCTGAGGTGGGAAGATCGCTTGAACCAGGGAGGTGGAGGCTGCAGTGAGCTATGGTTGTGCCACAGCACTCCAGCCTGGCAACAGAGCGAGACCCCGTCTCAAAAAAATCATTTTTTTCTGCATAATGAATTAGTGGGCTTTTACTTAGATTATTAAAACTAAAGTTTATTCTGTATATATTATCTGTTTCAGTTATTATTGACACATAAACCACCCCCAAAATTTAAAAGCTTAAAACAGAAACAGCCATTTATTTGCTCATGATTCTGTAACTTGGGCAGGGCTTGGCAGGGTCAGCTAGTCTTTGCTGAGGTAACTTGACTGGGGCTAAAGATGCAAGATGGCTTCACCCAGCTTCTCAGTTGGGGGCTGGCGTGGCTGGAAGACAGCAGGCCCTTCCCTTTTCCTTTAGAGTCTCTCATCCTCCAGGGCCTCATTTTCTTCAGGTGCTATCTCTCTCATGCAGCACAAACTTCTTTACATCACAGCTGGCTCTAAAAGGGAAAAACAATGCTACAAGATTTCATAAGGCCTGGAAGTCACAGGGCCCCACTTCTGCTAGGTCCAACTGGTCAAAACAAGTTCCAGATGCAAAGAGAAGGAAAGTAAAAGACACCTTCTAGTGGGAGAAGCAGCATGCACACACAGGAATGGGAGGCACTGTCGGTGGCCACATTTGGAGACAATCCACCACTCCTACCTACAGAAACTGCCAGACCACATCCACGACAAGGCAGTCAGTGTTCCTCCTCTAGTAGTGGTGTAAGAACTGAATATTCTCATCAAATCATCCACTCCTTAGAGCAATGATTGGTATTTGTGATGTGGCAAACAGGAATGGAGCCTGTGGCACAGAGCTTTTCCCAAAGTTTGCACTGGGAAAGTGAACTACACAGCCTAAGAAAAGAGTGAGCTACGTGGCCTAAGAAAAGAGCTACATAGCCTTGGCCGGGCACGGTGGCTTATGCCTATAATCCCAATACTCTGGGAGGCCGAGGTGGGTGGATCATTTGAGGTCAGGAGTTTAAGACCAGCCTGGGCAACATGGTGAAACCCCATCTCCACCAAAAAATAAAAAAAATAGCCAGACATGGTGGCAGGTGCCTGCAGTCCTAACTACTTGGGAGGCTGAGGCAAGAGAATCACTTGAACCTGGGAGGCGGAGGTTGCAGTGAGCTGAGATCATGCCACTGCACTCCAGCCTGGGTGACAGAGTGAGACTCCATCTTGAAAAGAAAAGAAAAGAGAAGAGTGAACTCCCCTTGGGCCCACAGTATAGAATTAAAAAACAATATCATTTGCAAATACTTTGCAGGAAGGCAGCTCAAATCAAGGAAAGGGCCTAAGATTGGCAGTCAAGAGACCTGAGGTCTGGAGCTGGCCCTGTGTCTATGAACAAACCAAGGCCAAATCTCTGGGCCTCAGTTTGCTGTATGTAAGGGGAAGAGTTTTTTTATTTTTTATTTTATTTTATTTTATTTTTTGAGCTGGAGTCTCGCACTGTCGCCAGGCTGGAGTGCAGTGGTGCGATCTCGGCTCACTGCAATCTCCGCCTCCCGGATTCAAGCGATTCTCCTGACTCAGCCTCCCGAGTAGCTGGGACTACAGGCGCCTGCCACCATAGCCAGCTAATTTTTGTATTTTTAGTAGAGACGGGGTTTCACCATGTTGACCAAGCTGGTCTCAATCTCTTGACCTCGTGATCCACCCACCTTGGCCTCTCAAAGTGCTGGGATTACAGGCGTGAGCCACCGTGCCTGGCTGGGTTGTTTTTTAAAATTTATTTTTTCAGACACTATGTTGCCCAGGCTGGTCTCGAACTCCTGACCTCAAGCAATCCTCTTGCCTTGGCCTCCCAAAGTGTTGGGACTACAAGCGTAAGCCACGGTGCCCAGCCAGGGGAAGGGTTTTAGCTGACTCTCCTCTGACAGCTCTGACACTCTCTGCCTAAGCAAATACTGAACTTCATGAGTCGGTCCAGGGAACAGTTGGCTCTGTACACTCTGCCAGAGAAGTTCTTGGGGATGACTGAGGGTCTGAACAGGTGAGGGACAGATGAAGGCAGGGCTGGAGGAGGGAACCACATGGCAGTGTGCAGGGTGGCCTGGAGTTCCATCAGGAAGCTGGCACAGAGCCTAGATTAAGGGCAGCAGTGGGAACAGACAAGAGATGGATGTGAGTGATTACCAAGGAAGACTGTCATCAAATATGGTATGTGGAGGTCATCACGGTGTGTCTCTCTCTTCATTATGGAAGCATCCCATGTTCACTGAAGGGATCTTGGAAAATATTTTTAAAACTAGAAAGAAGAAATGTTATCCTACAGTCTCACCATTCAAATACCATCACTTTCCCTACTTTGATGGCATACCTTATAGTCTTTCTTCTCTTCACATGTAGTTTTTCTTATTAGTATGTAAGAAGCAGCATAAGGTAGTATGGAAAGTATGGCTTTTAATGTCAAAAAGACTTCAGATACAATCCTGGCTCTGTCACTTTTTTAAAAGAATCATTTCGACTTTTATTTTGTTTACTTATTTTTGAGACAGGGTCTAGTTCTTTCACCCATGCTGGAGTGCAGTGGCATGATCATAGCTCACTGCCACCTTGACCTCCCTGGCTCAAGCAATCCCCCCACCTCAACCTCCTGAGTAGCTGGTACTACAGGCATGCGCCACTATGCCTGGCTAATTTTTTGTATTTTTTTTTATAGAGACGGGGTCTTGCCATGTTGCCCAGGCTGGTCTTGAACTCCTGGGCTCAAGCAATCCTCCTGCCTCAGCCTCCCATAGTGCTTGGATTACAGACATGAGCCATTGCACCTGGCCTCAACTTTTATTTTAGATTCAGTGGGTACACATGCAGGTTTGTTACATGGGTATAGGGTTTGGGGTACAGATGAGCCTGTCACCCAGGTAGTGAGCATATTACCTAAAAGGTTGTTTTTCAGCCCACGCTCCCCACGCTCCCCTCCCTCCTTCTCTCTTCTGGTAGTCCTCAGTGTCTATTGTTCCATCATTATGTCCATGTGTACTCAATGCTTAGCTCCCATTTATAAGTGAGAATATGTGGTATTTGGTTTTCTGTTCCTGCCTTAATTTGCTTAGGATAATGGCCTCCAGCTGCATTCGTATTGCTGGAAAGGACATGATTTTGTTAATTTTATGGCTGCATAGTATTCCATGGTACGTATGAAGTACATTATCTTTATGCAATCCATCATTGATGGGCATCTAGGTTGATTCCATGTCTTTGCTATTGTGAATAGTGCTGTGATGAACGTACAAGTGCATGTGTCTTTTTGGAAAAACAATATATTTTCCTTTGGGTATATACCCAGTAATAGGATTGCTGAGTTGAATGGTAGTTCTAAGTTTTTGAGAAATCTCCAAGCTGCTTTCCACAGTGGCTGAACTGATTTACATTCCCACCAACAATGTATAAGCGTTCCCTTTTCTCTGCATCCTCACCACCATGTGTTTTTGTTGTTGTTGTTGTTGTCGTTTCAAGTAACATTTATTGAGAACTCTTTGTGTCAAATGCTTTGTCTGCATTAACTCAATTAATCCTCATAAAAAACCTTATGAAGCCCCACTTCCCATTCAAGGAGACTAAGGCAGAGAGATCAAATAACTTGCACAAGGCCACACGAATAGTAAGTGGCAGATGCAAGAGCTAAATCCAGTAGTCTGAGTCTGAAGCTCACAAGTTCAACTTCTCTACAACCTGTCACCACTCTTCGTTCACTACCTGACCTTGATGGAGTCAGTGAACCTTTCTGCAAAGTGGAAGCAATTTTTAGAGTTGTCCTGAGCATTAGCAATCCTATGTCAAGTGCCTGGAGGGAACACAGTGGGCATCTCAACAAATGGTGGGTGCTCACCACTTGAAAGTGAGTTATGGGTTTAAGCAAGTTGAATCTGAGGTGAGGGCAGAACTTCCAGATGAAGTCAGAATTGCAAAGGCCATAAAGCCCAGGGTTTAAGCACTGAAGCCATGGAATTGGCCTGCCTGGGCTCCAATCCCTACTCTGCCGCTTCAATGCTGAATGACCTGACAAGTCAGTTTACCTGTCTGAGCCTGTTTGCTCATTTGTAAAATGGGGCTAAAAATACTACCTCCCTAGGTTTGTTTTGAGTATAGGGTAATATGTGGGCAGTGCTTAGGAACAGAGTTTGGGCATTGTCAGTGCTGAATTCATGTTGGTTTTTATAATGGTGTGTATAATGGATGTAATGATAAATTTATGGTGATGTAATATTACCATAAGGTAATATTTTCCTGTATTAAGATTCTTGAGGTCAGGCACAGTGGCTCACGCCTATAATCCTAGCACTTTGGGAGGCCGAGGTGGGTGGATCACCTGAGGTCAGGAGTTCAAGACCAGCCTGGCCAAAAAGGTGAAACCTCGTTTCTACTAAAAATACAAAAATTAGCTCGGCGTGGTGGTGCCCACCTGTAAGCCCAGCTACTTGGGAGGCTGAGGCAGAATTTCCTGAATCTGGAAGGCAGAGGTTGCAGTGAGCCGAGATCGTGCCATTGCACTCCAGCCTGGGTGACAGAGCAAGACTCCGTCTCAAAAAAAAAAAAAAAAAAATAAATAAATAAATAAATAAAGATTCTTGAATGTGTTAGCCATAAGGGGAAATCAAATCACAACAAAACCCTTTCTTCCCAGTGACTGCACAATCATTTTCTTCATTCCCAGCATACCACCATTGTTGTATATCCACCAGTGTGCCAGGGTCTGTGGATAAACCCTAAACATCCAGAGAAGGGGAGACAGGCCCCAGATTCCCACCCCAACACGCATCATGTGAGCAGCTGGAGGATGTTGCAGTTCAGCAAAATCCAAGGGTTGGCCACAGGATCTGCTAGGCAAAGCTGCTCTGGATGAGAAACTGGGAAGAATGTTCCCATTGGTTTGGGGGTTGTTAAGCCATCAGGAAAAGGTTTGGAATCTGTATTTTAAGAGAGCATGCTATGTGATTCCTTCCTCCAGCCCTGCCTTCATCTGTCTTTCACCTGTTCAGACCCTTGCCGTAGAGAATGGTCTCTTAAGAGTTTTTTACTCAGGAGGAGCAATGAGCTTGGCTTCAAGGAGTCCACTGTTTCGTGAAGGGCATTAACTCAGCTACTTGGTGAACTGGAACCTCCAGGCTTCCAAGGATGACATTTCCCTGGAAGAAAGTAGCCAGCAGCGTCCCCTTTGTGAAAGAGAGGAAGCCTGGGCTCCAGGGAAGGGGGCAACAGTCCAATGAGCCATAGCAGGGAATGGACCGAACTGTACATACAAGATGAGGAGGGGCCTCGAACAACAGGGAAGCCCCGTGGAGCACGCAGGGGAGCCTGGACGCGGGGAATCGCCTCCGTTTCTCACCCTGACAGCAGGGAGGGCTTCCCGGAGCTGACAGTGAGGCAGACATCCCGGATCCCTGTTATCACAGGTGCAGCCACGCAACTTTTGGGTTACCTTCCCGCCACGAAATGGAAATGATTTCCTGAGGGCCGGAAAGATCATTTGCATCGGGCCTCAGGTCTGGGGCTGGGAAAGCAGGCCCCGGCCGGAAAGGAAGACTGGAGGCCGCCGCCCCAGAGGCCGGACCCTCGCGTCCCGGCCGCATCCCCTCCCGGCTGGGTATGCGCTTCGGGCGCGGGGCTCCCTCGCGAGGCTGGACTGGGTGGAGCCCGAGAGCCCCTCCGGGGAGCTGGCTGCCGGGGAGGCACCGGGGCTGCGGGGCCGCGGGGCGGGCCGGGCCTGGAGCTCCGCGCTAGAGGCGGCCGCAGCGCACCGGGCGTGGGCGGGGCCGGCAGCGCAAGGGTGAATGTCGGCCCCGCCCCGACGGCGCTGACTCAGTTTCACCAGAAACCAGGGGGAGAAGGCGGCCGAGCCCCAGCTCTCCGAGCACCGGGTCGGAAGCCGCGACCCGAGCCGCGCAGGAAGCTGGGACCGGAACCTCGGCGGACCCGGCCCCACCCAACTCACCTGCGCAGGTAACCCGGGCCCCCGCGCGCAAGGCCGAGGCGCAGGCGGAGCGGGCTGGAGCATGTCCGGCCCTTTGTTCTGCGCTCGTGCGTGTGTCCGGGTACTTGAGCTCCCTAGCGGTCCGCCTGTCCGTCTGTCTGGCTGCCGGGTCCCTGGAGGGCGCGTGGGAGGGCCGGGCCCGTGCGCCCTCTTCGATCCTGGGGTGCTCCGGTCCCTCCTCCCCGCCACTTCCTCCCGGCCGGCCCGCCTCCTCCAAAGTCTCCCGGGCTGATCAGGTGTGTCTCCTCCTCTGTCCCCTCCCTTCTTCTCAGGTCACCAGCACCCTCGGAACCCAGAGGCCCGCGCTCTGAAGGTGACCCCCCTGGGGAGGAAGGCGATGGCCCCTGCGAGGACGATGGCCCGCGCCCGCCTCGCCCCGGCCGGCATCCCTGCCGTCGCCTTGTGGCTTCTGTGCACGCTCGGCCTCCAGGGCACCCAGGCCGGGCCACCGCCCGCGCCCCCTGGGCTGCCCGCGGGAGCCGACTGCCTGAACAGCTTTACCGCCGGGGTGCCTGGCTTCGTGCTGGACACCAACGCCTCGGTCAGCAACGGAGCTACCTTCCTGGAGTCCCCCACCGTGCGCCGGGGCTGGGACTGCGTGCGCGCCTGCTGCACCACCCAGAACTGCAACTTGGCGCTAGTGGAGCTGCAGCCCGACCGCGGGGAGGACGCCATCGCCGCCTGCTTCCTCATCAACTGCCTCTACGAGCAGAACTTCGTGTGCAAGTTCGCGCCCAGGGAGGGCTTCATCAACTACCTCACGAGGGAAGTGTACCGCTCCTACCGCCAGCTGCGGACCCAGGGCTTTGGAGGTGAGGAGGGTGCCAAGATGGATGGGTTTGGAGAGACTCAAAAAAGGGACTGGTTATGGGGTCCTAGGGGAGACGAACATCAGAGAGGAGTTAAGGAGAGTTCACTTTTTTTTTTCTTTTTCTTTCTTTTTTTTTGCGACGGAGTCTCGCTCTTGTCGCCCAGGCTGGAGTGCAATGGCGCAATCTCTGGTTGCTCACTGCAACCTCCGTCTTCCACGTTCAAGTGATTCTTCTGTCTCAGCCTCCGGAGTAGCTGGAACTACAGGCACCCGCTACCAGACCCGGCTAATTTTTTTTTTTTTTTTTTTTTTTTTTTTTTTGGTACAGACGGGGTTTCACTATGTTGGCCAGGCTGGTCTTGAACTTCTGAACTCAGGTGATCCACCCACCTTGGCCTCCCAAAGTGCTGGGATTATTTCTACCTGAAGCCCTCCTTAGAAGTAGGCAGTACAGCCGAATCAAGCCTGGTGATCAATGGGGTGACAGATGTCACAGCCAGATCGCCTTCACATCGGTAGTAGGCAGTACAAACAGTAAACAAATGAAAGGGGACATGAGTAGGGAGGGCAGGGCCCAGGCTCTGGCTCCTGAACTCAGGATGTTCAGAGGTGATGGGCTGGTGCTCACAGGGAGGCCTTTGGCTCTGGGCTGTGTGTACTGGAGGGGAGAGGAAGTCCCCAGGACTCCTGACCTCTGGCACTGATAGGCTGATTGAAGGAGTGAGCTGTCTGGATGGTCTGGTGACTAGAAAGGCACCTTGGCCAAGCACTGGTCTGGGCACACCGATGCCCTGTCAGGTGAGCCTGGCCATAGTCTCCTCCACTGGCTGGACTTGGGACTGCTTAGCATCTCTCTACCCCCTAGGAATGCATTGGCCTTTTGGTGGTCCAGGAAGACTGCCAGATCCGAGACTAGAAAACAAGCCCAGTCTGCGGTTGATCCAAAGGGAGAGAAGTGATGTTGTAGGCACAGAAGCCTAGAGGCTCTGGGGTGGGGGATGAGGAGGGTTGTGGGGTGAGTCAGCCTGTTGGTATGTATACCTAGTAGGGAAGGGATGTCAGCTGTCCAGGCAGGTGTGTGTGCATGCGCATGAGCCAGACAGGGCTCTCCCTGCTTAGAATCTGGTAGCCAAACCTTGTTTACTTCCATAGATAAAGGCAAAGCGGAGGCCAGGGCTCCTCCTCTTTCTTCCCCGGACTGAACTGTCTGCTGGGATCAGGGCCAGTCCAGAGCCTTGGTTCCCCCTTTCTCTCTACCTGCTGTTCTGGCCAGGTGGGGCTCCAGGGCAGGGGTAGGTCACCTCTCATAACCTCTGTGAGCACTTTACAGCTTACTGATTGCTGTGCCACACATCCTCTCACTCAGGCCTCATCACAACAACTTCCAAAAAGGGTGCTACTAGCAGTCATCCCACTTTTTAGATTAGGAAACTAAGACTCCCATGTTAAAGAATTTGCCCAGGGTAACACTGCCCATAAATGGTAGGCCTGAGATTCACCCCAGGGGAGACCTCCAAAAAAAGTCCTGTGCTGTTTTTCACACAAGACCATCTCTCTGGTAAAAACCTAGCATTCTGACCCAAAATAGCCCAGTGGATAACAGAACCGGGGATTGGGGAGTTTGGGGGCCAGAACTGGGCTGGGGCCACATCTGGGGGTGGTCTCCGTTCTGGAAAGTGGAGAAAGGGCTTTCCTCCGCAGACTTTTCCTGGGCTAGTCTCTCTGCCAGGCTAAGGAGGGTCCTCTTTCCTCCCTATCCTTCCAGTAGCTCTCCTGGGTCTCTGAGGAGAGGCGAGATGGGGATTCCTGTGGATGGGAGGGGGACATATCTGAGGGCCAGTCTGGGCCACCAAGTCCCACTGAACCAGGGCTGCAGCCTGTTCCACAAGGAAGTAGCAGAAAGTGTAGGTGGTGATGACTCTTACTGACCTGAGTTGCTCATGCCCTTCCTGCTCCACAGAGGCCCCATGGGAGTCCCTCTCCAGAGCCAGAGTGTGAAATTCTGGAGTCTGGTCAGGGAGCTTAGCTGGACTATGGCCCCATGGTCTTGAGACCAGCCATCCTCATCTGGAAACCCCCAGGACCTGCCTGTTTGCCACAAGAGAGGGTGGAGTGGGGATTTCCTGGGACATTGAGGGAGGCAGGTAGGGCTTGGACTTAGTATGAGCTCCAGGCCATTCTAGGCCATTCTTAGAGTGCTGCAGTGCTTTGGGAAGAGGAAAAAGCTGTGTGTGTGTCAAGGGGTTTATTCTCACCTGGGTCCAGTTAGAGAGGTTGGAGGTGGGTAATGACAGGGTAGAGCCATTAAGGGCTAGGGTGGATGAGGTGGGTTGGGTGACGTGGGTCACGGGCACTGAGAGCTTCCAAACCTTTGATTCTCCTATTGCATAGATAAATGCTCCCCAGAATGGGTTTGTTTGTTCCTCCTTCTGCCTGTGGCCAGGCCAGGCCAGTACAGATTCCTGCAGCTGGAGGCGGAGCAGCTTGCACTTCCTCTTCTCCCCTTCTCTTCCCCCACCTCTCCTCCTCCCCAGTCCTATGAAGGAGTGGCTTAGGAGGCGGAGTCTGCACTTCCCTGAGGTCCTGAGACCTGGTAACTAACTGGGGGAGGGGCTGGTTTTATTGCCACTCTAGCCCTTTGCTCTCTTGCGGGTGGGAGGAAGGGAGTGGTAAGGCAAGGTACCTGCTCCTTGGTCCTGGGGGCTGGGGCTTGGAGAGGACTGAGTTGTGTTGGGGTGGGATTCAGCCCCTGATTCAGCTCAAAGTCTGATGCATCACTCTGCATGCTACTTCCACTCTGGGGGCCTGGTGGGGCTAGCCTGTCTGTCTGCTAGGCAGACTGCTAAGTAGTCTGTCTTCTTTCTACAAAATGCAAGGAGGGAGGACTGCGCTCCTCCCAGCTCGCTACTCCCTTGGCAGGTGTTCTCAGGGTACTCTCCTGTTTGTCAGCCAAGCCCCTGGGCTGGGAGGTTGCCTCCAGACAGCCACTTTTCGTTCCTGCTCATCCCTGTCTTATTTTCCCTAATCCCTGGAACCCAGTTCTCTTTTTACTATTTTTGTAGGCCTCTGAAACATTCAACATGTTTCTTCCTGAAATCTCTCCCTTCCCATCCCTTTTGCTGTCATTGTGCATCCTGGTCTTCTCAGCCCCAGAACCACCTTCTGTGAGTCCCCCATTGGCTCTGCTTTCTCTACTTCATCAAAGAGGAATCCCTGAGACTCGGCCTCCTACCAGCTGTTCTTAGCTCTTTACCTTCTCTTCTTTCTTTGCATTCACTCTAACACTTGAAAAAACTCTCTAGAGAGCCTCTGTGGAGGGTAGTTGGGCAATATCTATCAAACCTAAATGCACACAGCCCTGGACACAATTCCACTTGTAGGAATTCATCTTGCAGCTGTACCTACACACGGATAAAACAACTTACCAGCCAGTTAGTCCCCGTAGTATTGTTTATAATAACGAAGAATTGGAAACAATCGCATTGTCTGTCAACACATCCTATAATTGAATACTGTGATGCTGTTTTCATAATAATAATAAACCCTAAGGTAGCATGGTTTAGTTCTTAGGAGAGAAAGAAAGAAAATCTAAATCAGGAAACTGGTAGGGACTGTTTAAATAAATTATAAATTGTGGTGCATTTATACAATGAATATGATACAACAACAACAACAAAAGGAAACTCTTTATGTGTCACTATGGAATGATTTCCAATATATATAAAGGGCAAAACAAGATGAAGAACTCAAATGCTTGTGAATTCAAATACTGTCTCTTGATATTCTCTCTCTCTCTCTGTCTCATACATACCTTTGGGGTAATAAACCTGATGGAGAAGGTTCCTTCTTAAGGAGAAGAGGTGACTTAATTTTGACTAGGCTTTTGTACCTTTTGGTTTTGGTTTTTCTGTTTTTTTTTTTTTTGAAATGGGGTCGGGCCGGGCGCGGTGGGTCACGCCTGTAATCCCAGAACTTTGGGAGGCCGGGGCGGGCGGATCACGAGGTCGGGAGATTGAGACCATCCTGGCTAACACGGTGAAACCCCGTCTCTACTAAAAATACAAAAAATTAGCCGGGTGTGGTGGTGGGCACCTGTAGTCCCAGCTACTTGGGAGGCTGAGGCAGGAGAATGGTGTGAACCCAGGAGGCGGAGCTTGCAGTGAGCCAAGATCACGCCACTGCCCTCCAGTCTGGGCAACAGAGCAACACTCCGTCTCAGGAAAAAAAAAAAAGAGAGAAATGGGGTCTCACTCTGTCACCCAGGCTGGAGTTCAGTGGTGTAACCACAGCTCGCTGCAGCCTCAACCTCACAGGCTCAAGCGATCCTCCCAACCTCATCTTCATGAATAGCTAAGTAGCCATCACACCATCACACCTAGCTAATTTTTTATTTTGTAAATACGAGGTCTCACTATGTTGCCCAGGCTAGTCTCAAACTCCTTGGCTCAAGCCATCCTTCTGCCTCAGCTTCCCAAAGTGTTGGGATTACAGGTATGAGCCACCACACCCAGCCACCTTTTGAATTTTATGTCATATATGTATTACCTAAACTAGAAAAGCAAAATTTAAAAACCCAACATTATAAAAGCAATTAAAATCACAACCTCTGAGGGGGTGGATAACCTATAGAATTACGTTTTGGAGAGAGCATTTGCTGTGGAGTCTGACAGACCTTGGTTCAAATCCCAGCTCTGCCTTTAGAAACTGAATGACTCTGAGCAAGCCATTTAATCTTTCTGGTGTCAACTTTCTCATCTGAAAAGAGGGTGAGAATGTAGGTGTAGCAGGCTGGTTTTGAAGGTACATCATGGACTCCAGGGGTCAATAAACTTTTTCTGTAAAGATCTAAATAGAAATTATTAGGCTTTGTGGGCCATAGGGTCCCACTTGCGACTGCTCAGCTCTGCTGTTGTTACATGAAAGCAGCCATACTCAACATGTAAATGTGTGGGCAAGGCTGTGTTCCAATCGATGGACACAAATTTGAATTTCATGTGCTTTTCACATGTCATTACAAAGGATTCTCCTTTTGTTTTTTCTTTTTCTTTTCTTTCTTTTTTTGAGACGGAGTTTCGCTCTTGTTGTCCAGGCTGGAGTGCAATGGCGCGATCTCCGGCTCACCACAACTCCGCCTCCTGAGTTCAAGCAATTCTCCTGCCTCAGCCTCCCGAGCAGCTGGGATTACAGGCATGTGCCACCACACCCGGCTAATTTTGTATTTTTAGTAGAGATGGAGTTTCTCCATGTTGGTCAGGGTGGTCTTGAACTCCCAACCTCAGGTGATCCACCCGCCCCGCTTCCCAAAGTGCTGGGATTACAGGCGTGAGCCACCGCACCCGGCTGTTGTTTTTTCATCCATTCCAAAATATAAGATATGGTGGGCTGGATTTGGCCTGCAGGCTTAGCTGATGCTAAGCTATAGCTGATGCAGGTAGAGTACCTAGCATGCTGCCCAGCATACACTCAGCCAGTGCCTCTATTTCCAACCCTTGCCTGTCTGTCATTGTCTGCTGGTTCGGGTGGCCTGCCTTCTCCCAAATTTAACTTCTCTTATGACTTAACCTATATGTTCCCTCTAAATCCGGTTTCCCTTCTGCCTGTACCCTGGCTTTTCCTTCCCAGTTCCCAGAGACTGGCAGGGGAGAAGCCAGAAGCATCAGCCCAGCGTTGTTTCTCACATCTTTATCTCCATTCCCTTGGCTGCTCTGGCATTTGGGCCACTCCTGTTGCATCTGCCCTGGACCGCTGCACTGGTATACTTGCCAGCCTCCTCGCTCCACAGAATGCTTCCAAACAGATGGGAAAATAGCTGCTGCTCAGAGCTCAGGAGTGCTCCTGCTGCCCAAGCCCTGGGCCCCTCCCTTTGAACTCCTGGACCTCTGTCATGTATCTAGGAGGTCAATGTCTGGTGCAGCTGGCCTCCAGGACTCTACGCCACTGCTCACGGCCAGTGTCTGTCCCCTTTCTGTACTACCAGTTGTTTAATATTTGAATGTTACTCCTGCTGTGTCCAAACACCCTGGCCTGGCCTCCAGGACGCTTTAAGATCAACTCAAGCCCAGCGAACTGGCCTTGCAAATTCCTAACTCCTTGCTTTGGTTTCTCATGTGTTCTGCCATTTTCTTTTTTCTTTTTTTTTTTTTTTAAACGGAGTCTTGCTCTGTTGCCAGGCTGGAGTGCAGTGGCACGATCTCGGCTCACTGCACCCTCCGCCTCCCAGGTTCAAGCGATTCTCCTGCCTCAGCCTCCTGAGTAGCTGGGATTACAGACATGTGCCACCATGCCCAGCTAATTTTTTGTATTTTAGTAGAGAGGGGGTTTCACTGTGTTAGCCAGGATGGTCTCAATCTCCTGATCTTGTGTCTGCCCGCCTTGGCCGCCCAAAGTGCTGGGATTATAGGCGTGAGCCACCGCGCCCAGCTGTGTTCTGCCATTTTCAACAACACCCTACATTCTCCCAACAACCAAACAAGAACAAAAACAAAAAAATCAAAAAATCCTTTCTCCCTCCTCCAGAAAGCCTTGCCTTATCCCCCTAGCCTGCCATGGCCTCCTTTCTCTGAATGTCCACTGCCTTGTTTAGTCCACGTGTTGCTTCATGTCGTGGGGTCTTATCTGCCCAACTGGACTAATCCTCTGAAGGGCAACGTATTAATTTCCTAGAGCTGCTGTAACAGATGGCTATGAACTGGTTGGCTTAAAACAAATTTGGCCAGGTGTGGTGGCTCATGCCTGTAATCCCAGCACTTTGGGAGGTTGAAGCAGAAGGATCACTTGAGGTCAGGAGTTCAAGACCAGCCAGGCCCATGTGGTGAAACCCCATCTCTACTAAAAATACAAAAATTAGCCGGGCATGGTTGTGCACACCTGTAATCCCAGCTACTCGGGAGGCTGAGGCAGGAGAATCGCTTGAACCCTGGAGGCGGAGGTTGCAGTGAGCCAAAATTGTGCCACTGCACTCCAGCCTGGATGAAAGAGTGAGACTCCATCTCAAAAACAAAACAAAACAAAACAAAAAAATTATTCTTGCAGAGTTCTGGAGGCCAGAAGCCCCACATCAAGGTGTCAGCAGGGCTGTGCTCCCTCCAAAGACCCTAGGAGAGAATCCTTCCTTGTCTTTTCCAGCTTCTGGTGGCCCCAGGCGTACCTTGGCTGTGGCTGCATCACTCTAGTCTCTGCCTCTGTCTTCGCGTGGCCTTCTCTTCCTTCACTCTGTCTTCTCCTCTTCTGTTTCTTATAAAGATACTTTGTCGTTGGATTTGGGGCCTAACCAGCTAATCCAGGATGATCGCATCTGGAGATCCTAATTACTTCTGCAAAGACCCTTTTCCCAAATCAGGTCACGTTTATGGGTTCCAGGGGTTAGATGTGAACATATCTTTGAGGGGCCACCATTCAGCCCCCTACAGGCAGCGATCCTGCACTGTGCTTGTCACCCACCCCCATGCCTGACCCTGAGGTGGGGAAGCCTCAGACACAGGCACTGTCAAGTCAAGGAAGGGCGTGGCTCCCGGGACCCCTTGTAACTGGAGGCCGAGTCTGTCTGAGGTATTTCTATTGTAGAAAATAGAAATAAGCCTATCCCCTCAAGTAAGTGTCTGTG